>NC_000018.10:13310549-13610599 GCF_000001405.40 Homo sapiens | reverse complement strand
TTAGGGCTTTGTGGGGCAGGCACGGTGGCTCAAGCCTGTAATCCTAGCACTTTCGGAGGCCGAGGTGGGCGGATCACCTGAGGTCAGGAGTTCAAGACCAGCCTGGTCAACATGGCGAAACCCGTCTCTACTAAAAATACAAAAATTAGCCAGGTGTGGTGGCACACGCCTGTGATCCCAGCTACTCAGGAGGCTGAGGCAGGAGAATTGCTTGCAACTGGGAGGTAGAAGTTGCCATGAGCCAAGATAGGGCCACTTCACTCCAGCCTGGGCGACAGAGTGAGACTCCGTCTCAAAAAAAAAAAAAAAAAAAAAAAAAAAAAAAAAAAAAAAATTAGGGCTTTGGTGAACTTCATGGAACTGGAAAAGTTCTTCTCTCCTTTGCTAATGAACATATTTGCATTTTGAAATGGTTATAAATAGCCCGCTCTGGGATTTAACATGGTGTAAAATGAATATTTCATATATAAAAAAAGAAAATCAACATTTTTTTCTTTCATTTAACGGCCATCAGCTATTCCCCAGTGTCTCAACACACTTACTGTGTTTGGCTAGCTTCCCTGTCACTGGGCATCTTGGCCATGGGAGCCAATCTTTTTCTTTTCTTTTTTCTTTTTTTGGATGCAGTCTTGCTGTGTCGCCCAGGCTAGAGTGCAGTGGCGAAATTTCTGATTACTGCAACCTCTGTCTCCCCGGTTCAAGTGATTCTCCCACCTCAGCTTCCCGAGTAGCTGGGATTACAGGCGTGCGCCAACATGCCGGGCTAATTTTTGTAATTTTTGTATTTTTAGTAGAGATGGGGTTTCACCATGTTGGCCAGGCTGTCCTGGAACTCCTGACTTCAAGCGACCCACCAGCTTCGGCTTCTCAGAGTTCTGGGATTACAGGTGTGAGCCACCACGCCCGGCCATGGAGCCGATCTTAATTAAGCTCCTTGCCCACTCAGTTTAATGTTCTCACAGTTCAACCTGTTTAAAAACCACTTTCAAAACTTTTGACTTTATGAATACAAGTTTACTTTGAAAACATTGCCCACACCTAACACACACACACACACACACACACACACGCACACACACACGCATAATGAGCGCTCCTGTGGGTGTCTGGGGACATGGTGTAGAGTCTGTCTTGGGATGTGTGGCTTAAACACAGGCACAGGGCCTCTCCCAGCGCCTCTGAGGGGCTGTCTGGGCGGATGTACTAGATAGTGCTCTTGAGTTTTGTTTTTATTCCTTTTAAGCACCACTTGAAGATGGTGCTTCAGAAAGGAAGTTCCGAGGTCAAGTCGTGACTCAGGGTTCATGCCCTGATACACAGCTCACCCTGGCTGCATGACAGCACGTCCATCACTGGGAATTTTAGCTGAGAGCTGCCAATATTTCTTTTCCCTTCATTCAGAGAAAATGGCAGCACACATAGCAGAAGGGCATGGGAGAGGGAAGTCTGTGGAACACACAAATATGAAAGTGTAAAAACATTTGCATTCGGCACTCTCTCCTCCCTCATCATCTTTACATCGCATCTTTCACGTAAGTACTCTGATGGCTATCACGTCTAATATGAGTTTTGTGCAGTCACCAACGCATCTCAGAGCTTAGGAGGCATCTGTGTGTGCAGCAGGGGCCTTGAAAATGGAGCAAGGCAGGGACACCAAAGACTTTCACAAGAGTTGTTGGTAGCAACAAGGACTTGAGATTCTAACGATATCTCTTCAAGGTTTCCTCTATAAAGGTCTTCAGTTCATTAATCCATCTGACAAATATTTACCTGAGCGTTTACAGTCCTTAGGAGGAAACGCACTGGACCTTCAGTGAAGTCCTACAGATAAGCGTTTCTGTGTGGCTGAGCTCGTCTCAGGTTCCATCTGCAGGTAGTTGCTTATTTAAGGAACCAAACGGGCTTTAAGGATCGGCTACCAGTTGAGACCTGCATAGGAGAAGCTAAGGTGGCTGGAACCTTGCTGTCCTGAATGGCCAAAAAGAGGCAGCCTAAGCCAGGGATTTGATTGGAGGTGATCAGCTGAGATTTCAGCTCTCATCCAGCCACTCCAAGTATGGTAAGTTAGTAGCTCAGCGGCTACTCAGAGCTCATTAGCTTCAGAAAAAAATTTCTGAGTGGTAAAGGGAGGCTCTGCTCGCCCAGAATCTGTAACTGTCATCTCTAAGCCCAGTTAGCATCTCACCCAGCCCAGGTCCCAGCCCCAGCTCTCACCCCCAGGGCTTCTCGGTATGCCCCGCTGCCTCCCCCTCCAGTTGCCTCCCCCTCCACAGCCTGCCCCACCGCGGGTGCTTCACTCACAACAGAAATTCTCGCAGATAAAGATCACTTGAAGAATTAGAAATAGTGATCGCCGTTCTAACTGGCGTGAGATGGTATCTCATTGTGGTTTTGATTTGCATTTCTCTAATGATGAGTGATGATGAGCTTTTTTTTTTTTTCATATGTTTGTTGGCTGCATAAATGTCTTCTTTTGAGAAGTGTCTGTTCATATTCTTCATCCACTTTTTGATGGGGTTGTTTTTTCTTTTACACTGTTGGTGGGAGTGTAAATTAGTTCAACCACTGTGGAAGACAGTGTGGCAATTCCTCAAGGATCTAGAACCAAAAATACCATTTGGCCCAGCAGTCCCATTACTGGGTATATACCCAAAGGATTATAAATCATTCTACTATAAAGACACATGCACACGTATGTTTATTGCAACATTATTTACAATAGCAAAGACTTGGAAAGAACCCGAACACCCATCAGTGATAGACCAGGTAAAGAAAATGTGGCACATATACACCATGGAATACTATGCAGCCATAAAAAAGAATGAGTTCATGTCCTTTGCACAGACATGGATGAAGCTGGAAACCATCATCCTCAGCAAACTAACACAGGAACAGAAAACCAAACACCACATGTTCTCACTCATAAGTGGGAGTTGAACAATGAGAACACATGGACACAAGGAGGGGAACATCACACAGTGGGGCCTGTTGGGGGCTGGGGGAGGCAAGGGGAGGAAGGGCAATAGGACAAATAACTAATGCATACAGGGCTTAAAACCTAGATAATGGGTTGAGAGGTGCAGCAAACCACTATGACACATGTATACCTATGTAACAAACCTGCACATACAGCACATGTATCCCAGAACTTAAAGTAAAATAAAATAATAAGAAAAAAAGAATTAGAAATACCTTTTCAATGGTTCTGCAGCATAAAGTTAGCATTTGTAAACATTCATAAAGGTTTACTGCTATATGCAAAGCACTTTCAAGCACTATATATCTCTTATATTCATGCCAACCCTGTGAGGCACATTTTTCTTGTTACCACTTTACAGATGGGGAAACTGAGGCTCAGAGAGGGTGAGTCTTTTGTCCAAGGGCAAACTGCTGGTGAGAGGCCAGCTAGGAGTTGGAGCCGGGATAGTCTGACTCTGACACTCCCATCCGGCCACCCACTCATTGTTTTGCTCAGTGGTAGCAAGCTCAGAATTAATTAGCCAACAGTCAACAAATGTAGCAACCACTGAAACTAACCAAAGGATGCCAGTGGACTGATGATGACTTACTTTGATTTTTTTAGCCTGATTACCCGATTTTTTGGGGCACTAAGAGGATGTGTTTACTTGCAAATCCATGTAAAAGATTCTACATCTCCACATGTTGCCATGAGGCTCTTGGAGCCATTTTATGTGTCTCGTCTGCCTGTTAATGCAGCTCTTGTTAAGAATCGATGGCTCTGCCCATTACAAATTCCCATTCTTTGAGGTTTACGACTATGCTATAAAATTTTGCTCTGAGATGAAATTTTCCACATAAAAATTAATCCCTGGAATTTGGCCTTTAGAAACAGTACATTTTAAGTCAGTTTGTTATGCTTAAAGTCATGAATGAGGATTTTAAAAGAACACAAACTTTATGTTCCCACAGACTCAAAACATGGAAATAGTTTGATATTTGTGGACATTAGTCTATAACATGGAATAATCTTCTAGCGTATCCTTGGAACTTAGAAAAACGCAGCACAGAGACAGCTTTATGTAGAAACGCAAATGCTCTGCGTGTGCTCCCACCAGCCCTGTCGTCTGGTAGGAATGTTAACAAATATAAAAGTGTGTGACCCCATGGAGCTAGCAAGCCAATAATGCGGATTACAAATGTATTAAATAAATTAGTTCAGATTAAACAGCTTTAAAATAGCTTCCTAATATGCAAAAAGACTCCCTGAATTAGCAGATTTGAGTTTATGTTACACATTATCTATGCTACTAAGCGGAAAAAAGGAATTACTTATGAGTCCACATTTATGGTGGTATAGATTTTCATAATGGCTAAGCTACCTCCTAAGTGGGTTTGTGCCTGAAATTGCAGCTACCCTTCCAAGCCCCAGAAGAAAATGGGAGGCAGTATAAAGTTTTTATAGAGGCCAGTTAGAACCAACGTTGGGTTCCAACCCTGCCACCTGTGTTAGGTTGAGCTGGGTGCGTTTCCTCATCTATAAAATGAGGCTGAGAATACTTACTTCACAGGGTGGTCAGGAGGATGAAATAACGCATCCAACCCTCGCTCCTCAGAGTGTGGTCCAGAGACCACCAGCAGCAGCATCCCCTGGGAGCTTATGAGAAATGCGATCTTGAGCCCCGCCCAGACCTGGGGAACTGGAGCCTGCATGTTAACCAGATGCCCAGGAGAGTGATGTGCATGTCACCATTTCAGAAGCCCTGCTCTACTCCAGACTCCTCACCTGGATGAAATGAGCAAGCCGGGGGCTTGGAGAAATCGTGGTGCCAGCATACCACCACGAGGACATGTGAGGGCTCTTGTTTTTGCTAATTGTCATTCAACAATGATTTTAAAGAACAGTACTCAACCTCAACACAAACAGAGTTTGTGTGCACATGTAGGTAGAGCAGTAACACTGTCCTCCTGGGCATGGCAGGTGCTTCCTGCTGTCCTCCGCTCTGTGCTGATGGGTCATGATTGATCTACCTGCACCTTTCAGGAGAACCAGCAGGGGTTAACAGTGTCGTTAAGGTCCCCAAGAATGGCAAAGCTAGCTGGCTTATGTTAACAGAGACCCTGGGCTGGACACAGTGGCTCACACCTGTAACCCCAACACTTTGGGAGGCCAAGATAGGAGGACTGCTTGAGGCCAGGAGTTTGAGACAAGCCTGGGCAACACAGTGAGACCACATCTTCAAAAAAAATTTAAAAATTAGCCAGGTGTGGTGGCATAGGCCTGTCATCCCAGTTACTCCGGAGGCTGAAGCAGGAGGATCACTTGAGCCCAGGAGGTCGAGAGTGCAGTGAGCTGTGATTGTGCCAATGCACCCCAGCTTGCACAACAGAATGAGACCCTGTCTCATTAAAACAGAGGCTCTAGTGTTGAGACACTATTTCTAGAATATTTGGCATCCTTCTTAAAAACTCAAGAAGTCTTTCAGGATTTCTGGACACCATATGTTAAGAGAACACTCTAATTCTGCGCTCTGGACAAACTCAAGTGCCAGGAGCAGACTTCTTGTAAAGACAGAATGATGAAGACGCCAAGCCTCCGTCCCTATGAGCCTGGCCCCGCTTTCTCTCTGTCCCCGCCTCGGCCTTCCTGTTCCTTGAGAGAGCCAGATGCCAGGAAGGGTCCTGGCCCTTGAGCATTCTGGAAGCAGCACCTACTCCTGCCACATGTGTCCTGCCTGCCTGGTGGCTGCTGGCACGCCCCCAAATGTTTCTTTATCAACAAGGCATACTGAGAGTGCCTTCAGAAAACTGCCAGTACATCTTCTGGGTGGGAGGGTGTTGAAGGGGGATAGAAATCTGCATATTATCAGGTGAAACATGTTTTTCCTATAGAAAAACACACTGGATATTTTACTGTTTAAAATGCTTGATGTAGTTACTCAGGAAAATATTTTATTTTGCTTTTTAAATATATCACAATTTTCACTTTCATCCCCAAAATGGAAGGCTGAATAACTTTCGTAATTCATCTTATTTCTGGGTACACCACAGAAAATGAGGCTCGAGATGTTTATTAACTCAGGAGTTAGATACTGCTATTCTAGTTCTCAGTTTTTAACCCCATAAAAATTGTAACTGCCCCTTGAGAGACTGAAACCCCAGTTTCATTAGCTCCTTAATCCAGGCAAATGTCACGCATTCTTGCACACACGCAGTATATGGCACACATAGGTGGTGCTCATGATGGTCCAGGTTGTTGCCAAGTGACCGCACCCCTGGGGCCGTTATTCCCATAGCTGTTAGGGCAGCAGGCCTGCACCCGTCCTAAGCGGCACATACTGTCATCTCTGTAGCTCCTCTCTGTCTTGCTTATAAACTGCAGGATGTGTCCAGGTGGCTCCAAGACCTTTAGCTTGGCCAAATCATTCATTTCTTCAAAAGTTGTGATAAAGTCAAGGCACATTCCAGGGTTTTAGTTTTATACTGGAGCATATACTAAGCCATATATCAGAGAAAGTATGGCCCAAAAATCCAAGCTAGTCCAAAGTCAACCTTGACATCAGACCTATATAACTATACTCCGTTTTCATCTTCAGCATTTAAGACTAGCCTGACACACAGATGCTGTGAAGACAAGAATTCATGGCTCTCCAGTGCTCGAGTGTTTTAGAAAATTCCAGCCTGAGGTTGAGTCTCTTTGATGTCAGCTCCAGGGCTGCAGGCAGCAAATGCTAAGCACTTACTATGTGCCGGCCACCACGATGCACTGCAGGAGACAAAGAGAGCCAGGAACCGCCCTTGTCCCTGCTGTCCCTGCTTCACATCTCTAGCAAGAGCTAGCGGGGTCGTGAGGCCTGTGAAACTTGGCGTGGCACCCAGCAGCGTGCTCAGCGTGGAGTGGGTGAAGGCACCAGTGACGGATGTGCTGCAGGAGCACACAGGAGGGGTGCCTAACCTAAATACTGACAACAACTAACACTGAGATGGCGCTTCCTGTGGGCCAGGCAGTGCTCCAGGGCACTCTAACTCATTCAAGTAGGCCATTTAATAATTACAACTATCATGAGATGAATTCTAGTTATTATCCCAATCTCACAGGTGAGAGAATAGAGGCACAGAAAGGTTAAGTAATTTGCCCAAAGTCACACAGCAGTAACTGGCAATGCCAGGACCTGAACTAGGAAGACTGACTCCAGAGCCTGTTCCTCACCACTGCATCAGTCCAACTCTAAATGTGGCCGATCCGAGGACCACCCTTCAGAAGGCTCCTGATCAACAAGTCCCATTTAAAAGGCTCGAGGAATGAATTTTACTTCTCTGAGACCAGGGAAGCTAGGAAGCTCTGGAAGTGCATAGAGACCATTTAAGTGGACCATCAGGAAAGAACTTCTTCACTCCTCAGGGAAGATGGTCCTAGAAACAAACTGTACCACCAGGCAATTTTCCTTTATGTTAAAGTAAACCTGTGTTCTGGAAATTTAAGGTTATTGTCTTTTATCCTTTTCCTTATCTTGGGCCCTAAAAAGACGAAGTTTCTGCTTCTGTAATAGAGTATAAAAAGGTACTTTAAAAACTTAAATATTTATAAAAATCAGAGTTTTCTAGAATAAAAGCTCCCTCAACACTTTTCTTTTTCACTGTTTTAAATTTGTTATGTCCATAGCCTTTCTTTTCTTTCTGACTGAAAACATATAGCGATGTCCTCCCATTAAATGTCCTCTCCAATAGGATTCCTTGGAACCTGTTCCAATGCTGAAAGCCATGATGTGCCTGGAGGGATTGCTTAGTTCAATATTTTACTTATTTGTGACTTGAAAAAGTACTGAAATGACAAATTTTTATTTGTTTTTTAATTTCTAGTTTTTCTTCTTTTTATTTTTTAAATAAAAAATTAGGCCGGGCACAGTGGCTCACACCTGTAATCTTAACACTTTGGGAGGCCAAGGTGGGCAGATCACTTAAGGTCAGAAGTTCGAGACCAGCCTGGCCAATATGTTGAAACCCAGACTCTACTAAAAATACAAAAATTAGTTAGAAATTCCTTGAACCCGGGAGGCGGAGGTTGCAATGAGCTGAGATTGTGCCACTCCACTCCAGCCTGGGTGACAGAGTGAGACTCCATCTCAAAAAAAAAAAAAAAAAAAAAAATTAAATGCCATGGTTTAAGAATGATGTCTGATAAAATTCCCCCCATCCCACCACCAATGATGATTCCCAAAGCAACCAATATACTGCTTTGGGAAGGATGTGGATTTGCAGTCAGATATCCTGGGTTGAAATTCTAACCCCTACTAAACTGTCTGATACGATCAAGTTCTTTTTTACTTTTAGTATCAGGTTCGGGGGTACATGTGCAGGTTTGATACAAGGTTATACTGCATGCTGCTGGGGCTTGTGCTTCTATTGATCTTGTCTCCAAGACAGTGAGCATAATACCCGATAGGAAGTTTTTCAGCCCTTTCCCACCTCTCTCCTTCCTTCCTTTTGGAGTCCCCAGTTTCTATTGTTCCCATTTCTATGTCCATGAGTATCCAGTGCTTAGCTTCCATGTATAAGTGAGAAAATACTTATATTTACTTTTTCTGTTTCTGCATTAATTCACTTAGAATAATGGCCTCCGGCTGCATCCATGTTTCTGCAAAGGACATGATTTCATTCTTTTTCACAGCTGTGTAGTACTTCATGGTGCATATGTACCACATTTTCTTCATCCACTACGGATGGACATCTAGGTTGATTCCATGTCTTTGCTATTGTGAACAAGTGCTACAATAAATATACAGGTGCAAGTGTCTTTTTGGTAGACTGATTTATTTTCCTTTGGGCATATATCCAGTAGTGGGATTGCTGGGTGGAATGGTAGTTCTATTTTCAGTTCTTTGAGAAATCTCCAAACTGCATTCTATAGTGGCTGAACTAACTTGCATTTCCACCAAGAGTGTGTAAGTGTTCCCTTTTCTTTTCCTTTTTTTTTCTTTTTTTTTTTTTCAGACAGAGTCTCACTCTGTCGCCCAGGCTGGAGTGCCGTGGCGCAATCTTGGCTCACTGCAAGCTCCGCCTCCCGGGTTCATGCCATTCTCCTGCCTCAGCCTCCCGAGTAGCTGGGACTACAGGCGCCCGCCACCATGCCCGGAAGTGTTCCCTTTTCTCTGCAGCCTCGTCAATATCTGTTATTTTTTGTCTTTTTAATAATAGCTGTTTTGACTGCTGTGAGGTGGTCACTGTGGTTTTGATTTGCATTTCTCTTATGGTTAGTGATGTTGAGCATTTTTTCCTATGTTTGTTGGTCACTTGTAAGTCTTCTTTTGAGAAGTGTTTGTTCATGTCCTTTGCCCAGTTTTTAGTGGGGTTATTTGTTTTATTCTCATTGATTTGTTTACATTCCTCATAGATTTTGGATAAATGATCATTGTTAAATGCATTATAACATCAGATTTCTGCGTTTAAAATATTTCTACAGGGCTGACAAATGGAAACATGACAAACTTAGCTGTGAATGTGAGGCCCCTGGTTAACCAGAGATAATGGAGATGGATCGACTGGACTTTATGATGACACCTTGCCACCATGAAATGGACAGAAGCCAAAGGGTTAGGAGAACAGGTGCCCATCCTCCCTAAAGGCCTGATAGTGCCTTTTATGCAGATAAGGAGAAACATGGTCTTGTTTTGATTAAAAATGACCTTAATTAAGTCTGTTATTCTCAACATAGTAAATACCCACAGCAGGAAAGCAAATACAGTAAAATAGAGTGTTAATAATAAAAATGTAGAGTCCTCATAGAAGGAATGCTACTCTGGCAGAAACCCATCTAATTTTGGTTATACAAATAAAAGTAATTTTAAAAAAATTTACAAGCTTAGAAATGGTAATACTGCAAATACCTTTACAATTTTGTTTCCTATAATATACCTTACAGAAAAATTTTCCAAACCAGTCTATCACCATTCATCCTCTGAGAGGCA
The DNA here is from genome assembly GCF_000001405.40 of Homo sapiens. Taxonomy (NCBI): domain Eukaryota; kingdom Metazoa; phylum Chordata; class Mammalia; order Primates; family Hominidae; genus Homo; species Homo sapiens. The sequence goes on along the minus strand of NC_000018.10, from coordinate 13,600,676 downwards.
GAAATCCTGGCAAAGGTTGGCTGCAGGGTGGCAATTTGGTCACACATGGTCTTCTTGGTGATTTTTAGCTCAAACAGACAAAACAGCAAATGGCGAACCTTGATCAGACTCCAGCTGAATGCCCTGGAAGTCTTAGGCTACAGATTCTGTCTGCTGTCATTATGCCTGGAACATTTTGGCTTTAGTGACTCTTGATGCAGTTGGATGCTGGTCAGGAGACCCAGGGTCTAGTGCCACCTGTCCTGCTAGCTGAAAGTGACATCTTGAGTCACACAGCTGTGCAGTCCTCACATGTCTCATTTCATTGCTAGGACCAAATCAATGTCTTGCACACTTCAGTCCAAGTCCTTCAAGTCCCACCCTAAGGATTCTTAAAATACCTGCACTCCACATGTTCTATTATTTATTTAATATTGATTTTAAACTGGACTTCAATTAATTCATTTTTTAAAAAATTTAACTTCTAAGTAACAATATCCAAAAAATCACAGGCCTGATATGCTAGATATTTTAAATAAAACATTTGAGGCAAGCATATTATTAAAAATTGTATAATAAAATTACAGGTATAGTGGTATGTGCCTATAGTTTCAGCTACCTGGGAGGCTAAGGCAAGAGGATTGCTTCATTTGCTCAGGAGTTTGAGACCAGACTGGTCAATATAGTGAGACCCTGTCTCTATTTTTAAAAGATATATAATAAAATCCAAAACAATCTTTAATGTTATTTATAGAATATAAAGATAATTTTCTTTCTTTTGCTCATTTAAAAGAAAGGTTTGCTGTATAATTTAGTTTCAATCAATTAGTAAGAAAAACATGACTTGTCCACATATATATTGTGTTTGAAACTTTAACACAGTTAAAATATAATATAGGAGACTCACGGCCGGGTGCGGTGGCTCATGCCTGTAATCCCAGCACTATGGGAGGCCAAGACAGGCGGATCACGAGGTCAGGAGATCGAGACCATCCTGGCTAACAGGGTGAAACCCCATCTCTACTAAAAATACAAAAAAATTAGCCGGGTGTGGTGGCGGGCGCCTGTAGTCCCAGCCACTCAGGAGGCTGAGGCAGGAAAATGGCGTGAACCCAGGAGGTGGAGCTTGCAGTGAGCCGTGATCACGCCACTACACTCCATCCTGGGTGACTGAGTGAGACTCTGTCTCAAAAAAAAAAAAAAAAAAAAAATTGGAGACTCAAAGAATAGTGAGCTGAGAAGTTCCACAGACTCACTTGCCAGGAAAACAACCATAATTGCTGAAATTATGTAAAAGAGTAACCATTTTGAGTCTCTGAAAATTGTCCAAGGGAATTTCAGCAGATTAATAAATATCTTGTTTCAAGAAAATCTATTAAAATCTCTTACTTCCATTGTAAGAACAGTGACAGTCTGTGGCACTTGAGCCACAACCCACTCCTTCCCTCTCCCTTCCCCAGTTCAGCACAGGGAAGATCTACACTGAGTGGGTGTGGCAAAAAAACAAGAGTTTCCTCTCTCCCCACTTCCCAACAAAGCCTATGGCATCTCCAGTGAAAGGCAAGCACAGCACGTCCCTGTTGCAGAGGTTAAATTACAGGTGAATGCAGTCAAGAGGCCATAGGCTTCCTATTACCACTTGGCCTTCCTTGTTCTACCCCTTCCTCACCCCCACTCTTAGGGCAGAAGATCTATCCGAGGAATGGCAGGCTAATGATAGCATGGTCCCAACTGCTTCTAGCCCAGTTCATTCACAGGGTGGAAATTCCATGTAAGGAGAGGCAAGCTAAAAAGACCAGCGGCTACTACCTCTACCCAGTGTCCTGCCCATCCTGCCCATAAAGTTGAGGAGGGCTCACTCAGAGAAGTGAGCTAATGTCCCCACTCCAGCTGTGGAGCATCAACTCAGAGATTTTGCCCAGAGTGTACAGGCAGGCCATAAGAACAAAGAGTTCCAAAGCTCTGCTACCGAAAACTTACTTTATTTAGAACAGTATGTGAGGAAGCTCAAGTGTAAGGGTGCTTTCAAAAACTGTAGAAATTTTGGTAGTAAGAAATTGAGAGGAGGCTAGTAGCTCTTTGAGAGTGACAAGCTTAACTCTAGGTCAGCAATTTTACAGAGAATCAGAGAAAGAGACAGTTAAGAAGAACCTTTCTGGGGTCAGAACAAACCTCAAAGGCTAGATCAAAAATGACCCCTGCAAAGGGGCCTGAATTTAGTTGGATCAGACTCTGTAGTGATTTATGCCCCAGGCATAGAGGAAAACAATAAAGCAATTAGCCAGCAATTAGTGGAAACTAACAGCTGGGTGTGATACCAACTAAGGCAGACAGCTTGACAGAAATATGAAGCAAAGAAACAAAGAGAGCTCTGCTAAAATCACTGCCATCCCAGGGTGACTGTGCCATATCCAAGGCTGTGCCCTCTGAGGAGTGACATCAGAGGCTTCACATTGCAAGGAAAACAGACTTTAATAAAATAGTCCAACGAAGCTACTAAATAAATGAGAAAACAACAAGAAGTTCTGGGGAGGAGGAGAAAATCCGTCTCTAGAGGAGTCAATACAATATATTATCAAAATGTCCAGTTTTCAGTAACAAAAAATGAGACAAGCAAAGGAAAGTGTGACACATAAACAGGAAATAAAGCAGGCAATAGAAACTACCTGTGGGAGGGCCCAGATATCCAGCTTAACAAAAACTTCACAATAGCCATTACAAGTATGTTCAAAGAAATCAAGGAAACAATGATTAAAGAAGCAAAGCAAGGTAAAATGGCATTGTTGCATCAAACAGAGAATATCAATAAAGAAATAGAATTATCTGTGAAAAAACCAAATGGAATGCCTGGTATTGAAAATACAATAACCAAAATAAAAAATTCACTAGAGCTTAACAGTAGATCAATAAAGAAATAGAATTATCTGTGAAAAAACCAAATGGAATGCCTGGTGTTGAAAATACAATAACCAAAATAAAAAATTCACTAGAGCTTAACAGTAGATCTAAACTGACATAAGAGAGATTTAGCAAACTTATAGATTGATAAAGACTGTGCACTCTGAGTAACAGAAAAATGATTGAAGAGAAACAAGTAGAGCCTTAGATAAAAAACACAAGACATCATTAATCACACCAACATACACATTAGGAGTACCACAGGAAAGGAGAGAGAGAGAGAGAGAGAGAGAAATGAGCAGAAACAAAAATCCAAAGAATAATGGCTGAAAATGTACTAAAGTTATTGAAAAAGTTAATCTATACACTCAGGAATTACAACAAACTCCAAATAGGATAAATTCAAAGAGACCAAAAAACAGGCACATCATGGTAAAAATGCTGACAGCCAAACCAAGGAAAATAGTAACAGACAAATGACTCATCATTTATAAGATAACCCTATTAAGATTAACAACTGACTTCTCATCAGAAACAATGAAAGCCAGAAGACAATGGGATGACATATTTGATATGCTGAAATTTATTTAAAAAGACTGTGAACCAAGAATTTTATATCCAGCAAAACTATCTCTCAGAAGTTAAGACTAAATAAAGACCTTCCTAGGTAAACAAAAACTGAAAGACTGTTGCTAGTAGACTCACTTAAGAAATACAAAAGGAATTTCTTTAGGTTGAAAGCAAGTAACCCCAGACAGTAATTTGAATCTGCATGAACAAAGAGCTCCAGGAAAGATAACTGCATAATGATAAAAGATAGTGTAAATGTACATTTCTTCTTCCTTCTTCTCTTAATTAACTTAAAAGGCAATTGTTTAAAACAAATATATGCATAAGTAATTGTGCCACTGGCCCAATAACATGTAGAAATGTAATTTATTTCATGATGACAACACAGAGGAGGTGAGTGGGAGCAAAGCTGTACTAGGCAAAGAGAATGGTACCAGATGGTAACTCAAATCCACAGGAACAAATGAAGAGAACTAGAAAAGGTAAATTAGAAGGCTAATACAAGACATGCTATAAATAGATGCTTGTTCTCATCTCTTCTTTCAAATTATTTAAAAGACATAAAATGACACAAAGTAACAATTATAACAATGTATTGTTAGGTTTGTAACATAGAGAGCTAATGTGTATAACAAGGAGAGCATAAAAAAAGAGAAAACAGCTATATTGGAGTAAAATTATGTATATATCTCACACTAGAATTTAGTGGAAATCTTAAGTAGATTCTGACAAGTTATGTGTGTTAAGCTTGAGAGCAACCATTAAGAAAATAACTTAAAGCAGTATAGGAGGAATAGAGGAAGAAAAAAAGATGAGACATATAGGAAACAAAAAGTAAGGTGGTAAATGCCAATCAAACTACATCAATAAGATTACATAAGAGTGAAATGAACAAAAGGCAGAGACTGTCAGAATGGATGAGAGAACAAGATTTAACTATATGCTATGTATAGAAAATAATTTAGAATCAAAGATAGCAATAGGTTGAAAGTAAAAAACATGGAAAAAGATATACAAACAACAGTCATAAGAAAACTGGTGCGACCATACTAATACCAGACAAAACAGACTTCAGAACAAAAAAAAGTTACAAGGGATAATAAAAAACATTTACTAATGACAAAGAGTTCATTCCATCAGAAAGAATGAACAGTTACACACATATATACATCCAACAATAAACTTCCAAAATACATGAAGCAAAAACTGACAGAATTGAAAGGAAAAACAGACAACTTAAGAATAATAGCTGGATACCATAATACTCCACATTCAATAATAGATAAAACAACAAGGCAGAGGATCGACAAGGAAATAGAAGACTTAAACACAGTAGAAGCCAAATAAACCTAACAGATGGACCTCTATAGAACACTCTAGTCTACAACAGTAGAACATGGCATTCTGAAGGATAGACCATATGCCAGGCCATGAAACAAAATAATTGAAATCACCCAATATATACCCTATGATTAAAATACAATAACACTAGAAATCATAACAGAAAGAAAATGGGGAATTCAAAAATTGACAAATATGTAAGCAATAAACAACATACACATTTAAAAAAAACATGGATTCGGCTGGGTGTGGTGGCTGACACCTGTAATCTCAGCACTTTAGGGGGCCAAGGTGGGAGGTTGGCTTAAGCCTAGGAGTTCAAGACCAGTCTGGGCAATATAGTGAGACCTCATCTCAAAAACAAAACAAAACACCCTCAAACAAAAAAAGAACAACCCATGGGTCAAAGATGGAATAACAAGGAAATTTCTCCCCCAAAAGGAAATCTAGAAAACACTCTGAGATGAAGGCAAATAAAAGCAAAACATACCAAAACTTATGGGATACAGCTACAGGAATACTCTGAAGGAAATTTATAGCTGTAAAAGCCTACATTAAGAAAGATATCAAATTAATAACCTAATCTTCTATAATAAGACACTGGACCAAAAGGAATAAATTAAAACAAAATCAAGAAAAAAAGAAGGAAATAACAAAGATTACAGTAACAAAACAGAGAATAGAAAAATAGAGAAAATCAACATAATTTGGTTCTTGAACAAGACAGAAAAAATTAAGAAATCTTTAGTAGACTGACATAGGAAAAAAAGAAAAGACTACTAAAATCAGGAATGAAAGGGGCAACATTATTATCAGCCTTACAATGATAAAAGTGACTATAATGTAATATTATGAGCAACTGTATGCCAACAGATTAGATAACTTGTACGAAATGAAAAAAAATTCTAGAAAGGCACAAATGACCAAAACTAAATCAAGAAGAAATAACAAATCTCAATAGACCTGAAACAAGTAAAGAGATTGAATTAGTAACTTTAAAACTTCCCAGGAAATAAAAGCCCAGACCAAGATGGCTTTACAGGTAAATTTTACCAGATATTTAAAGAAGAGTTAATACTAATTCTCCACCAATCCCTCCAGACAACTTCTTTTTGGAGAAGAGAACACTTCCCCACTCATTCTAGTATGACTATGATTATCATTTTCAAATGCTTCTTACTAGTATTTCTTCCTGTTTCTTTTTTTTTTTTTTTTTTTTTTTTGAGATGGAATCTTGCTCTGTCACCCAGGCTGGAGCATAGTGGCATGATCTCAGCTCACTGCAACCTCCACCTTCCGGGTTCAAGCGACTCTTGTGCCTCAGCCACCCAAGTAACTGGGACTACAGGCATGCACCTCCATGCCCTGCTAATTTTTATATTTTTAGTAGGGATGGCTTTCACCATGCTGGCCTTAAGTGATCCGTCCGCCTTGGCCTCCAAAGTGCTGGGATTTCAGGCAAGCGTTACCACACCCGACCCCTCACTAGTATTTCAGCATTAATGTTCCCTCTTTAACCAGTGCTTATTATGAGTATACACAAACAACATTGCCTGACATAAGAACAAGTTGAACCCACAGTGGAATCCCTACAGTGGCAGACAGTGGCAGCTGAGAGTGACAGACCAACGGAGGGAAAAGCCACAAGCCATCTCCTGTAAGCTCCACTGCCATCACCTGAGCTCATGGCACACACCTGCTCTACCTCTAAGCGAGGTGCTGCTCTTCACATCACCACTCTGGAGACACCAGCCCCACCAACCCCACCAGCACGCTGAGCTCTCCGGGACCCCAAGACACATGTGTATAAAATGCAGTTGCATGTGTGTGTGTGTGTATGAATATATGCAAATATTACATGAGGATAGTGAGGGAAAATCAGGATATAAGAAAGCTTTGGAGGAAAAGAAAATTTTAAAAATGCTGCTCAGCTGGGTGTGGTGATGTGCACTTGTACTCCCAGGTACTCTGGAGTCTGAGGTGGGAGGATTGCTTGAGCCCAGGAGGTCAAGGCTGTAGTGTGCTATGATCACACTTGTACATAGCTACTTCACTCCAGCCTGGAAAACACAGACAGACCCTGTCTCTAAAATAAGTCAACAAACAAATAAAGAGGGAGGAGGGTAGGAAGGAGAGCTGTTATAAAGGACGCTTATATGTAGTCCCAACTACTTAGGAGGCTGAGGCAGGATTGTGTAAGTTCAGGAGTTCAAGGCCAGCCTGCGCCATATAGCAAGCCCCTATCTCATAGCTAGCTAGCTAGATAGACAGATATATAAATAGGATGGATGGATGGATGGATGGACGGACGGACGGACGGACAGACAGATAGATAGATAAAGTAAATAAACAAAATAGAAAATAGGCTGCCCAATGTTCACATCCTGATAAGCCACAGGTCAAACACTCCTAGGTTCAGACTGAAGTTCTCTTCAGAGTCTCCTCTGTAACTAACACTGTGGAAAGCATCGCGAGGAAAGGACAGGAAGACAAATCCATGCCCAGGTCAGCTTGCAAAAAGCTAACAATCTTGCTGGAGAAACAAGACTGTTTTTGTTTTTTGTTTTTTGTTTTTTAAGACGCAGTCTCCCTCTGTTGCCGAGGCTAGAGTGTAATGGCACGATCTTGGCTCACTGCAGCCTCTGCCTTCTGGATTCAAGTAATTCTTCTGCCTCAGCCTCCTCGGTAGCTGGGATTACAGGCACACACCACCATGTCCGGCTAATTTATGTACTTTTAGTAGAGTCAGGGTTTTACCATGTTGGCCAGGCTGGTCTCGAATGCATGACCTCAAGTGATCTGCCTGCCTCGGCCTCCCAAAGTGCTTACAGGCGTGAGCCACTGTGCCCAGCCAAGACTGGATTTTTTAAAAAAGCAATTAAAAATATAAAACAATATTATTTTGCAAATAGTACTTTGTAAATTTAAGAATACACTTTCTAGAACCTCATTTGACACAATCAGGTTTCAAAAGTGAGAATCAGATACTAAATGCTTAAGAATTGCTTGAAACTGAATTGCTCCACAAAGTTTTGGTCTCTTTCCACTCCCTTTCCAACTGGGAACTACAATTTATAGAAGGAATTACAAATTCCTTCTAAAATATTTCTAGGTTATCTACAAATTATATTTTTTTATCTTGGGTTTCCAAGAGTTAAATGAAACATTAAAAACTTAAGGGAGCACAACATTGATTATCCCTCCTTGGATAAATCATACCTACAACTTTTATTGTGAAAGGTTTGTCCTTAAAAGGGTTAAAAGCCTGGTTGACCACATAGAACCAGGCTTATCAAATTTAAAATAATATTTCCTATACACTCTACCAATAATAATCATTCTTTGGCCTACACAGATCTTTTCATGTGGCTACATAAGACAAGTCATTCACTTTCCTAATCGTAATGCTACCTCCTTTTTCTGGCCTTCAGAGGGAAGACAGGAAGGAAGTTGGACAGTATTTTCTAAAGCATGGGTTGCAATCTATTAGGACAGTCGACTTAGCAGACTGCAACCAGTTTTAAAAGAAAGAACAGAATAGGAAATATCTGAGTGAGTACAGTAAAGATAGGTATTGTGAGACATTTTTGTTGTCATTACAATACGTGTGTATTTATATTGGGTTATGATGCAAGATGCATTTCTCACTGTGGGTCAGGGTTTAAAAAGTTTGAAAGCCACTGGTTGAAAAAGTAACCAGCTATTCAAATATATCATTCCTTCCTATTCAACAAGGTAAAACCACCTTCTTCCACAAAACTCAATTCTGTATTGGGAACAAACCAGCAATACACTAGTGAAGATCTTTCAAGGTCGAAGGTTATAATTCAGAAGGTGACACATGTGCACCTTTGGCTCTGTCTGAGGACCCAGGGTGATGTCCTTGTGGTTGAATGAGCTGAGCTGGAACCCGACACCCTGTCTGTAAATTACGTGACTGAATGTCACATAATCTTCCTTAGCCTCAGTTTCCTCATCTATAAAATGTTATAATTACCCCCAAATGCCCTAACGATGTTATAACAATCAAATCAAACAATCCATGTGCATGTGGCATACAATTAAAAAGTGTGCATTATTTTTTATTGGCCTCACGTACAAGTGACCGCTTAGTTCTACACTGGCTCCATGCCTCACAATCCTGGAATTCCACTGCATATATTGTTCAGAGCAGTGATTCTTAACTGGCTGCAGATTGCATCCAATCTGCGGTATTTTATTTTACCAATACCAATACCTAGGTTTCATTTCAGGCTAACTAAATCAGAAGGAGGTAGACCTAGTATCTGTTAACTTTAAAACTCCCCAGATGATTTTAGTAGGCAAGGTTAAGAATCACTATTTTAGACTGGGTTACTACTGATTGTTTTCTTTATTTTTAACATTCTGTCGCGGTCTTCCTCTCTCGAGAATAAACAGGCAGACACACACACACAGAGACACACACACACACACAGACACACACACACACATACACACACATCTCTTTGGAATACATCCCTTCATGTTGCAGCTGACTTCAGGAAGAAAGAAAAATCAAATGTAGACTTAATCTCTTCATTCCTATTCTAACTACCTGGTGATATTAAATATGAAACTCAAAAAATCTTTGAAAGCAAACCAGTTTCTACAATAACAGTCTTCAATTTAGACCAATCATTACTTTTGACATTCTTAAGGAATCCCCAAGAGTTTTTATTTATATGGCTTTATTTTAAGAGAGAGAAGACACAGAATTCTACAGCAAGCAAACTGAGCACAAGATTTGGGCTCTGTCTTTCTGCTTTCAGAGACTGTAATTGTTCAAGGACAATAAAACAGCCTCAAAACTCCCTGATCAAAAGCCACTAAAACCCACACATGATACTGGGTTAAGATCTCCTGCTCCTTTTAATTCATACTTCAAGAAAAATCTGAAGACAAAGAGTAGCAGGAACTCCAGGGAGAACACAAGCACCAGCCTCAAGGGCACCAACTCATGCCACTGCTTCCTCCATTCCATCTGATGATAATGAGACCTCTGAATTAGAAATAATAAATTGGTCTTTCAAATTACTTTTGCACATAAGATGCTTTACAAATGTAAAGCCCCAAACCAGACTCAATCTCCAGTGCAATTGATCAGTAAGCTTTCCTGAGCTTTTAATGCATTTCCAGGTCCAGCAGGTACAGAATGAATCAGTCAAGGGCAGGGAGCTCCTTGGGTCTCGAGGCTAATCACGCACAAGAAACAAGATGTAGCCTTGTCAGCCAGAACTTGGTTTTGGGTTAAATTGTTTGCAGAGATCAGAAATGCTGTAGATTTGAAGAGGAAAAGACACCAGTGAGGACTGTGTTGGACAGAGGAGGGGTTGCAGCAGAGCTGGCCTTCGGGAGCTGCAGGGCCGTGTACATTCTGAACAGTCACAGGCACACAAGAAGTGGCATGCTCACATGCGCCATGTTTCTGATTTGGGGCCATTTGATTTTCTGCTACGTATGAGTGGGCTCTCCGTGTGCAGGCGCACACACACAACACGTGCACATACACGCACACGCACACACACACACTTACCCCCCACATACACATACCAACACACGCACATACACCCCTATCTCCCCCACACTCCATATGCACACACATATATACACACCTATCCCCCTCACATGCACACACTTATACCCACACACCCTCCCATACACAAACCCTTACCCACATCTCCTTCCCCCGTACTCCATATACGCACATGCGTACCCACACCCACGCACACCCACACATGCACACCCACGCACATGCAGTCACACACATGCACACTCACACCCACACATGCACACCCACACACATGCAGTCACACACATGCACACTCACACACATGCACACCCATACACATGCACAGCCACACACGTGCACACCCCCACACACGCAGCCACACACATGCACACCCACTCGCACACCCAATGCCTGCCTTGTCTTTCCCCACTGGCTTTTGTGACTCAGATTGCAGGGCAGGCCCAGCACCCCCGGATCAGAGACCCCGTCTGCCTGTCACTCCTTGGGCCCCTCCATTCCCTCCCTGCATTCACCTCTCCTGGGCGTCATAACCTCTCAACACCTCTTTCCCTTTCCTCCCAAACCCTCTTCTCCCTTCTCTGAGCTGCTTCTCTCCTTTAGACTTTCCTTTCTTTCTGACTTCACCATCTGAAGAGTGTCAGGCCCTACCAAGCAAACTGGGCCATGCCTAAGGGGACACTGGGGGAAAGGGCCATGCCTGAGGGACCCAGCCTGGGGGAAAGGTGGGAGTCCAAGGCCACAGGGCTGCAGGTCTCATCCAGGGCTGACTCCTGTGTAAGAGGACACAGTGGCAGGCCACAGCCATCCCAGGAACACACCAGCAAGGCTCCCCAAAAAGCCACGGTGATGGGAGCGGAAACCCTGGTCAAGAAATAAGAAGCAACTCCTGCAGTCTCTCCCTGGGTCTCCACGGAGGATTTGCAAACGAAAATGAACAGCTGAAGCCTTCCTAGGTAAAACTCAGTGTGCCATGGGGCCCCATGTACACAGACCAAGAGCCCACACAGAAAAGGCAGCTTGCAGTGGCATCCAACCATCATTTCACCTGCCTTCTCCCATCACAGTTTGGGGACAGAAACCAACCACAGAAGAAAAAAGATGGCAAGCTGGGCATGCTGGCTCATTTCTGTAATTCCAGCACTTCAGGAGGCTGAGATGGGTGGATCACTTGAGGCCAGGAGTTCGAGACCAGCCTGGCCAACACAGCAAAACCTCATCCCTACTGAAAATAAACAAATAAAAATAGCTGGGCATGGTGGTGCAACCCTGCAGTCCCAGCTACTCGGGAGGCTGAGGCAGGAGAATCATTTGAGCCTGGGAGGCGGAGGTTACAATGAACCAAGATAGCGCCACTGCACTCCAGCCTGGGCGACAGAGCGAGACTCTGTCTCAAAAAAAAAAAAAGAAAAAAAGAAAAAAAAAAGAAAAGGAAAAAGATGGCAGAGTGCTAGATGATTCCGCAGAGCTTTCTGAGTGAGCACACAGCTGAACGGGTGCATCATGAAATGTAAATTTTGCTGGACTGTAGGATTAGGGAAGCCACTTTCTCTGAAACAAGGTCAAGATAGTTTCAAGAAACTAGCGGTGACATGAGTGGATTGTGTCGACAGCACAAGAACAATTCAATCCTAAGAACACAGAGGCCAAAAAGTGTTTTCAGAAATGGAAGCTGCGTACAAAAACACCCGGCGAGTAGCAGAGGGAGAAAAGGAACTTGCTGTCCCTTCGCTTGGTGAGGTAACAACCAGAGACCCTAAAAAAAATAACATGCTAAGGGCAAGGGAGGAAACTGAAATTTAAAAAATAATGAATCGTTTTGATCACATATTTTAAAATACATTCCTTAATGAAGCCCCATCTGTAAATTTATTTGTAATATTTCACTGAAAAAAGATAAAATTCCAAACATTTTCAGAAAATGAAGAAATCAATAGATTCATTTCCCAGCCTTCAAATTTGTTATGTTATGTATAAATCTCTGTGTAAAAAAGTATCACTCCCACTGGTCCATTCAGAATAGAGAGGTTCAAGATGAAATTATTGAAAAGGAGAAGGAGAAGAAAGCCCCTCCCAAGCAGGTGCTAGAGAAGCCACAGGCCCCTTACCCACGCACAGTGAGACCACTTAGAGCATACATGTCACCAGCTTTCAGCTTCAAGCCAAAATAATTCTGTCTTTTCACAGTATTTTCACAAAGCTTCTCAATGGGACAGGAGGACAAAGAAATTATTCTTCTGAGAATGGTTTTTTTTTCCCGATATGAATAATCTCAGCACCACATCCTCTACAGGAACCAAGAAAATGGTGCGACTCATACAAAAAGGCTTTCTGGATTCCAGATGCAGGGTGTTCCAGAAGTCTAAAATAAAGAAATTGTTGGCAATGTAGAGAAACAGCCATCCAATTTATATGAAAGAGATTCAAGATCAGCTACCGGCTATTACTACATAAACTTATTTGAGGACTAACTTTTCAAGATTGAAAGTGACCTCCCCCCTTTTTGTAGACATTCTAAAGCTAAGGAAATAAACAAAGGATTGGATACCAGTAAGCAGGATTATGAATGAGCAAAGGCTCAATCATAAACAACAGTCCTGAAGATTGGAGAAAAATAGCCCCACTGGGACAGTGGCCCAGAAGGGATCAGAGGACCCATAAGTCTATGCAAGGCCCAGCCATCCAAGAGAGAGGTTAGTCTGCAAAACCTACTATCATGTGTCTATTGGAGGTGGGAAAGAGGTCTGCCTTATAAGGAAAAGCAAGTAATTGAAATTGTCTAAGCCTGTATGTCTTGAAGATTCCACCCTATGAAACGAAGTGTGGACGTTGGAATAAGCAGGTCTTCCACTCAGCGGGCATGCAGGCTGAGGGTGACTGGGGTCCTTTCTGTGAGGGAATCTGACAGGTCGACTGTTCTCGGTAAAGACCAAGGCAGGGTGTTTCTGGGATTCCCTGCTTCTAGCACAGTACCTGGCATCTGGTAAGGGCTCAATATTTACAAACTAAATGAGAGTGAGACTGTCTAACATGGAGAGAGTTCTGGAATGCAATGCCTAGGGCAGGGGTTCTCAAAGTGTGGTTGCTAGAACAGCAGCATCAGCATCACCTGGGAACCTGTTAGAAATGCAAATTTTCAGGTCCACCCAGATCTACTGGGAGCTCTGGGCATGAGGCCAGCAGTCTGGGTTTTACAGAGCCATCTAGGAGATTCTGATGTATGTTAGAGTTTGAGAACCCTCTGACCCAAGGAAGCGGTGGTGTTTCAAGAGTGGAAACCTCCAAAAAGAAAATGAATAAACATATAATATTTTCATATTGCCAGCTTCCTAGGCAATCTGATTTCTCTGGGTCTCTGACTCCCATGACTTGGAACTCCCAACCCCTTTTTTCTTTGCAAGTAGATACAGTGTGATGTTACAGGGGTGCATACACATACTGATCCCCCCTATTTTTTTTTCCTTTTTTTTTTTTTTTTAGATTCAGAGTCTCACTCTGTCACCCAGGCTGGCTGCGACCTCTGCCTCCCAGGGTCAAGGGTTTCTCCCAACTCAGCCTCCTGATATGTGGGATTACAGGTGTGCGCCACCATGCCTGGCTAATTTTTGTATTTTTGTAGAGACGGGATTTTGCCATGTTGGCCAGGCTGGGGTCTCAAACTTCTGACCTTAAGTGATCTGCCTACCTTGGCCTCTCAACGATTCCCCCCTGATTTTTAAGGTATCCAGATTGTTTTGAGATTGACTTGCCTTAAAGTCAGAGATCCTTGTATATATGGATGTGTGTCTGTTTCAGGGCTCCTAGGCTCTTCTCACAATGGCACAGCGACTGTCATAATCTGACTTCACTTGGTTGGCAGGGGAAAGGTAAAATGGTAGCTGTGACTCAGAGCCCTCAGAGCCCTTCTCAGTTTCTATTCTTTTTTTTTTTTTTTGAGACAGAGTCTTGCTCTGTCACCCAGGCTGAAGTGCAGTGGCACGACCTCAACTCACTGCAACCTCCGCCTCCCGGGTTCAAGCAGTTCTCTCTCCTCAGCCTCCCAGTAGCTGGGATTACAGACGCCTGCCACCACGCCCGGCTAATTTTTGTATTTTTAGTAGAGACGGGGTTTTGCCATGTTGGCCAGGCTGGTCTAGAACTCCTGACCTCAAGTGAGCTGCCTGCCTTGTCCTCCCAAAATGCTGGGTTACAGGTGTGAGCCACCATGCCCCGCCCTCAGTTTCTATTCTTTACTAGGTATTTTTTCAACATCTAGGTTGCAGTAATTTTAGCCTCAAGGAGTCTGCCATATCTTCAACTTTCATTCACTCCAGTGCTTCAGCTGTGTGACATTAGCTAGCTTGTGCATCACGAAATATTTTTGATCTGTTTCTTTAAGGGAGAAAGTAGGGGAAATCTGAAGGTTTGATGGACAAGTTCATTTAAGAGGAAGTAAGTTTGCAGATATTAGCTAACTTTCAGTTCTCCTATTTAATTTGCTCCCCTGGCTTGGTTCAATATTGAAATATATATATTCTTTCCAACACAGAGCTTATTATTCTGTAATATATTACCAGGAATCAGCAATCTCCACACAACGCCAGTTTGTGTTCAGTAAGAGGTATTTTGGTTGATGTAGCAATTGTGCTTACATTTGGAGAAAATCTGGAAAAGCAGTTGTCTGTATCAGTAAAATTCATCACTAAAATTAAATGCTTTAATTTTCCTAATGGGCTTGAAAGGGGGAGTGGGAAACCAAATGTGCTTTGAAAAGATAATCTCCTGGAAGAGGAAGTCTGTATGAAGGCTTAATCAAATCTGGGGCAGAAGTTATGTTGCCAAAATTACTAATCATCAGAATGACCCTGCTTGCTCATTAGTGCATTAATAAGTGTGGCCACCCTTCACCTGAGCAGGCTGCTAATCTCCACGGTCAGGCATAATCCATTTCTTCTCCTCTCTCTTCACCTCAATATTAATGGCTTAGCAAAGACCCCTTTAAAAAAACAGAACCCAGAAGGCACTGTTATTTATCACCGAAGATAAATTCATGCAGCTTACAGTATTCATGCCAGAATAAAGAGAGCCAGTAACAGATTTGTTCCTGATGCATTAGAAATGAGCCCCAGTGACAAACTCCTGCTCTCTCCCCAGCAAAGCTGATGTATTGACTAGACAGGTAGATATGAGCTACTCAGGCTGTCTGGGTGCTATGGAAATCATGTCGAGTGCATTTGACCATCGGCAATGGGGCCAGACACGCATGAGGCTCATTCTTATTCCAGCCAGGGAAAAGGCCTCGTCTGCATTTGCCTTTTGCTGAAAGGCTGCCATATTTGTCAGCTCAGACGCGTGTAAGATAAGCTCTGTCCTCGTTATCTAATATTTCACCAGGCAGTGGAACCGAAGGATAAGGACACCCTAATTGCCTACGTGGGCAGCAAAGCTTGAGTGCTGTCAGGCCCAGCACGAAGCCTGGAGCCTGGACAAGAGGAAGTTTACCGCAGAAGTTAATCACTTCATTTGGAAGGAAAGCCCTGAAGGATTTGGACAATTATGGTTTATCCTGGTTCTACAGTGTATCAGGAGACAGATCCAAAGTTCTCACTGCAGAATAATCTTCAGACAACTTGCCTTTCTTCCCCACAGCACACTCTTAACTTAAATTTACCCTAGGATTAAGCACAATAAGAAGTGGTAATATGGAATTATTTGTGCACAGTTAACAAGAAATGAGTATGAGAAAAGACAGGTTTTGTAGCCATCCCTCCACCGAGCCATCCTATGATTCCTCCATTGGCTAAGTCTTCCTGGGCGCCAGGTGCAGTGCTAGTCACCGAGGGGAACAACACGGATGAGCTCCTGTTCTCAGACAAGCTGGAAGTGTCTGGGAAGGAAGAGGAGACAGATAGCAGATAGCTACAAACCAGCTGGGCAGGGCTATCACAGAATCATCACAGCTCAGCTCAGGAGAGGAGAGGAAGCGCCAAGCAGTGGGAAGAAGAGAGAGTGGAAGAAGGCTTCCTGTAGGAGGTGGCCACTCATCTGAGTCTTAAGGGATAAGTAATAATTAGTCAGATGACAGAAAGAGGGGACAAGATTCCAGGGGGAAAGACTGTCATGAAGCAGAGGTTAAGAGATGACAGAGCACAGTGTGTCTGGGACAACCCTAAGCAATTGGAGTCCAGGGCATTATGACGATGAAGAGACCAAGGCAGGCAGAGGCAGACGCCGGTCACAGGCTTTCCCCTGTGGCCCCAGAGCACTGAAGGGTGATGGGAGGCAACGTGGCTTCGGGTGGGCCGGGCTCACCTGCACTCTCAGCAAGATGGGTGTGGGAGATGGGCTAAGGGCGGTGGTGGTCCTCAAGGGAAGCCAGGCTGAGGCTGCGGAGATGGGAAGGGCACGGCAGGCCTGTAGGCAGCTGGGGGAGCAGGGCGAGGTGACCCCGCTCTGTGAGTGGCAGAAAGTGCTCGCAGGTTCCATTCTCTTCCCTCTGAGCCTGACATTCATTAAGCCCTGCCATGCCAGAACTGTGAAAGGCAAAGCGAGAGACACAACAATAAGACTCCGCCAGCAGTGGGGAGCCGCAGCGCCCTGGCTCGGTGACTCAAGCAGGCTTCGGCGCGGCCGGGCCCCCCAACACTACTTGTCAGTGAATGAAAGAGTGAAAACCACACCCTGGTCAAGCCACCGAGCCTCTTTTACTCTAACTTCATATCTTTTGGCAAATATCAATCTTTCTTAAAATTTAATTTATCAGTTGAACGTGGTGATATTATGTTCCTCTAAATATCTCAGCGGCCAAACTCGTTTCTTTCTTTTTGGAACTCTAATAACACTTATTTTTTACAACTCATTTAAAGTTCCCAATCCCATGCATTCTAGTACTACTAACTAGATCTTAGGCATCTCAAAGTTGGTGCCGTGACCACCACGTCCCTCCCCTAGGTCTCGGTAACAAAAGTCAGTCACCACACACGTGGCCATCAGGAGGCCGCCCCAGTCTGTCAGCCATCCTCTCTCCACCTCACCTTGTCATCTGCAGATTTAGACTACAAATATTGCCCTAACAATTTCACAGTGTTTTAGAAAAAAATGAGAGAATATAAAAGAAATACTAAAATATTAAATTACATGTATTTATATATAATTTTGTACTAATATTACAAAAGCTTCTAATTTTTTGGATAGCATCTAGTCCACTGTGGCTAGTAAATAAATTTTAAAATAAGAGCTATAATTCACAGTCTTATGGTGCGGGTGAAATAATCAAAAAGACCCAGAGACCAAAAAGAGCTCTTCAGCATGGAAACCTATTAAGGTTTGATTCAGATGAGTATACAAGCAAGACGCGGTGGCTCACCCCTATAATCCCAGCACACTGGGAAGCTGAGGTGGGAAGATCACTTGAGGCCAGAGTTGGAGACAAGCCTGGGCAACATAGCAAGACCCCATCTCTACAAAATGTAAAATTTAAAAATTAGCCAGCACAGCGGCATGCACCTATAGTCCTAGCTACTTGGGAGGCTGAGGCAGGAAGTTTGCTTGCGCCTGGGAGGTCGAGGCTGCAGTGAGCTATTCTCGTGCAACTGTACTCTAGCCTGGGTGACAGAGTGAGACCTCGTCTCTAGAAAAGTAAATTAAAAATAAATAAATAAGTGCAGAGATGAAGTGGAGCCACATGGGAGGCGAGCCACCCAGGAGCAGAGCTCGTGGCAAGGCTGAGGAGGGTGTGGGCCTCCTGCCATGCTGCATCTCTCCTGGGCCCAGTGGGGACAGGTATTGATGCCCATGTGTTGTCAAATGCCTCCTCCCATCGCTCAAAGGAACCCAAGTGGACAGAGCAGAGGAGCTGCAAACACTGCCCTCGGCTGGGGGCCTTAGCGGGCAAGCCTGGGAGGGAACTGCATCTGCCTGGAAAAGGCAGGCTGCTCTCAAAGCCAAATCCCACTCCAGGCGGTTTAGATGCAGTTCTTTGATTGATGGCGCAGCTACCATGCTGCGGCCTGGGATGCCCACTTATGGTCCAGCACAGTGCACACAGAACTGATATACACATTCATCTTTCTCCTTCACTCCCCAGTCACCTCTTGCCCTTTTAGGCCATTCAAAGGCAAAGAAAACTGGCCATTGCTGAGTGCTTCTGTGTCAGGCCCTGTGCCGACTGCTTTAGGTTTTTTTGTTTTTTCCCTCATTTTTGGCATAAATCACTATGCCCATTTTAGTAGAAAATATTGATGCTGGGTGGGGTAATGTCACTTGATTACAGATGCATGAGAGCTAGGGGCTGACTCCAATCTGGATTTATAATGCCCCCAAGGCCATGCTCCTTTCACAGCCCCTCAGTGTGGAATAAATCACAGAAAGATACATGCATGTTTGTAACGGATGGGCGGGGGTGGACCGTCAAATGCTGCAGTCCAGTCCCTGCCACCCCTTACCACACACATGCACACATGAACATACATGCACACACATACGTGTGTGCATAGCTCTGCACATGAGTGTACAGTGCACACACACACACAAGCTCATGCATCCATACGCACAAGGTGCTGGTAAGCATGGCTGCTCAGCTCAGGATTCTCAGATCCAGCAGTGCAGAAAGTCCTCAGCTTTGTCTGTATACATGCCCACCAAGACAGGCTTGCAATTTGTATTTTTAACCACTGGTAAGGGTCTAGGAGCCAATAGAAACCACAGAACTAAAATTACCAGGTTCAAATTGCTGGACAAACTTTAGACAAGGATGAATAGAAAATGAATGGTAGACAAAACAGAAGCTAATGCTAAGATGCAATTTTATAGCTGGATGATCTCTAGTTTCTTTTTATAACTGCATGAGTCCCTTTTTCATGTTCCCAGAAAGAAGGCTCCAAAGAACTTAGGAGATTCTACCCAGGGAAAACAGAATGCAGCAGCTCGGCTGTTTGAATATGCTAGACTGTCTCCAGACAGTTCAGTAGAGACAGAAAATGAGAGACAGGCCTGTACATAGACTGCAGGATAAGAAAAAAACAACTAGCAGAAATGTATTAGGGGTTGAGCATACCTAATCTGAAAATCTAACATCTGAGATGCTCTAAAGTCCCGAACTTTTTGAGAGCCGACATGACACAACAAGTGGAATAGTCCACCACTGACCTCCTGAGCCAGTCACATCAAAATGCAGCTCAAGCTTTGTTTCATGCACAAAATTATTACGCACTGCATAAAATTACCTTCAGGCCATGTGTATAACATATATATGAAACATAAATAAATTTTGTGTTCAGGCTTGGGCCCCATCCCCGAGATATCTCATTCTGTATATGCAAATATTCCAAAATCTGCAAAAGATGCAAAATCCAAAACACTTCTGGTCCCAAGCATTTTGGATACAGGACACTCAACCTGTATACAGAACACAAACCAGGTATCCACCAACCAGCAACCTGGCAATTATTCAATTGCAAAACCAGACGCTGAAGAGGTTATTTTTAAAAGGGCAAGCTTCTAATAGTTAAGCGATGCTGCTTTTCTCTTTGCCAGAGGCTTGATTAGAAAGGGAGCCGTAGTTCAAAGACAGCTTGACAGTTTCATAAGCCAGGAAAATGCAGATTCCTAGACCTGTGGCTATTAAGAAGTCTGGAGCCCTGCCTCTGGACAAGGGCACGGCCAAGTCACCTGGGAAAGGAAGTGACTGCTGGCCAGTCCCCCGAGAAGTCTGGGGACCAGGATGGCCACCCTGTGCCTCTGTCAGCAGTGGCCACCGTGCCATCGCCTGCACATTCCAGCAGAGTCCTGCAGATGGCTGAGGTGGGACGTTCTCATTGCCATTCAAACTGATCCCAAGAACATCCTCCCAGCAGCAGCCGACACTCATCAAGCATCAGGAGAACCAAGCAGCCTGATGCATCCCTGGCCCTCTGGGGCCCATCCTCTGGCTGCAGAGACAGTGCTGCCACCTGACAGGCACAGAGAGCCCAGGGAGTGATTCAGAAAAGCCAAAGGATTTGAGATGACGAAAAGGTCACAAGCCAAGAAAGCCAAGGTGGGGTCACAAGCCAAGGTGGGGTGACCACAGCTGTGCCTAGACCCAGGCAGCCTCTCCAGAGCAGCAGGGAAGGCCAGGAGCTGGTGCTTCATCCTGTCCTGTTCAGGGAAAAGCCACTGAAGGCTTTGAGCAGGGAGTGTGCACAGTATGCACGAGGCACAGAATAAAACACAGGAAGTGGGAGCAAGAAGAGCAGCCTGGAGCCCTGAAAGTCATCCTGAGGAGAAGTGTCAGTGGAAATGAGAAATTGATGAGCACAGACCATGAGAAAAGCATCACGTTAATAATGCAGACTCATTTATGGCTGACATGCAGTGAACTAGAGGAAGGAAGGAAGGCAGTGTGACTAGGGGCCCTAGAAGGGAGACTCAGGGGCCCTGGCTCTCACAGCATCGGACAGCAGCCCTGCTGAGAAGGGACACTGTAGAGGGGCAAGTCTATGGCCCCCAGACAACGCATGACAGACTGCGTTTCAAAAGTTCAGATAGAAGTCGGCTACTCAGAACTGGGCACTAGTTTTTCCACAGGAAAAAGAATACCGCAAATGGCAGGGTGGTGTCCAGGATAACTTGCAACAGTCTCTTTAATGCATACATTCTTGTGATAGGCAAAGGTGGCATTTCAATGCTATTTACATAGAATCTTTGGTGACTTTGCCTGGGAAGCTAAGTCCAGTGATATGTCTCCACCAGTTGAAACCTGAAATTCACTATGATCCCAGGAAGACTTTAACTACATTGGCCTTTCCCATCCATGCCAATCACCAGCCAAGATAATGCCCTTCAGCTACTACATGGGGATAAGGAATTCTCTCCCCTTACTGGTCATCCATGAAGAAAGAGATCCCCTGGCTAAGTGGAGACTGGAGAGCTTTGGCTCAGAAGGTAGGAGGAAGTCACTTCCTAGTAAAAAGGGACAGGCCCACTTACACATTTTCCATGTGTCACAGATGACTACATATAAAAATCAGAGACTGACAACTTGATCATTATTTGATAATAACTACATATAAACAAATGACTGTAATTCAATAATCACTTCTTTTGTAGATATTTTTAGATATTTCCCACATTCATAAATCAGCACTATCATTTTAAACAAATAGCATTATATTTTTTTTATTTTTATTTTTTGAGATGGAGTCTTGCTCTGCCACCCAGGCTGGAGTACAGTGGTGCGATCTCGGCTCACTGCAAGCTCCGCCTCCCAGCTTCAAGCAATTCTCCTGCCTCAGCCTCCAGAGTAGCTGGGACTACAGGCACGTGCCATCACGTCTGACTAATTTTTTGTATTTTTAGTAGAGACGGGGTTTCACCGTGTTAGTCAGGATGGTCTCGATCTCCTGACCTCGTGATCTGCCCACCTCAGCCTCTCAAAGTGCTGGGATTATAGGCGTGAGCCACTGCGCCCGGCCAAATAGCATTATATTATTAACTCAGCGATTTGTGGTCTACCATGATCTCTGACAAAAAAAAAAAAAAAAAAAAAAAAAAAAGACCCGGACAACTTTTAAATGGGTCACTGTACTTTCATGGTTTTTATTTTGATCTCTTGTATGTATCCTGAGTTTCAGGTTGTTTTTCATCCTAGCAAAAAACAAAAGTTGCTCCAAGCTAAATATATTATGGTTCGCTAAGAAGCCAGCACCAGCATCTTATTCAGCTGTGTGCACGATCTGCAGGGCATGCCACAGGCTCTATAAGATCGCCACTGTCACTTCTCCCAGGTGGGCACGCCTTCTTCCGCTGAAGGTTAATACTTCTATGTGTTTCTTCTTTCCTGTCCTCTAGCTTATTCTCTGGCACCTAGCACCATGCTTGGCAAACACTGCTTGGAGGAGGACAGTTACAAAGAAGGTGGTTCCGATGACAATGATGATGTGCTGGCCAGGGAGGGCACAGGTGGAAGTGGGAGACCATCCCCATCTCCTGAGACAAGGAGGGACCCAGATTAGTCAATCTAGTTTTAGGGAAAATTTCAAGGTGTTCCAGGGGAATATAAATAACAGTTAAAATTAGAAAATAAAGTAGTAAGGTGGTAATTCATCAGACAGATGATGCCACCAATTATTTAATGGGGAAAAAGCACTTACTGAGTTTGTAGCAGGTGCTTTTAGCTGAGACCCACGGATGAGCTTCAGGGGTCTGCAAACCCCGTAACTACACATGAGACTTGGTATATTTGCATTGCTTTGGGATGAAAGTCTTTGGCCTGCTTCAGATTCTCAAAGGTTAAGAACCACTGGTTTTTAGAGATGGATTCTCCCTCCCCTGCTTGCCCCACCAAAAAGAAGTAGGAGGCACTGACCTCCCTTCCTCACAGCCACTCTCAGCCTCATTTGGGTGTGGAAAGTAAGCACAGCCTCTTTTTAAACATAATAATCAGAGCTGAGTTTTAGATATAGCACGAGAAAAGCCCATTCATGATTCCAGAGTAAGGAAACATTACAGGACAAAGCTGTGTGGTGTTTCCAGTGCCTTTTTCACCTGGAAAGCAAGAGTCCATTTTCAGGCAACCTGATTTTGTTTTCTTAAGAGGTACGCCTCACATGGCCAAACTACATTAGAATTTGCCTACAGCAAATCAATTTGCAACCGATAATGTAGCCGGTACTTTTCCTTATTAAGGTTCCATTTATTCATTAAAGAGGACTGTGCAATGCTAGAGACGCCGCACACAGAGCTCCCCTCTCCCTTCGCTTTTGCGTTTCCCCTCACTATCACCAAGAATGACTTCCCGTTTTAGTTTTCTGAGAATAAGAACATCCCCATTTCTTAAGTTTTCTCTGAGGACTTTTCTCAGTGGTTGCTCTTTTTTCTAATTACAATAGACTGAGTCATAACTCACTCTGCCCACATTTCTAACATCACCACAGTAAAAAGCTGTCCTCGGCTGAGCAAAGGCATGTTCCCCAGCAGCCAGCAAACCCATCTCAACACAGCCGCGCTTGGAGACTCAGGACTGCCGCTGCAGGGTCCTCAATCCTCCATTCTCTCAGTTCTCAAAAGCTGCTGAACATGTCCTTTGTTGTCCATTACACAACCCCTGAAATATTAGCCTAATTTCCCAAAGTAATCAAATTTCTTTCCAGTCCATGTAGGCATGGAACAGCATGCCCAGGAGTTGACTTTCCCATTATGGACTCTGTTTGTGTGACTATGACATCTGCTTCAAATCACATGGACTGAAACTTGCAGAAATACAAAACTAGCCTCATGCAAATTCGGATACTTAAAAAAAAAATGCTAAACCGCAAATAAAAACAAAAATATCACCAGGAAATTAAACCCTGTGGACTTCACTTTTTAAGTGTTGGGTCAAGACACCTGATCATATTTTCAAAAACTTATGCTAAGGATTCCTTTCCACAGACAACGACATGTTGTTTTGCTTAATGTTGTAACTTCTTTCAAAGCCAGGTCCTCCCGTCTGCTCAGCTGGCAGTTTCTCTGAGCGGAGCTCATGGGCACCCCAGGCCCTCCTGAGATGGCCACACTGTCGCCATCTCTATCCTAACACTCTACCTTCCACAGCCTCCGGACATCCCCCTGCTACAGCTGGGAAGGATGACTGCACTTACCATGACTATCTGTGGTCCCACCCAACAAATCTGAAGGTTCTGAGCTCAGAGAGCCCAGCAGAGCCCATGAACAGAGAGACAATCCACATTCTGTGAAGTGCAAAGAGAACCAGGGGTTGACTGAACTGACCCCGGACAGCACCCACCCTCCAGCTCCTAAGCTTATTTAATTAAATGGTAAATCCCAATCAAAGTGTTGAAAGCCAGAAAAGTCACAATGTGAGCTGGCAAGAATTACATGGCTTTAAGCTAGGCAAGAAACTGGAAGAGGAATCCACTTTATTTCTTTCTTTCTTTCTTTCTTTTTTTTTTTTTTTTTTTGAGACAGAGTCTCGCTCTGTCCCCCAGGCTGGAGTGCAGTGGCACAATCTCGGCTCACTGCAAGCTCCACCTCCCAGGTTCACGCTATTCTCCTGCCTCAGCCTCCCAAGTAGCTGGGACTACAGGCGCCCGCCACCATGCCCAGCTAATTTTTTGTATTTTTAGTAGAGACAGGTTTCCCCGTGTTACCCAGGATGGTCTGGATCTCCTGACCTCGTGATCCACCCGTCTTGGCCTCCCAAAGTGCTGGGATTACAGGCGTGAGCCACTGCGCCCGGCTGGAATCCACTTTCTTGATGTTTGTAATAACTTTTATGAGACAAAATATCCTCCCCAAAGACTTGCTTCATAAAAACTTCTGCACAGCAAAAGGAACAGTCAGCAGAGTAAACAGACAACCCACAGAGTGGGAGAAAATCTTCACAATCTATACATCTGACAAAGGACTAATATCTATAATCTACAAGGAACTCAAACAAATTAGCAAGAAAAAATAACAAACAATCCCATCAAAAACTGGGCTGAGGACATGAGTAGACAATTCTCAGAAGAAGATATACAAATGGCCAACAAATATAGGAAAAAATGCTCAACATCACTAATGATCTGGGAAATGCAAATCAAAACTACAATGCAATACCACGTTACTCCGCAAGAATGGCCTTAATCCAAAAATCAAAAAATAACAGATGTTGGCGTGGATGCGGTGAAAAAGGAACACGTTTACACAGCTGGTGGGAATGTAAACTAGTACAACCACTATGGAAAACAATGTGGAGATTCTTTAAAGAACTAAAAGTAGAAAGAACTACCATTTGATCCAGTAATCCCACTACTGGGTATCTACCCAGAGGAAAATAAGTCATTATACGAAAAAGATACTTGCACACGCATGTTTATAGCAGCACAATTCACAGCTGCAAAGATATGGAACCAGCCCAAATGCCCATCAATCAATGAGTGGATAAAGAAATTGTGGTATATATACACCATGGAATACTACTCAGCCATAAAAAAGAACAAATTAATGGCATTTGCAGCAACCTGGATGGAGACTATTATTCTAAGTGAAGTAACTCAGGAATGGAAAACCAAACATCATATGTTCTCACTCACAAGTGGGAGCTAAGCTATGAGGATGCAAAGGCATAAGAATAACACAATGGACTTTGGGGACTCAGGGGAAAGGGTGGGAGGTAAGTGAGGGATAAAAGACTACATATTGGGTACAGTGAAGGCTGCTCGGGTGATGGGTGCACCAGAATCTCACAAATCACCACTAAATAACTTTCTCATGTAACTAAATACCATCTGTTCCCCAAAAACCTACAGAAATAAAAATTAAAATAAAAAACAAACAAACCCTTTTCCTTTGTATTTCTGGAAGGTTTTTTAGGTTTTTGTTTGTTCATTTGTTTTTAATCAGTGACTCAGCTAGGGATGGAAAAAAAGTTAGATGACATATCCTGTCCTCCTTCCCAAACAGCCTGTGCTGTAAGGAGGAGACGTATGGGGGCAAGAGACAAAAAGGGAGGGGTGTCCCAGATAGATATTCCCATCAGAAAGGCTAGTTTCAAGCTCTGATTTATTTTCCTTTTGGCTACAGCTTGGAACATGGTAGAACCAGGTTGAAAAGAAGCAGGAAGCTCTTTGTTTCCAACACTTCACAATAATTTGTAAGATGGTCCTGAAAATACCCTCCACAGTGGGGCACCACTCCTAAATTGAGGCATTTCGGAGGGCCAACTGAGAGAGGTAGAGTGTGAAGTGCTCACACTCAATGCCAGGGCTCCATGAGCGTCAAAGCCGGGGGCTCTCAGGCAGCGAGGAAAGTTAACCCTGAGACAGAGGTGCCAGGGAGACACATCGGCCATGGTCCTGCCGCACATCGAGGCTTCTGGAGTCCTTCTTAAATAGCAGGTGCTAGGGGTACAAAGACGAACAGGACATAGTTCCTGCTCCCAAGGAGCTGCTGCCATGGTGAGGAAGATGTCCAGGTGGATGAACTACCACATGACAGGGATCTAAATAGGGGTCTGGACGGCACACTGTGAACAGAGAGCGGTTGCTCTCCTAGGCCCAGGGACAGCATGGGAAGAGTGCTGCCATGGCCGGCTTCCTCAGGAGCTGTAGCCCAGCCACATTCTGCTTTTTCCCTAAAAGGCTTTCTAATACCCACACACAAAAGCAAACCATGGGTAATAATAGCAGACGGCAGAACATCCACTATTAAATTTGATAATAGTGAGATGGGCTTTTGCAAATCTGGTCATCCTACCACTTTCTCAACCATCAAAGAAGAGCAGTGAGCAAGTGGAACGACCAAGAGTTAGAGCCTTCCCCACAGTGGTCAATATATCCATACACCTCAGTGTCTTCACCAACAGCCAAGGCTTCTGTATCCATCGCTATGCATGAAGCCCACAAGCCTCACTCTGGTGAGAGATACCAGCCTGGAAAAAATGCAGCTGTCTTTCATGAGGTTCCTGACCAGGAAATGCGGAGATGGGAACAGGAGAAGGAGCGCGTCACCCACGGAATGTCTGGCTTCTAATCCCTCTCCAGGATCTGTGTCTGTGGTCTCGGCTTCACCACCTGAGAAGGGTCTACAGATCTGAACTTAACCTGACACCAGTCTCTTTACCCAGATTGTTCTCTGAGTTTGTTCCTTTGATTACAATTCTACCAAAAGACTGTCACTGCCCCCAAATCTGACAGCAAATGAATTCTAGTCCAATGCTTGTTGGCTTATGCAAGGTGTGTGTTTTGTCAGCCTATTCCTGTCACCTATAATGTGAGCCCAGCATGCTCCTAGATTTCTAAACAAATTTTAAGAAAAAACTGTACAGGAGAATCAAGGAGAACAAACCTTCTCTTTAAAGGAGAGCAGCCAGTGGCTCACACCTGTAATCCCAGCACTTTGGGAGGCCGAGGTGGGCAGATCACCTGAGGCCAGGAGTTCGAGACCAGCCTGGCCTACAAGGCAAAACTTCATCTCTACTAAAAATACAAAAATTAGTGGGGCGTGGTGATGGGTACCTGTAATCCCAGCACTTTGGGAGGCCGAGGTGGGCAGAACACCTGAGGCCAGGAGTTCGAGACCACCCTGGCCTACAAGGCAAAACTTCATCTCTACTAAAAATACAAAAATTAGTGGGGCGTGGTGGTGGGTACCTGTAATCCCAGCTACTTAAGAGGCTGAGGCAAAAGAATCGCTTCAACCCGGGAGGCGGAGGCTGCAGTGAGCCAAGATCATGCCACTGCACTTCAGCCTGGGCAACAGAGCGAGACTCCGTCTCAAAAAAATAAAATAAAATAAAAATAAAAATAAAATAAAATAAAGGAGAACAAACCTTTCAGAGCAGTAACTCCTTCCCAAATGAACACTGCAGCTTTCCAACATCTAATAACATCCACACAGCACAGGAGGGCACACCTCCAGCCCCACAGAGCAGGCATGCAGAGCCATCAAGCACATCCTGGCCTCACTGGCGTCTGTGGCAGTCTCGCCTGCGCCACTCTGTGCCCTCTGCGCTGCTGCTATCGGGAAGGGACAGGGCATGTGCTTTAGCCACAGCTCTTGCCACGGGTATGCACTGCTAACAAATTCCTACTCTGTGAGGAACCCCCGTAAAAATGATCACTTTTGGATGAAAGAGGGGTCAACAAGCTACCTCCAAAACACCTGCTGGTTGCTAGAATTCGGAAGCCCCAATTTAACTAAAAAATGGTGATCTCTGGGAATTGAGAATGTTACTCAGAAGCATGATGGGAATTGTAAGACAACTAGAAGCAAATCTCCTCTCCTCCCGCTGACTCTTCCCTTCCCTGCTTTCCTTCTGCGGTTTCTTACTCAATGTGCATTGAAGCCAAATAAAAGATTCAGGAACCCTCTTGACAAGGACTGAAGGATCCCTAAATCTTCTAAGGCAAACACAAAAATCAGTAAAAAGGCCAAGGGATTCTCTTTATCTGCTAAACCAGAGCCTCCTTCCACTCCCAGCCCAGGCTGTAAGCACATCACAGGCACTCCGATCACTGACCCTGGAGCAGGGAAGCTGAGGACATTCACATTCACAGTGATCACAGAAGGACAGCCGGCTGCAAAGGGGGCCAGGGGTGGCTCAGCAGCAGGCCTGTTTCTTTTGTTACTTGAAAACCATCAACGAAAGCACTATAAACTTAAACCCATTTCACTACCCCCAATGTAGTACATGCTCACTTAAGGCTGCCGATAGGTTCATGTAAACTGCAACTGTAAACGAAATGACATACAGCAAGTCCTCGGGTAACGCTGTTTCCTTCAACTTTGTTTTTGTGATTGATTTTGTCACATGTCATTTCATTTAAAATTACAGTTTCTAATCATATATTGACAATGTTAAGGGGGGGACTTACTGTACAGTTAAAATGCTGGCTGGTCCAAAGAATGAATCCTGAACACTCTTCACTTAGGTTAACAATGATTAATTAATAATAGTTTATAGGCCCGGTGCGGTAGCTCACGCCTGTAATCCTAGCACTTTGGGAGGCTGAGGCGGGTGGATCACGAGGTCAGGAGATCCAGACCATCCTGGTTAACACGGTGAAACCTCGTCTCTACTAAAAACACAAAAAATTAGCCAGGCATAGTGGCGGGCGCCTGTAGTCCCAGCTACTTGGGAGGCTGAGGCGGGAGAATGACGTGAACCCGGGAGGCGGAGCTTGCAGTGAGCTGAGATCATACCACTGCACTCCAGCCTGGGCAACAGAGCGAGAATCCATCTCAAAATAAATAAATAAATAAAAAGTTTATGAATAATTGCTCTATATCATTTTTCAGAATCCAAAGCAACACTGGCCTATGCATTGTATCAGGCAAACTACCCAACGCCATCATGCGTGAGCTTAAAGAACATGTTTTCTCTGACCCTGCTGGGGATGAGCCCAGGTCTTCCTCTTATGGGGTTACCAGAGGCAGTAGTGTGGCATGGAAGAGTGCTTGCTTCTTAGTAATATCCAGGGGCTGTGGACGGAGATGGCAGAAACAGGGTGACGGGCTGTGACCAACTTCACATGCTTTATATAAGGTTCTTGGAGGCACTGGAAGCTACAGGGGATTGGCAGCTGTGCTGAACTTAGTGGCTCCCAGCTTCTGACCACAGTGGCTGAGTCAGAGCTTCAGTGATCATAGACAGCGTACTTACACATTTGCAAATGGAAACATCTGCTTTTCTAATTTTTGATGAGAATCTGCCTGGCCAGGCATATGGGAGTGTGAGGAAAGTGGACACATTCACAAACTCCACACTTAGAAAGGGCATGCCAGGCGTGGTGGCTCATGCCTGTAATCCCAGCACTTCAGGAGGCTGAGGCGGGAGGATCGCTTGAGGCCAGGAGTTTGAGGCCAGCCTGGGCAACATAGCAAGACCCCATCTCCACAAAAACACTTAAAAATTAGCCAGGTATGGTGGTATGCGCCTGTAGTCCCAGCTACTCAAGAAGCTGAGGCAAGAAGATTATTTGAGCCTAGGAGTTTGAGGCTGCAGTGATCTGTGATCATGCCACTGCACTCCAGGCTGGGTGACAGAGTGAGACCTTGACTCTACAAAAAGAAAAGAAAATGAAATAAATGAAAGGGAAGGAAGGAAGGAAAAGAAAAAGACGAAAAAGAGAAAAGAAATGAAAAGGGCAGCCAGAGGGCTGCGCCTTCTGTCACCAAGGTGGAGCTCGCCCTGGCACAGGAGACTATGAGGCTCCAGAGTGAGGCTCTTGCTGGATCTCCCAATTAACTGGGACTCCTCATTTCCCTCTCCAGGTACAAAATCAAGAGCATGCCCTTTCCATGCAGCGGGAGCCGTGACTATCAGCGGCATCTCCCCATTGATTAGGTATCTCATTAAGGAGGTCCCCGGCTGAGACCATGCTGCTTCCAGCTGCCAGATTTCTGCTTTGTGTGGAATGGGCAGGAGGCGCCTGGAAGCCTCGGGTGCCATGGATGCCCCAGTGCTCGCTGGAGTCTCTGCCACTCCTCTGGCCCTGATAACTGCCTGTGTGGACCGGCGTCTGGGCTCCCGCCTGCTGGTTGTCTAGGCAACGAGCTGCAGGACAAGGTCACGGAGACCCGAGCCAGGTAGTGGCATCTTGAGAAAACCACTACCCACAGAAGGGCTGACCTGCGCACAGACCAGGCCCCCCACATGCTCCGGTGCAGACCGTCCCAGACGAGTCACGTCTGTCCTTCTTCCTTGCCTGACTCACAAGTGTTAGGGAGCAAGTGAAAACGTCACCTTCTATCACTACCTTTTATCTTTGCTTTGCTTAGATCAAAAATGTCCTTCAAAGGCCTAATGATTTTGTCAAAAAGAAGAAAAACCACCTGCAAAATAAAATACAACCCCTTCCCCCAAAACACTTTCTAAGCCCAGCAGCTTAATTTTGATGGGGATCAGCTGTCTTGCTTCCCCATGCATACTTTTAAAACAAAAAACTAAATATAAATAACTTCTTATTCTTCCAAGCGCAATTTATTTTTTATTTTTCATGTATTTATTTTTTGAGACAGAGTCTCACTTTGTCACCCAGGCTGCAGTGCGGTGGCACGATATTGGCTCACTGCAACCTCTGCCTTCCGGGTTCAAGCGATTCTCCTGCCTCAGCCTCCCAAGTAGCTGGGATTACCGGCACCTGCCACCAAGCCTGGCTAAATTTTGTGTTTTTAGTAGAGACAGGGGTTTCACCATGTTGGTCAGTCTGGTCTCGAACTCCTGACCTCAAGTGATCTGCCCAACTTGGCCTCCCAAAGTGCTGGGATTACAGGTTTGAGCCACTGTGCCCAGCCCCAAGGGAAATTTAAGTTGTTGGTACAATCATTCGTTTCTATCAAAAGGGAAATTAGCCCAAAGTAAGGCTAATCATTAGTGCTACAGATTTTTTGAGAATATTTTTTTCCTTGAAAGACACATAAAAGCAATTCATTTTAAAGTAAAGTGAAGATAAGCAACATCCGACTTATGAATCAGTTTGGTGCCCAAAATTCATTTCTAATTGGCTTATCCTGCAACTGAAAAAAAGTTTTTCTATAGAGACAAGAGTACAGAGAGTGTTTTATTCCCCAGATAGCGCAGGGCTAGTATGGAGCTAATAGTTCAGAGTCTGAGCCCCTGAGCCTGCAGGATGGGGCGGCCCTGGGAGGCCCAAGCGTGGGAAAGAAGTTTCTGAGGCCACGTGTGGGGAAGGCCCCAGGAGTGGGGAGGAGGGCAAAGGGCGCTTCTCTAGTGTCTGCTATGAAAGTATGACATCATCTAAAACAAGCATCTCAGTATTGGATTAGTGTCACAACTTCTCTTAGCTTCTTATAATCATTTTTTTTTTCAAATGATGTAGTTGCTCGTGTAATCCACTAATATCAACTCATTCATAAAATGTTTATTCATGGGGTGCCTACAAACATCACATTGGGTAGAGGGTGCAGGTGAGAGGAGCCAACATCCTTCATGACCAAGGGATTGGTGAAGGTGGGGTATGAGGGTCTTTCCCTGAGCCCTTCAAGATGACCATGCTGACTAGATGTGAACACACTTCCTGGATAGACGCACGCTTGGCTATGTTATAAATTTAAATAACTTGATAAGGTAAGAGACAGGAAGACCTGAAACCTACACTCAGCAGGCCTCTAACCACGGGGTCTGTCTACTGTGATACAGAGACCCTAAATTATAACGAAGGCCACAGGTCCTGATGTGGGGCGTGAAGTGCACTCGTTTTTATTCTGCCTTCCCTTTCTTCCTTAGCAAGACTGGAACCTTGTCCAGTTCCTCCTGCAGCTGGTGTGGCCTTACGGTGAGGTTCTGGCCAGGAGACAGTGGCAGAAGCGGTGTGTGGGACTTCTGGGAAGGGTCTTTAAAGGAAGGAGGCATGTATCATTTTGGACTTCAGTTCTTCTTCCATGGTCCAGACTGCAGTGTGAGTGTCCTGGCTGGAGTTCCAGCAGCCATTCTAGACCATGAAACAACCTCAGAGCTGGACACTAAGTGCTGGGAGAGTGGGGCCGAAAGAGATAACCTGGATCCTCGAGGACTTAGTGGGGCCCCTATACCAGCCCCATGCTGCCTTCTGCAAACTTGTTTTTTTCTTTTTTTTTTTTTTGTAAACGGAGTCTCACTCTGTCACCCAGGCTGGAGTGCAGTGGCATGATCTTGGCTCACTGCAACCTCCACCTCCCAGGTTCAAGTGATTCTCCTGCCTCAGCCTCCTGAGTAGCTGGGACTGCAGGCACACATCACCACACCTGTCTAATATTTGTGTTTTTAGTAGAGACAGGTTTCGCCATGTTGGCTAGGCTGGTCTCGAACTCCTGACCTCAGGTGATCCCCCCACCCCCCACCTCCTCGGCCTCCCAAAGTGCTGGGATTACAGGTGTGAGCCACAGTGCCCGGCCAAACTTGTTTCTAATGTGAGGCAATAACTGCTTGTGGGTTGAAGGCACGATGACCAGATGTCTGTGACTCACAATTCCTAACAGTGACACCCACTATAACAAAAAATCCACAGCGTTAATACTTTCATTATTTCCAATAAGCCAAGACATGTCCAAACTAGAGTTTATAGGGTAGAGTTTAAATGATGACACCATTATCACTGTGTCACTCTATTTTTAAAATAAGCAAATATTCTATTTTTTTTTTTTTAACAAAAAAAGTTCTCATAGCTCAATTTTCAAAAGGGAACTTTCTCTATTTTACCAACGTCACAATTATGACCTGTCAGATGAATGGAAACCAGCAGGGGAAGTTCATTTGCATTCAGGGGAAAGAGAAAAGCAGTTTAGAGAGAACTCTTGGTTTTGTGCTAATAGTCTCAGATCTTCAGAGAAGTTCAGTGCTGAGAAAATGTTTTTAAGAGCCTCAAACAGCTTGAGGGTGTTTAATTTTACTTAGGCAGCTGGGTCTTCTGCAAAAGCGTAACTCCTGGGGGGCTGCAGCGGCGGGGGGTGGTGACAGTGCGTTTGCAGGCAGGCCCTACGGCAGCAGGCCTCAGGAACTGAAGCCGAGCAGCATTAGCTATAAAGAGCTCCCAGGTCAACAAGCCCCTCATCTCTGCCTTCAGTCCAGCTACTCCAGGAATCTGAAGCAATCCAGACACTGTTAGATTAGGAAGACGCAAGGTACTTGTGTTTCTTCCCTACGTGTGTGTATTTGTCTTTCTTAGCAGCGCCCCTGGACTCTTAGGGTACCCACAAAAGCACATGCACGTCATAGTTAAACTAGTGAAGCTGGGAGGCAGGGGGAAATGATTAATATTGACCAAGGCAAACCAGAGCAACCCACGATGAGGATGAGGTCAGTGACACGGGAACAAGTCTGCGTGCACTGGCAGGGCTGCTTCCCCCCTGGGCCAGGCGCGGCTTGGTTCTAGGCTCTTTCACACACGCTGTGTGACTCCAGGCCAGGCTGCACCAGGCTGGGCTTCGCTTCCCCATCAGCTCAGCAGGACCCTCTCCTCACAGGGACACTGAGTCCATTGAATTTCTAGCACAGTATTCAGCACAAAGCAGAAGTTCAACAAGTCTAAATGATTTTCCACTTTCCATGCTACTCTAATACCCTTTGGGCAGATGTTTGTAAGTAAACCTATACATATTTAAATCCTCTCTTTTTGGGGGACTGTGGGGAGAACCCATGTGTCAAGGATAAAGACATAAAGCCATAGTATAGCACCACATCAATTATTTCCACTGGGCCAAGAGACACCTGCTGTCATTTAATATAAGGCATACTCTTGGCTGGGCGCAGCGTCTCGTGCCTGTAATCCCACCGCTTTGGGAGGCCAAGGCGGGTGGATCATGAGGTCAAGAGATCGAGACCATCTTGGCCAACATGGTGAAACCCCGTCTCTACTAAAAATACAAAGATCAGCCGGGCGTGGTGGCAGGCGCCTGTAGTCCCAGCTACTCGAGAGGCTGAGGCAGGAGAATCACTTGAACCCAGGAGGTGGAGGTTGCAATGAGCTAAGATTGCGCCACTGCACTCCAGCCTGGCAACAGAGCGAGACTCTGTCTCAAAAAAAAAAAAAAGTCTAAGGCATGCTCTTTATTGAAAATATAAGAAAACTCATGCCCGTTGTGCTGAACAGAGATGGGTGTTGGCTTCTCCTCCAGGACAGACTGACCTTCCAGAGACAGGAACAGGAGCCAAGGGATAGCTTACTGTCCTGGCTCAGTGCCCTTTCCCCTACTATCTCCCCAGCACTGACGGGGGTCTCATTGGCTGCCCGTTAGTCTTGTCATCAAGTCCCACCAAGCGGATGTAACTGTAACCATGTTAGACACCTGCCCTCTCTACCAGACACCACAGCCCCAGGAGCAGGGGCTGGGAGGGAGCATTTCTGTGTCCCCACTATGAGATGATGCGGGTCCCAGAGAAAATTCATGGCCCAGGCTTGTTGGACTGAACGAATGGACGAATGGCGTGCCTTGGAGCAGCAGCTCGGCTTGTGTTTAATGCCACATGGGACATCATCGTCACAGTCTTCAGAGCCACGTTTGATCAACGCTGATGGAATTCTTCCTTTGAATATCAACACAAACTCCTTAAGGCCCCGTCCAAAATGTGCGACCCCGCAAGCATGGAGGAGCTCTGTCCTAGAGGCTACAAAACACAAATCCCAATTCCCCTCCACACACAAAGTGAGGTGCAGGTACAGAGCTCTGCCACCATTGAGCACACCCATCTCCTTCCCATGGCAGAGAAAGGTTATGCTCACGGCATGAGCCACAATAGAACCCTTTTGTCTGTCTGCTTGTTGACAGGGGCACGAGAAAGGAGAAAAGAATGGGCATTTCAGTACAGCTGGGCTGGCTCGTTCCACAGCCCAAGACAAGCGCCAGGACGGTCCAGCTGTGAGGGCGGCTCATGCCAATGTCACAACCCTGCGATGACAAGGGGCTGTTATCCCCGCCACCCTGGCTGTGTGGCTGAGGACCGCAGCGCCCCTTTGTCCTGCTGCCTGGAGGTCTGCCCGGGCTGCTCGCAGGCCAGCACGGCCGGGCCCTGGCCCAGCTTGGCGCTGGCAACGGCTGTTCGCTTCTGTGGTTCAGGCCCTCACAGCACAAAGGCCCGTCACAGGGGCTGTCTGGGATCAGGGAAGATGGTCTCTTCAGCTGTGGCCTTCATCCCACTCCTGGACACCCCTGGCCAACCCTCTACTGTGGACAACTGGTCGACCTAAAAGCCAATGTATTATGATTTTACAAAACCCCTCTGAGGATACTTGATGTTTTATGGGGAGATATAATCCTAGAAAACCTAGTTGTTTGGTGTATGGCTTTGTTTTACATTGCTGTTTTGGGTTCAAATCATGACGGCATGAGATTTAATTACCTTTATTTTCCAGACAAGGGCATACAGGGTGAAATACATACTCCGTGTTCTAAAATTGTAAGGTAAGCATAATTGACATGCATGGGGCAACTCTGACTATAAATTCCTGCTGGCTGAGCCTCACTTTTAATGTCTGTTTTTTTCTTTTCTTTGGGGAGGCAGGAGGTATGGACAGAAAGCACTCGTTCTTCAGAGAAGGCAGGAGATTCCAATCTAAATCATGCCTAAAGAGCAAGGCACACCTGGACTTGAATGACCCCCGACCAGCCACAGGGAAATCATCACGGGAGGGCTGGAGCACTGCCAAGGCAATGAAGGGAAATGGTTTCCAGACTCACGGCCCCGCCAGGAGGAAGGGGGGCGGCAGCGCAGAGGCGGGGTCGTGGGTCTGCGCACCCTCACCTGCCGCACTCGCCACGACTCAGACCCCACAAAGGCTTGGGCTTTTTTGTGAGTTTTTTTTTTTTTTTTTTTTTTTTTTAGAAAATGGGAACACAAAAATGAACTTTTTCCATTCTCAAAAACAGAAAAACCAAGGAGAGCAGGTGAGGCGAGGAAAGGTTCTCAGAGCACTAAGTATGCAGGTCTTAGCAGAGGGGAAAGACAAGCAAGCCCCACCCTGAGGCCTGGCCACCTGGCAAAGGCGAGCGCTGGGGATGGCTTCAGTATACGCGCTGGCAAGGAAAATTGCCAGAGATGTGCAATTTACCTTTAGATACAACAACATAGGCTTGCTTCTGACAAGGACTACTTGAATAGCAGCCATCCTCCAAACCAGAATACTGCTCCATTTAGGAGGGAAAAAGGAAAGTAAAATTTCTATAATTATCAGCAAAAAGCATCAAAAGGGAGAGAATCTGGGAGTTTGAAAATGGCCTATGCCGGAGCCTGTCGACTCACGCCTATAATACCAACAATTTGGGAGGCCAGGAGTTCAAGACTAGCCTGGGCAACAAAGTGAGACCCCCATCTTTACAAAAAAACCACAATTATCCAGGTGTGGTGGTGCATACCTGTGGTCCCAGCTCTTTGGGAGGCTGGGTTGGGAGGACCACTTGAGCTCAGGAGGTTGAGGCTGCAGTGAGCTATAATTATACCATCACACTCCAGTTTAGGTGAGAGAGAGAGAGAGAGACTCTCTTAAAAAATGTAAATAATAGCAAAATAAAAATAATTTTTTAAAAAGAAAATGGCCCAGCTCTAACCTAGCTGTGGGGGTTTAAACCATAGCTCAAGAATCACTGAGGGGCCTTTAGAGGCCATCTGTTTAAAGATCCTTGAGAACAGGGGTCGGTCTTGTGGCTTCTACATCTCCCGTGGGGCCAGGCATTTGCCAGGCACTTAAGTGTTTATTGATGTATGAGAAGGACGGAGCCTCCCGTTTATCAGCACTCCTAGCTGCCATCCTCCAGTCCTGCTGACGCATTAATGTCGTGACCATTGAGGCATTCAGTAAGGAAGCTCTGTGCCCTGTATGTTTTCTGTTGTGCTGAAAGGAGTCACATGGCAAAGCTGCAGAACATGTCCATTCTGCTCCCTAGACTCACCCTCCGCAAATGAAGACTATCCCCCTTTCACTTCCTTCCTTGTGCTACTCTATCCGGAAAATCGCTGTTGTGTAAACAGATCTGGGGAGTCAGGACATGCAATATCCACCTTCTCAGTGGCCCAAGCTCCAACCTCCTTCCAAGGGGCATCCACAGGCATGGCTGGATGGATTTTCATCTGAAGTGTCTGGAATCCTACCATCCATCCACAATTAAACTGGGTCTAACTGTCAGCCTAAAAAACGCTCTATGGATTCTGGGTTAAAGATTAATTGGGGGTTGTGAACATGCTCATGTTCTCTACAGGCATAATTAGTTATCCCTAAAACAAAGATGCCTGTCATCTCCAAAGATAAAAATAAGTTTTACTAAAAAATATAGAGTGACAAGAAATAGTAAAGCTTCAGGTGTATCTTTGGTAAACCATCAGGTCTGTCCCTAAATCATCAGAAATGGGAAATGAGGGGTTAAGTTTCTTTCCTCTTCTAACAAAGAACTCTATTTGTTACACTAGACCAGGCGACAACCGTCTCTATATAGAGGGTGGCAGTTGGTTCAAGCTCTACCTTCCTTTCTCAGTTGGATCTATTTAAAGCCTGCAGCAGAGGAAACTTGGCAGCTGAATGTTTCCAAAAGTTAGTATACCACTTCCCTACTTCAGATCACACAGGAGGGCACAGCCCGGGAAGCAGAGATTCCTTGGGTGGGAGGGGTAGGCGCCAGCCCAGAGCTCACATAGCCCCCAGGTTCATCAATGTCCCATCGACAGCCTTCACTGGATATTTTTTTAAATCTCACATGTTGCATCTAAAAAAGTGGAACTCACGGAAGCAGAGGGTAGAATGGGGGTTTCCAGGGGCTGGGCCATTAGGGACGATGGGGAGATGTTAGTCAAAGGGTACGAACTTTCAGTTATAAGATGAACAAGTTCTGAGGCTCTGACGGACCGCGTGGGTGGTGAACATGTGAGCCTGACTGTCATCATCAGTCCACAATGTATATACATGTATCAAATAATCACATTGTATACACAGGATAGAGACAATCTTTGTCAATTAAATATATTAAAATTTAAAAAATGTAAACAAATTCATTGATAACAAATTTCAAAGTAATGGACCTAGTTAAGGGAGTGGAGAAACGAGGCAGGCTGAGGTCTCACTGATGTAGGTTGGCAGAGCTGGCTGAGAGTTTCAAAGCCTCAAGGTGGCCAGTCTGGGTCACCGGGATCAAGGATGGTGATTCCATGACAGTCCCTCTACCAAACACAGCTGCACTGTCATTTACCCTCACAGCAAGCCACATCTACCTATAAAAGCAGGTGTGATGATCACCTTTCACAGATGAGGAAATGGAAACTCAGAGACATCAAGCAACTTGTCCAAGGACACATTATCTTAAAAACACTGAGTCAGGACCACGATTTGGGCCTGGATCTATAGGACCAGGAAGTTCTCACTCTACCATGCCAGAGAGGAGAGGGATGCCTCCAACACCAGGTGGTCAAGTAAAATTAATTAGCTAATAATTGTTATTGGATATGCTAGACTTTGTACTTTTTCTTTTGTACTGTTGCTCATTGTTGAACATGTTTGGTTTTTCTTTTAGGTTTTCTCTAATATAAAGAAAACAGTGGTTATTTATAATCATTACTGGAGGGTTTGACAATCAGGAAAACATTAGGTTCAGCTTCTCCGAAATCGATTTGAGATTCACAGCAAGTCCTCATTACACTGCACCACTAGCATAAATTATTGTATATTTTAATGCTCCATATCCCACAACATCCAAGAGATGTTGGTATCAATCCTACACTGAGTCAAGACACGCTTCGGCATACATGTCATCACGTCCGTCTTTGCACAGGTGTCATCACGTCCGTCTTTGCCTTCTCCCAACATGTTTCTTGAACGATAATCAGGACACCACTCCCGATGATGAAGTACACTTCCAACAAATGACTGCTCATCAAGGTCTCAGCTGCAGTGTTTAATCACGCAGCAGAAACCATTTATTTTCTCATATACTTCTCTTTCTTGAAATATCTCTTAATTATCTCATTTACTCCTATATAAAAATGGTGCTCAAAAATTTAATTACAAGGGCAAGATCTTAAGGAGTTGCAAGGTGTGTGTCTATTTCTCGAAGAGACATTTTCAAAAGCCCCAAATTCTATGACTGAGGAAAAATAACTGGATGATGCCCCAGAAAAGAGTAAGGGGTGATAAGTTAACGGAAGCCCATTTCCAAAACTAATTACCTATATATTGTTTCCTAAAAATAAATTCACCCACTCATTTCATGTCACGCTCTTAACGCCTTTCAACCTTTCAAACGTGGAACCTGAAGAATAGCTCCAGTGTGGGCCCTGAATATCTGCAGGATGTTCCCTGAGACAGTAAGATCTGGTAACTGGGGAGCTTTACATACCTGTAAGGCCAAGTGACACATCATAAGCCAATTCACAGGGGAAGAAACAAACCCAGAGCTCTTGGGAGACCTTCCTAAGGTCACACAGATGTGTCTCCATAAAAATCAGAACGAGGCTCCTGGTTTTCCTTTATTTCACACAGGCTTGAAGTTGTTTTGTGCCAAGAGAGCCACAGTGTTAGGCACCTGCTAGCTCCCAGGTCACCTGCAAGCCCTTCCAAGAGTCATTTCAACCGCAGGTCTGCACTCTGTTCTCTACTTTCTTCTCAGCCACAGCAACAACTACAGCTTCATGGACACTTGATGTTGGAATTGAGATTGGAGTTTTCTTTAATTATTATTCTCAACTTAAAAAGCTGACGCTGAAAAGGGAAGCTTGAGCTCAGCAGATCCTTTCACAGAGAGGCTGAGAAGACAAACTCTCTGATTTCTGGTCTTCTCAGAAAAGATTAAAGTCAAAAATCATGGATGAGGAGACACAAATCTGTCTCCAAAATCTTGCCACTTTGGCGTTATGAAGGTCTTTAAGTCAGTCACTCAGAGCCCTACCAGGTCATCTGAAGGGCAAATCCATAGGAGCCCATGGGAAGAGACATCAGCCCCCGTCATCCCCACTGGCACAGAGCCTCAGGTACGATGCAGGTCCCTTCAAGGACCAACCAAGGACAGCAGCACAGTCTGCAGGGGAAAGACCCGAATCCCCTTGGGCTCTGAGATTGGGCCATTACCTACAGCTTCCAAACACCTGCTCAGAAGTCAGAGAAAAGGTGAGCAGCCGGACAGACTCCTTGTGACATGGGCTGTGCACATTCGTCCTTCAGCAGTCTCACCTGGGGTGTTTTGAGGATGGGGTTGGCTCAGGCCAACAGACCCAAAAGCAGGGGGACACCCTCTAGGGCTTCAATTCCCTGAAAATAATTCCATGGTTTCTATATTTGCTCTGAACAATGTAAATCAAAAAAAGAAAAAAATAAAAGCATGACAGGAACTAGAGTTCCACTTTTTCTGCTACCAATTAATCCAAAAGCTAAAAAGTACCCATATAATACTCAAAAGCTATCAGAGCAAAGGCCCTGGATTAGGGACTCCTTGTTGCTAGGTAGTAACGCCCAACCCTGTTGATTATGCAACGGCAGACCAACATCTTGGTTTGAAGATAGGCACTTCTTGGTCAGGGGCAGCAAAGTGCTGTCTGGATACAAGCAGAGGCTGTGTACCAGCTGTGCTGTCTTTGAACTGGAAGAGG
Organism: Homo sapiens; assembly: GCF_000001405.40. Taxonomy (NCBI): domain Eukaryota; kingdom Metazoa; phylum Chordata; class Mammalia; order Primates; family Hominidae; genus Homo; species Homo sapiens. The sequence continues at coordinate 13,559,838 of NC_000018.10, read as the reverse complement.
CATCAGAGATCTCCCGCCAACTCCTCCATGGGCAACTGAGTCCAGGAGAGGGGCAGTGATTTAGCGAATGTCCTGGAAAAGTCATTTGCAGAGCTGCTGTCTGAACCCAGTTTTCTGACTCTCAGGGAGTGTGATGTTGGTCTCTAGACAGAAGAAATAACAAATAGCTTACATGTATATATATACATATATAAAATGTACATACATACATATGTACACAGATATACTTGCATTTCTATATGTATATATACATGTAAGCTATTTGTCATATATATGTGTACATGTGTATATGTACATACATACACATATATATGATACATACCCATATAAATTCACACACCTACTTAGAAATTTCAATTCTAGACAAATAGAGACTAATAATCCTGTTGCATTTTTTTAGCATATTGGGCCTTATATGTAACTAACAAATTATACAAATAACTTGGCTGAAGTGTCCAGACCTTTTCCATGAATGCCATTTCAAGGCAGGTTCCCTCTTCCAGGTCTCTGGGATTTATCTCATTTGTTTGTTTGTTGGTGAGGGGCTGAGTCACAGAAGCAGCTTCAGAAACCCCACAAGGAAGCAGCCATGCAGATGCTGTGCTGATCACCCACTAAAGTGTCCCTTTGTCACTAATCAGTCAAAAATTATTTATTGAGGAAAAATGAAAGTAGGGACTCCCTCTTTCCTTAAAGAGACAGTGACACCTTTACAGATACCAAAGATCAGTGGTGATCCATCGAGACTCCCTGCTTACTTTTATCTAATGCTGGTCTTGCAGCCAGTGGGGTACTACATTCTGGGGTGCTGCCGGTGGCACGTCTAGTGACAGTAACAGTACTTCAGTGCCTGCGAGTCGCATTAGCTGGGGAGCTGGTGTGCTTCCCACTTCTGTGATTGCCCTAGTGCACAGGGTGGCCCCCGATGACTTGCTCTTGTAGAGGGGCAGGGGGAGGGCTGGGTGGGAGAATTCAAGGTTATGTAATGCTTACTGTTGATCACCTATTAACAGAAAGCAATGGTGGCAGAGGTTCTCTTTGGGTGTTCATATTTTATATTTTTCTTACTGTTTTATATTTTTCATACTTTTTAAAATTTTTCTTAGTTACACTGGCTAATAGCAAAATTATTTTGCATTTCTGAGTAAACAGTAACTCCTATGGAAGATTACCCAGAAACACATGAAGTCCTCGTGGGACTCGTTCAGCTAGCTGATAAACATTTACGACTGAGCCATACATGTGCCGATCCTACTAGGAATAAAAATTTGCTACCCATATCCCAGCAAGTGCTGCCAATTCTTCGGGTTACAGCTACATAGATATAGCTCTTCCTCTATTACTGCTTTAATGCTTTATGAGTAAGCTGGGATGTCTGTAGCCAGGTGGGTCTAGAACAATGTTTTCCAGGAATGCTCTTCACCACGTGGCCTGGGCAACCTGCCCCTGCTGGCCAGAGAAGTCGGGTACGAATAGGGGAACTGAGGTAGGCAAGTGGTGCTTCTGCATGCCCCTGTGGCCTGGGCGGATCCCCAGGGATGTGTCTTCAGAACCCATCATGTCTTGTTTTCTTCTGCCAGAGTGACACCTACTGGGAACTATGGAGGAATGCAGCCCACTCCTCCGATACAGTCCCACTCAATATTCACCCTGGTCTATTTTTGCACAAGGGTAAGAATTTCAACCAGCTTGGATAAACACACAAGTTGTGTGACATGAAGATAAATTTGGCAATGGTTGCTTAGAAACTGACAACAGTGCAATCAATAGGCAGTTTCCCAGAGCGCCCTACTCCAACACCTTTTAAAGTGCCAATCAAAGTTTGCAAAACCATTCATTATATTTCAATATGTGGAATTTTTTTGTACCTTGAAAAAATGATTAGATTTTGTTCCTGTTTAACAACTTACTTCTAATTCAAATTCAAAGTGAAAATAATGAGATTGGGCATCAAGAATTTGGACATACTGGTGTCTGGTATCGAGGTTCTTCAGCTACTCAATGCACGTGATGATGGTGATGATCATGATGGTAACAACAGACAATAACACATATATTACAATGCCACATACTAAGTGTTTTACAATTCTTAGCTCACTTCTTAACAATTTCTCGTCTCCCTATAAAAAGCTTTGTCTAGGCCGGCTGTGGTGGCTCACGCCTGTAATCACAGTACTTTGGGAGGCCAAGGTAGGCAGATCATGAGGTCAGGAGATCGAGACCATTCTGGCTAACACGGTGAAACCCCATCTCTACTAAAAATATAAAAAATTAGCCGGGTGTGGTAGCGCATGCCTGTAGTCCCAGCTACTTGGGAGGCTGAGGCAGGAGAATGGCGTGAACCTGGGAGGCGGAGCTTGCAGTGAGCCAAGACCGCATCACTGCGCCCCAGCTTGGGCGAAAGAGCGAGACTCAATCTCAAAAAAAAAAGGCTTTGTCTAAAGAAACCATCCTTAGGCACTAGTGTTTGAGAAGGTCAAGTTTAGGTTAGGATCATGTTCAAAGTGAAGACAAAGTCTAGTTTTTTGCTTATTTTCTTTTGAGACAGGATCTCACTCTGTCACCCAGGCTGGAGCACAGTGTTGTGATCATAGCTCACTGTAAGCTTGAACTCCTGGGCTCAAGTGATCCTCCTGGCTCAGCCTCCTGGGCAGCTAGGACTATGGGCATGTGCCATGATGCCTGACTAATTTTTTTTTTTTAATTTTGTAAAGATAGGGTTTGCGGTGTTGGCTAGGCTGGTCTCAAACTCCTGGGCTCAAGTGATCCTCCTGCCTTGGCATCCCAAAGTGTTGGGATTACAGGTGTGTGCCACTGAGCCTGGCCGTGCTTATTATCTCCTTAAGCCAGATGAAAGTGCTGTAACGTCCAAGCTTGGTTTTCATCACCATGCATTGCTAATATCTATTAATCACCCTTTATAAAGCATTAATCACCCTTTAAAGGGTGGTTCTCTTTAGACGGGGGAAAAGAGCAACTTGACAGTGAGGAAACCTAATACACCTCAGTCAGGTGATCAAGGTCACCATCAGCAGTTATAAATCACGTTTAAACTACATACCCTTGATATGATGCACAAGGACAAGGACAACCAGTGACAACCACTCCCCATCATGGCCTTTTCCAAACATATTCCCGTGTATCCCATTAGCAAGTCTTTGTTTACCCATGGACACTCCCTTTCCCTCAAATACATCATCCTCAAAAGACCAGGCTTAAGTACTCCCTGTTCTGTGAAGCTTTCCTTGTTCTCTAAGGCAGAAGTTATTTCTCTCTCCTTGGTCTATGTGGTTATTTGATCTGGGCTCATGATTTTTCTTTATAAAAGCCTCTCTGGATTCGGGCATAGCCAAGCACCAAGCCTCACTCTCCCTGTGCACCCACCTTAAACCTCACCCATGAATTTCACACAATTAAAGAGACTTAGATATACTGCAGGTAATCATGTGTCTTCACTGGATGGTAAGGCTCTTGAAAGCAGAGTTTATAGCAATCCAATTTCTGTCAACTCAGAAGTACTTGTTCCAGCAAGGCCCTAGGGCCTCCTGATAACATGTAGAAATGACAATGACCAGTCACAAGAAGGTAAGCTCTGTTCACCAAAAAAAGTTCCCCACTCTCCTAGAAACAACAATGCAATAGACTCAGAAATTCCAAGTACTTAATACATAGCTTAACTGAAATCAAGTTTCCAGACACGATGAACTCTAGAAAATAACATACACTGAAGCTGTAGAAGATGAGTTTTATTTATCCAATTTATGAGTTCACAAATCATAAATCTCAGTGACTCCGAGTAGTTTGGGCAGGAATGCATTCCAAAACTACCATCTGGGTCATGCTAGATGGAGAATAAATCTAATGCTTACCACAGATTCACATTCTCTCTATAATAAGCTGCAAGGAAGACACCAATGAAGCTATTAAAAATAAGGTAAGAATAATTCACACAAACTGCTTTCCCGCCTTCTTAGAAAATAATACAACTCCCAAACAAGCTCTAAGTAATAATCCAAGAAGTCCCAATTATTCCTCATCTATACCTTAATTATTATATACTTTATAAACTTCTTTCCATCTGCAGTTCTGTGTCTTTGACTAATTACAGTGAGTTTCTCTGAGACACACCTGGCTTTACTTAATGAGATAGACCATGTAATTTTTCAACTCAAAAACCAACTGATCACATTGCTTTGCACCCTAGGGTAGCAACTGCTATATGCCTTATAGGGCTAAATAACAAATAATAGACACTTATAGTTTGCATTTTCTAGCCCATTTTACAATGAAAACAGTGATCTGAAAATCAACAATTTATCTAATATTGAATTCCATAGGTAAGAGAACATAAGCTCTTTAATCAAAAGTAAACCAGCTGAATCATTTCTACAAAGAGAAAAAGAAGAGTAAGAGATGAGGGGAAGGAGGGAGAAGGTAGGCTGTGACTCATTTTACTTCTGTGTTATTTGCAATCAGACTTAAAATGTATCCCCAACTACTGCAGAAAGATAGTGCTGAGGTTAAATGGTTCCACTGAATGACATTCTTTCCTCTTGCTGATTATCTTTTTAAAAAGTTAACTAAAGTCTATAGTTTATTTCTATTTTCTGCGTTTTCACCTAATGTCCCTTTTCCGTCCCAGGATCCCACCCAGGATGTCTCATCACCTTTAGTCACTGTGTCTCCTTAGGCTCCTCTTGGCTGTGACAGTGTCTTTGACTCTGTTTTTGATGATCTTGACAAGTTTGAGGAATAACAATCAGGTATTTTGCAGAATTCTCCTTGACTGGGATTTGTCTGCTGTTTTCGCTCATGATTAGACTAACTTTAAGGGTTTGGGAGAGGAGGGCCACAGGGTAGAGTGTCACTTCCGGCACATTATAGCACTGTAACGCCAACGTCAGTGTTGGCGTGATCACCTGGAGTGTTTGTCAGGTTTCTCTACCATACAGCTGCTCTTTCCTCCTTTCATGCTGTACATGTGGAAGGGCATCACAATGCACAGTCCGCATGTCAGGAGCCAGGGTTAGGCTCCCTCTTTGAGGGCAGAGTGTCTACATAAATTACAGATTACCATTTGAAAACGTGAGAGTGGAAATATCATTAAAATCTTATTTTTAATGGTCAAAGGTATTAAAATAATTTCTGCTATAATGTTCCTGAATATTAGTATTCCCTAAATAAAATATTATTAAAGGGCAATAGGTTATTGTAGCAAAAAATTGTGAAGATCTGTTTGAGAATGTCTTTGGACCCCGAGTCTTAGGTGTGTAGGTATTCATACGGAGAGCCAGGGGTAGATGCTGATGCCGTCTACACATGCAACACACAACCCTTACACATGAGACCTGACTACATAAAGGTGAAAAAAAATATTAACAGAAAAGGCTCCATTTAAAGCTACATTTTAAGGTAAATGCTTAAAATAGCACTACCAAAATATACAACTAGTTTGTTTCATTTGACTCCCTTGACACCTAGAAAAACACGTAAAAACAACTAGTCAGTTACCTTCTGAGTTTCATACATTGCTATGGGCTAACTTTGGACTTTGGCCATAACTTAAAATATTTTTATATTGAAAATTATATTTTTAGTTGAAACAACTGAACTTTAGCAAACAAGGTGAATATAAAAACATTTTTAATGCTTGTACTTCTTATGAAGTATTCCTTGATCTGTTGGCTCAATAACTATTTGCAGAGTGCCTACTGTGTATCAGGAACCAGGGAAGCAGAGAAAGTACGATCATTCCATTATCTATTCAAACACAAAGCAGACAAAAGTGGGATCATGTGATTAAATGCTATGTGACTAGAATAATTAGAAGAAATAAAACATACTGAGAGTTAAAAATGGGCTACACAGAGACACTCAGAGAGCCTTGGATGGGGAGGTCACTCACTAATTAACTGCACAGATGAGAATTTCAGGGAAATCGGTTCCACCTGACAAAAGGGGCAGTTGGTTGACATTACTCTCCTAGGTCATAGACACGCTCGCAAGGCCAATCCAGATTGCTTCATGTATGAACAGTAAAGGGGGGAACATGTAGAAAACACACAGCACAACATAGGGTGCCAGGGCAAGGCGAATGTTTCCATGCGAAGGACAGACGCGGTTATCAGCAGTAGAAATGGAGGTTAGCCAGGAAGCCCGCATCAGGAAAGAACTAGAAAATAAAGGTGTCAGAAAACTAAAGATTAATTAAGTTCCACAGCTATTAATGGGAATCACTCCCTGTTCTCGGCACAGCTCAGGGAACATCATGTTTCACCTTCTGATAAGGAAAAAGTGATTTCAAATCACGCAAATAATTATCTTAGAAGAAACACATCCTTTTAATTTAGGATTTTTCTAACTCTGTAATTTAATTTATTTCTGTGTTAAGAGGCGGTTTACAGACATATTTTAAGAACACCATTCTTCAAAATCTCGTCTCACATCTTCAGACGTTTTTCTGTCACTATAACCAGTGTCTAGACACCCAAATTAAGTACTGTAAACCCAGCCACAACCAAAATGATCCTTCTGCTGGAGATGATGTGTACACAAGGTCACAAACACGCAAGCATACAAATATTTTCAACATGTACCAAACAGGAGACCTTTATTTGTAGACAAAAATATTGATGTTGCTAAGTGATACTGAACAAATCACAAGCTATAAGTCTTTATTATTTATTTCCATCTATTTCCCACTCATAAACACTTTTAACTCTGTTCCATGTCTGTACATATTTAGTCTCAACTAGAATGTCACATTTACTAAAAATATAAAATAACAAAATACTAACCTCTTATCATTTTTCAGATCCTTCCTTAAAAATACGCAGAGGATGAGTAAAGTCTTAAATGAGCAACATCATAAAGGAAGTAAATGAACCAGATACAATGATTATTGGTTAATTTCAACCTAACCAATAATAACTCTAGGAACTTTTTTGGGCAGCAAACTCTGACTTTTTCTTAACAAGAGAGAAATAAAGCCAGGCAAAGGAGATCCCTAGGCAATCCCAAACTGAAGCTCGGTAAAGAACCGTGCACACCCACTTACTCAGGTGGCCCATGAAGAGGGAGACGGACAGATTCTAGGTTCTATCACTTTCCCTGTACTGTCTAGAACAGCATCATCTAAAGTCGGGATACAACACGGAAGAAAGAGTGAAGAGTCACAGTCCTCTAGGAACTACCTCAGCCGTCAGCCTCTCCCCGTCGTTAGGAAGTGGAGGGAGGAGGGTGAGCCCTGGCCATCTATCAAAGGCACAATCAAACTGCACCAGCAACCAGAGAGGAGGCCAGGGGGAAGGATCGTGACTGGCTGGGCAGAAGCTGAACCCTCAGGAGCTAAGGGAACCTTAAAGGCATTTTCAAAGATGCATAAGCCCAGGTCTAGAGATAGTGCACTGTCCTTCCAGGTCCAGCTAAGGCAGAGGAGATCGGGAGGCATAAAACGTAAGTGCCTTGAAAGAAGTGACATGCAGGCATGCCTTCCAGCAGCCCTGGGATTCGATGACATCAGTAGCAATCTGTCTGCACTGCCCCAGCAAGTAGGAAGCACGGTGTCGTGGAAAGGGCTGGTGGACAGTTTAAAGGATGCAGATGCTCAACCTGGCTGGCCGCTGGGAGCTGCAGGCCTAGGTGGTCACTGCACCCCACTGTGCCTCACATTGTTCACACTACTGATATGGTCTGGATGTCTGTCTCCTCCAAATCTCATGTGAAATGAGATCCTCTGTGTTGGAAGTGGGGCCTAGTGGGGGGTGTCTGGGTCATGCAGTGGGTCCCTCGTGGCTTGGTGCCCTCCCTGCAGTAATGAGCTCACAGGATATCTGGTTATTAAAGCTACTGGAACCTCCCTGTCACCCTCTTGCTCCCCATCCTGCCATGTGACACACTGGCTCCCCTTTGCCTTATGCCATGAGTGGAAGCTTCCTGAGGCCTCCCCAGAAACAGATGCTGGCACCATACTTCTTGTACAGCCTGCAGAACCATGAGCCCAATAAACCTCTTTTCTTTATAAATTACCCAACCTCAGGTATTCCTTTGTAGCAGTGCAAAAAGAACGAACACCTGCTCACTTGATAGGCCCATATTCATGGCAGGTCAGGGTCTTCTCAGCCCATGTCTGCAACTGGTTTCCCCCAAATTCCCTCTGTTTCTCTCCCTGGCAGAGGACCCTCCTCTGTCCCTGTTGGCCGCCCTCCTACCCCACCATGGCACACTCTGTGATGCCATCCTGTCTGCTCAGTAACTCCCCCCAGTTCTACGGAGTTTTGGCTACTCTTCATCTATCCTGTCTTTTCTCTCTTTCTGCAAACCAGAGCTCTCAGAGTACCTCCTTGCTCTCAGCTTTATCACACGTGCCCTGGGACAGCCGAGGCCTCGGCAGCCTGGCAGGATTCACTCTTTGCTCTGTGTCAACAAGCAGTTCTGGCCCACAAGCATGGGCCAAATGAGCCTGTGCACAGACTAAAAACAAAACAGATCCTCGGTAGGACACACAACAGGAGCACTTAATCAAGATGTCTCTACAAGGTGGCCCTGATAGGAAGGTCAGCACAGCTGTCCCAGGGTTGTGGGGGACCCTCGCTGCTGCTCTGTCGGAAAGGCCCCCACATTGCTGAGGGTGGGAAGAAAGAGGGTTGCTGTTGGCACCCGATGACACTATTTTGCTCGTGGCCGTTGGAGGTGAAGTCAAACAGTGGGTCCTGAGGCGAGTTAGGAAGTGGCACTGGCCGTAGGGGTGTAATTTAGAGATGCATAGAAAATTGCTGGGGAGGCACACGGAAGATAAGAAGGGCCCAGTGCTCTGCTATCCCCCAGAGGCAGAGGTCAAGCCCCTGGGCTGGGTGATGAGAATGAGCACAGAGGGGGCATGACTGGAGGGTGGTGTGGCCAGCCATCTCTGCCCACGGTGACAGCATCTGTACTCATAGGAGGGGGCCCAAGGGAGGCAAAGAATGGGACATCCCAAACAGAAGTCGGCCCTGCCTGCTCGCAGAGGAAGGGACTTGGAGCCAGGTTCTGGACACCACTCACAGCGGGACTCGGACTTGGAGTCTCGCTCTTCCCAGGCTCTCTCCACCGCCCCTAGATCTGGATGGCCGGAGGGCTGTCAGCCAGGCCCCTCTCATCTTCCTCGGCTTACGTTTTGGCAGGGGCCAGCTCCCAAGGCTGCCATTTCCTAAACCCACTGTGGAAGGCTGCTCGGCGGGACTCATCGTCTTGATGGCATCAACATCGCCAGCACTCATGCCTTGAGCCTTCCTCCTGGCCGTCCTCAGGGACGCCTTCTCATTCTCACAGCATGTGTTTATGATGTAAGCCGTCCAGACACCCTCTAGCCCCTCGAGCTTTGACTTATTCCGAGCCCTCTGCAGCTCCCAGTATTACGTCTCTCCACAGACCCATGACAGGTTCAAGAATTTTGTTTTCATCCATCATAATTTGCGTAACACCAACCAGTTGAAGGTTTTTTTCCTATGCTAGCTTTCCCTCCACAGAAATGAAACAATTCTGTGAATGAAACCATTTGCCTATTACATGTGAAGTGTGTGTCTGTCAGCTCAGGGCTCTGTGTTTTTATATTCCTCATGAAGCTGCCCCTTATTCTCCCTCCAAGACCACTATAACATTTTGGTGGAACCCTTTTCCATGATAGAACTTACATTGTCATGTTGTGGTAATCTGTTTTCAAGTCTTATGTTAAGTAGATAGTAAGCCCATTGCCCCCTTGTAGACAGCAACTGTGTCTGCTTTCTTCCTGTGTGGGCACGTGGCCAATGCTCCAAGAAAGAAAAACGTTGCTGGATTAAAATATGCTAGTCGGATGATGGCAGCAGTTCAGAAGAATCCACGAGGCAGAATTATCATCTCCATTATACAGAAGAAATGCAGCTCAGAGAAATGAAGACTCTTGCCCAAGTTTCCCTGGCTTCTAAAGCGGTGGTGCCTGAATTTGAACCTAGTTCTGTTTGATGGCAAAATTGCCTTCTTGACCTGTCTGCTGCTGGCTTCCCCAGAAAAAACAAGGAAGCAAGACAACCAAATGCCAGAAGCTTTAAAATTGGACAGACTAAAATAAGGCTGCCCCAGCTGCATAGGGTGCTGCTGGTCTACGGCACACATGGTCCAGCCAGGGCTAATTTTAACTCTTTGTCTGTTCTCTAAGTTTCCTCCCTCTTCCAGCAGAACCCACTGTCCTCTGCTCTTGGTAGCCACGGCCTTTCTATGTTTCACGCTCACAGCTCAGACACTCAGATTCAGTTCCCTTTTTCAGACAATGTTAAAACACAATTATAGATCTGTTCTCCCATTAAAATGCCTCCGTGAATAAAATAAACTGAACAGAACCGTCTGGTCTTCCTGGGCCCTTTCCCAGAAGCACCTGATGGACATCCCCAGTACCTTCCATGGGCAGCACCCCAGCTGGGGACCATGGCAGCTCCACTATCCAGCGTGATTCCTCATCCTTGCACAATCTCACTGTTTCTGAGAAATGAAGACAGCTGTTTTCATTATGGTTTTAGCCTAAACAAAACTCCAACTTCTTATTAAGAATGTTTAATAAAATCAACAGGGCATTTAAACTGCCAGCAGGGAGCTTGGCAAATTACATGCTGGCATGGTGCCTCCCTCTGTGTCTGGATGCAAATATTTCTCATCTTTACACAGCTTTTCTGAAACATCATAATGCCATCTCAACCAGCCCACCCCCACACCACATGCAACTATGACTTTGTGAGGCACACACCAGCATCCATTTGTGACAAAAGCGAAATGCAACTCCCTGTAGAATCAGCTAGGCTAAGTAGCTGTTTGCTTTTGGGGAGCTGAATATTCAAGAAGTTGCTTTAGGACTCATGAAATAATTAATAGATTCCCCATCTTGAGATGGTAAAATGAAAAAAGTATTCCTTGCATTATCCCATCTCATATTTATTAGGTACAAATGATGGCAGCAATGGCCTGTCTAGAATGGCCGCTGCCATGATGCTGGCTGCAGCAGGGGAGGCATGGGTGGGGCCGTGTGCTCCCTGGAGCAGGCAGGAGCCAGGAACAGGTGGGAGCCCTAACCCTTTCCAAGTTGGTGGGGCAGGAGCCCCACTCTCCCAGGCATAGCTGCAGCCCCCCAGCCACAGCTGTGGACATGGGCATCCCTGCACCCCTGGACTCTTGGAGGCCCAGAAACCACCCCGTGCCCCAGCAGGCTTGGAAGTGCCTGCTCCCACTGCCTGGCCTCTCCCCACTCCCAGCACCCACTCCAATTTTGAAGCAAACTTGTGGCTGAGCCCAGGCACTATTACGACCTGACCAGGTGTGCACATACTTGGAGTGGCACTGACATCCCAGCCCCTTGCCCTTGGCCCCTTCTGGACTTTGGGTGCCAACAAGCAGGGGAAGGAGGCCAAGGGGGTGCTGAAAGTGGCTCAGCCTGGGCTTGCAGGCACCCCTTGGCACCAACAGCCTGGGCGCCATGAATGCCATGAACAGCAGCAGGAGGCAGACAGGCTCCTGGGTGGAAAGGGGCAGGTCCCTGGTGACTAACCCCACCTTCTGGCCAGAGTGAGAACTTACGGTGCTTTTTCCAGGCCTGCCAATGGCTGCCTATGGACCAATCAGCATCTACTTCCTCCCTTCTGAAGCCCATAAAACCCCCCAGACTCAGCCAGACTCAGGCAGATGACAAGATGACCTGCCTGCAGAGAGGAGCCACCCACTCTGGGTCTCCTCTCTGCTGAGAGCTGCATTTGTCAGAATGACCTGCCTGTGGATAGGAGCTACCCACCTCGGGACTCATGAGAACTATACTGTCACTCAATAAAGCACCTCTTTGACTTGCTCACCCTCCAGTTGTCTGGGTACCTCGTTCTTCTGGATGCAGGACAAGAACTCAGGACCTACTGAATGGTGGGACTGAAAGAGCTGTAACACAAACAGGCCTGAAACACACCCTCCTGCTTGCCATGTTGTGGGTGACAAGAAGGAGAGAAGAGAGAATGAGAGAAAAGCTGCAGCCCTTTGGGGAGCCCAGACATAGGAGGAGCTCCCTGAGCCAGGGCTGTGACACCCTCTTTGGGGCTCTGCACTTCCTAGCATTTCCAAACTTCTGGGCACCACCATCTTCCCCGGTGTCCACAGTGGAAGCCGCTTGTGGTATGCCTGGTCCAGCCACAGCAAGGAGCTGCCCACCCCATTGCAGACAGCATGCCTGGCCATGTACAGTGGCCACACTCCACGCTCACTCACTCATGCACCCCTCGCCACTCTGCACCTGGCTCGCCCTTGACAGGTGTGGGATCTGGGCCAGGACTGAAAGCCAAGTGCAGCCTGCCAGGTCGAGTGGGCAGAACGAGCCCAGTGGGCCTGAGCAAAACTCAGTCAAAGGTGCCACCGGCTACAAGGTTTCCAGCGGGTGAAGCAACACCCTAAGGATCCTGTGACACTGATACAGCAGACGCACAAAGTTAGACACTGGTGGATCATCTAACAAGTTTAAGACATTGTTTTTACTCTCAAGTAGCTTGTGCAGAAAGTTAATTTTTCAAATAGTTTTAGCTTTCAAAGAAGCCCAGAATCTGTGACTGTAACTTTAAAATCACTGGACCCTAATGGATGCTACTCGAGTAAATGACGAAGTGGTACATTTTCTTCCTTCCTACCTCAAAGGATGACTTAATGGAAATAAAGTCAGTAACAGAAAGCAGGTTAACAAAGGAAGACAGATGCACAATTCTCACTGGCACAAGAGCTCTACTTGTCAACATCGGGGCCCACTGCAATCTTATCTAGCATCAATAAATTTCAAGATGGCAAAAATTACAACAGCTGCGCAGTGTCACCTCACCAGCCAAAATGTCAAATGTTCTCATCTCAAGTGTTGTAAATGAAAAAGAAGGGGACTCCTCTGTCAAGGGAGATCAGTGAAACCCCCTCTCCAAGCCAACTGGCTTTCTGTGTGGCTATTTCATAACCTAACAGAGACACTGCCTTTCTGTGCCGCTTCATCATCTGGCAAGCCCCTCACTGATGTCAGCGACAGAATCCTCAGAGATCACCGCTTTCTCTAAGCTGAGAAAGTGGGGATGGCGGATGGGGGAACCACGTGCCCGACAGCATCAGGCCTAATGAGCTTGCATGAAGTTCCCTGCACACACGGACTACTTTTGTGCCAGGGTACTGAGTAATTCCACCAGTGTTATTCAGTGACATCACATGGCAGTAGTGTGTGGTATTTAAAAAAAAAACCACCCAGGCTGGGTAACATAGCAAGACCCTGTCTCTACAAAAAATGCAAAAATTAGCCAGGCATGGTGGTGCACACCTGTAGTCCCAGGTACTCAGGAGGCTGAGGCAGGAGAATCGCTTGAGCCTGGGAATTTGAGGCTGCTATGAGCTATGATTGCACCACTGCACTCCAGCCTGGGCAACAGGGCAAGACTCTGTCAGGCAAGCAAGAGGGGAGGGGGGAGGGGAGGCCATCTTCAATCTTTTATTGTTGAGCCACTTCAGTTAGACAAATTACTCCCGAGCAGCAGTTAGTGGTGGAGTTGGCCTGCTGGTTCCCCGGCAGAGCTGCTTCACTGAACTCCCCTCCCTTACCCCTTGACCTTCCACTTGATGAGTGACAGCCATTGGGTCCAGGCTGAATGCACCCATCTCTCCATCTGTGAACATAAACCCAGTCCCCTGCCTCAACTGTTGTTGACTTTTACCACCCACTCCCCACCAAGCAGGGGCTAAACCATCTGCCCTAATCCCGAACAGCCTCAGGCTCTCACTTCACAGGTAGGGAACTTAGGTCCAGAGGGGGAAGGTAATGGGCCTGTGATCCCACAGTTATGAACACTGCATCCCGACCCTATCCTTCACTGCTGCTGCTAAGAAACTCCCTCTTGGCTTAGGATTGAGGACAGCTCTGTGACTATGACTTCCCAAATGAAGCCCACTGACTCTCACCTGTTGGGTCCTTCCCAGCCTCCATCCTGCCCCATTGGCTTTCCCTGACTTTTGAGCTGTGGTTACATGTTCCACCCCTGGAAGGCTCCACCCCACTGTGACCTGTGCACAGCAGGCACTGAGTATGCTTGGTGTCATAAATTAGCTTGCTTGGCTCCATAACATCTCCTGTCTCTTTCCTGCCCCGCCAGTTTCCCACCCTCCTCAGTTCCCGCAGCTTGTTTGCAGCTAAGAAACCGCACTGCTCATGGCCGGCTGCTAGAAGAAGGTGTGTGTGTGGAAGAGTAACCAGAGCTACTGCTGGCCTCAGCACAGGACTCCATAAAGGAGAAAGCCATTAGTGGATCCCAGCAGGACAAGACAAGATGACACAGGATGATTCTCTCGCTGGTCAATGGAGGGCCATTGAATTGGTCTTAATCTGCAAACTTCATATTTGATCATTTTCATGTTTTCCCACACTTTAACTAAGGGCTCACCATACATTTTGGTGTTGCCAAAAGGATTCGTTGATATATAACTTGGACATAAAGATCAGAGTCCCCGAGGAGTCCCCTTTGCTTCCCTAGAGTTCTCCAGTTCCAGGCGTCTGCCCTGAACGTGCGCAGCTCAATGATGTGGTCAAAGAGGCTGGGGCTCGGGGAGCAAGATCAAAAACACGCAGCCCTTCAGAGTCCTGGAGCCATCTTCCCAGGTACTCCATCAGCAGCATCCCAGAGATCCCCTGCAATCAGCTGGGCCATCAAGAGGAGGCCACTAACACCACCCCACTCTCTCAGCTGAGGACCTTCTGGGGAGCACCACTGGATAAGGCTAGATTGCGTGGCCGTTAAAACTTTGGGACTGACTTCACACAGTGGATGTTTACATTCTAAGAAAGTTTAATGTATGTTTTCTCTAATAATACTTTCAATTATAAAAGTAATACTTGTTCATTTTAGAAAATTTGGAAAATAAAAGGAGCACATTAAAAAAAAAAAAAAAAAAAAAAGACAAACCATCACCTGCCATGACGTCTAACCTTCTGATGTGCTCCAGGGAGTTGGACCCTTTTTCCTGGCGGCAGCTGAAACGGTTGGACCTAGCCTCTCCTTGGTCTGTGCAAAATCACTATTATAAAGATGGCTTCTGTCTGTCCTCTGAAAGGTGACGGGTGTGTTCGGACTTTAGCTTCACTGTCAACAGGTTGCAGTTAGGTCTACCTGTAAGTTGTCCTCCATTCTAGCCTACTTAAGAGAAAACAGCACAGCTTCGCGAGAGCTCTGTCTCCCACACGAACTCCGCTTTCCCATCCACCATGCAGGCTGCCATCCACAGCAGTCACTGTACCAGGAGCCACTCAAGGTGAGCCAGTCCTGGGCCGACTGATGGGTTGATTTCACAATTTTCTGTCTCCTGAAAACACATCTTTGTACCCATCTTTGTTTTCTTTCTGGGTCTGTAACTGTATTAAGCTCAGGGCTCAATTCCTTCCAGCTTCAAATATTTTCCCTGCCCAGGAGGTGGGGAGGAAAGCACAGCGTCTGCTATTTATGGTGTCAAAGAAGGTTTGTTTATCCTATTAACATAATCAACAGTTGTGCCTCCATGGCACCCTAGACAAGTCCCTGGCCCACTGCAGCACTCTGACGGGGAAATCACACTCCAGGAAAACAGCCCGGAGGCAGAGCAGTGCCTCAGGCAATCAACACGTTTTTCACTAAAGTTTCCCAATCTCATTTCTGAAGGTATTTCTGAAAAGCAGCGTGGCTTCATAGCAGGCCCAGCGATGGAAACCACAATGCCAAGGCTGAAAGCCCAGAAGTGCGGCCTCAGCTTCACGGTGCCTCACCCTGTGTGCACACTGTGTGCATGCATGTGCACGTCCACACGTATGCACGTATGTGGGCCTGCACGTTCGGGGCAGGCCTCGTCCTGGTATCCCCGGGTACATACTCCATGCCAGAGTCTGTGCTGGTTTCCCTCACAGACATCTCTTTGGCTAATCCTCCCAGCAGCCCTGTTGGAGGTAGGGCTCAACAGGTAGCCCCGTTGGCGGTCGTTTTTCCTTATTGGAGAAACTGTGGCTCAGAAAGTTTCACTGACTTTCCCAAGGGCACAGAGGAGATAAAGGGCAGAATCTGGATCAGAGCTAGAGTCTGGCTGACTCCACAGGCCAGCCAAACCCCAAGTCACCAACAAACTCCAGGTGACTCCACCAATCTACCTCTGAGACCTAATGTAAGGCAGACAAAGAAAGTGAAGGTACAAAGATAATCTACAAATGCTTTTAATAGATGAGATGTTAATTTTAACAATAATGCAATCATGTAAATTCTCTCCAGTTGAGAAAGGTATTATTCTTCAATTCAGCTTGTTAAACCTCCTTCAGGATTCTAAAACCTTTTAGACTCTTAAATTGCAGCCTTCCATGTCCCTTGTCCTGCCTCCAGCACACTCTTCAGTAAACAAAAGTCAACAGCACCAGGGCAAAACTAAAGGAAGTGCTGGATGGTCTCAGAATTCAGGATGACAGTACCCGGGAGGCTCGCATGTGTGGGTGCATGCCGTGGCAGGAGAAGGCTGCAGATATAGGATGAAGATGATTTTAGGAACAGGAGCTCAAGACCTCTAGTTCCAGCCCCTTTTAGATCCCGTGGTTGTCCCAGGCCCTAAAGGGCACAAAAAGCTGACTGCTCATTTGTGGGCTTGTTATCCACACCAGATGGCTTTCAGGGGTGGATTTAGATTTAATTGGCCGGACTGAATCAGAAGAACCATGTTAAAGAAATCCTTAGGAAACTTACATGGGTGATCCCTAAATTACCTTCCGAAGAGCCATGCATGCGTCCTCTGGCTGCTCCAGGTGTAAAAAATGCCTGTAAAAAGATGGGACTATGGGCCATATTTACCACGTTTATCCAGAGAGTTGATTCTCCTTAATACCAGGAAACTAGGCAACAGCTGGAAAGGAAAATATCAGAAGGACTTGGAGGGGACACAAGCAGGCAAGGTACCTCTGTCCCTCGGTGCTGCTCACACACGAGTGGCCCCTTCTCTTTGTAAATACAGACACCCAGCAGATCTGTGCTCGAAACAGCCCTCCATGGAAGGGGAGCAAACTACAGGAAAGGGTTTATTTAAAAACACCAAGGACCCAAAAGAAAAACCAGAATGAAGTAAGTGCAGAGGAAAGTGTTCTGAGTGTGTGGAGCACCCACCTCCGCCCGCCCCGCCTCCTTATCTTCTCCCTGGATTCCTGAGGGCTGCCTGGAAGAGGATGAATGTCCACACCTCCCTGGAGGAGCCCACGGTAGGGGACGGGAGGCTGACACATAGAGAGGGCGACACAGTGCACCCAGGACTGTGACAGAAATCCATGCAAAGTGCTGAGGAGAAGCCAGCAGGTTCTGCCTGGAAGGTCGGGGATGGCTTACCAGGGAGGGGACAATCATGAGTCCTAGGCAGGAAAGGTCCTCTGGAGAGAGGAAATGGCACACGCGCAAGCACGGAGGCATGAGGGGCCAGGGTCCTGGAGGACACTGGGCCGGGACAGATCAGACTCCAGGCAAGGAGGGAGATGGCGCCAGACTGTGATCATAAGCTTCACGATGATGCAACAGCCAAATATTTACTGTCTCACAGTGGAGATTAAACAGCCTCTCCATAAAACACACCGGCTTGTTCTCTGCATTGACAGAACTTTTTAAACCATGAACTGATTCCCCAACATAAACTACACAACAGCCAGCTTTATGAAGAGAGCTGCATTGCTGTTATATAAGTAGAACTTGAGTAGAGAGTGACCTTTTTCCTTTTTTAGAATCAGGGTCTTACTCTGTTGCCAGGGCTGGAGTGCGGTGGCATGATCACAGCTCACTGCAACCTTCAACTCCTGGGCTCAAGGGATCCTCCCACCCCAGCCTCCCCAGTAGCTGGGACCATAGACATGTACCACCACACCCCACTAATTTTTTTGGGCTATATTTGTAGAGACAACATCTCACTATGTTGTCCAGGCTGGTCTCGAACTTCTGGCCTTAAGCTATCCTCCTGGCTTTAAGCTATCCTCCTGGCTTGGTCTCCCAAAGTGCTGGGATCACAAGTGTGAGCCACCACGCCTGGCGGTCTTTTTCATATATTACTCTCAGTGTGCTAAACTCCTCACACCAGGGAAGGTCCAAAGGTCATCCACACCTTCCTGATTTAGAGAGCATTTCTGAACACTGTGATTCAGAAGGGTGTCCGGAGGCATCTCAGAGGCAGTAAGTATTTTAATTATTAGTAGAAACGTGCAGAGTGCAGAACACCAGAACCAACAGTCTTTCTATGAGAAAGACCAGTTCTAGTCTCCACATGCTCATGTCTCACAAAGGAAGCTGGGACTCCCACCACCTGAGGAGACCACTCTTCACACTGTTCTTCCAGTAATCTCGGTACACACACCCAAGTGTGCACACCCTTTTGCATATATGAGCAAATGCTTCTCACTGATTGTTTTCCACTGAACAGTATAGAGTGAATTTCCTTCTGTAATTTCTTTAACCAAGTCCCTATTGTTGGCACTGGTTAATGTCAGTCCAAGTTTTCAGTATTATAATAAGCAACTTAAAGTGGACCACGCATTTCACTGCTGCAATGAGTGTCCTTGAATAGTTATTGTTGTCATTGGTCTAAACTGCTGAGGAGATTGGTCTGCACATTTTACATTTTGTTGCGTTTTCCTCCAATGTCTTCCAAAATGGCAGCACCAATTTATACCCCGGTGAGAGTGCCTTGCGGGGTCGGGCTGGCTTTGGAGGTGTGTGTGGGCCTCTGAGGGTTGCCACAGCTCTGCAGACTCTGTCTTGGAAACTAGAATGCAGCAGCCCCCAGGGGCCTCAACACTCAAGGTTTCCACCTCCACCTCCACTCAGGGACCGCTGGCAGTGCCTGCAGGAAGGGGCAGGGCTGGCTCTGCTCAGTGCCCACATGAAGGTGCCCACAGGCTCCAAAGAACCCCAGCAAGCAGGCAAGTTGCCCAGCAAGCCCAGAAGTGAGACAGGAAGAAAAACACGGTCGAGACACCCAGAACCTTCCATCTTATAACTGTTATCAGCAGACACTGATTCTCTGGGCATTTCACACCAGATCTTGCTTCTGACACGCTGTAACTAACATGCGTGGAATTTCCCTCAAATTACCTTTCCTACTGCTCATTATAATCGGAAGCAATTTATAATGTTCCTGTGAATTGCCTTGGACAGATTATTTTCCAGCCAGCAGATGTTGAAGCAGACTAATAAATAACCACTGACGAACCCCCACGGAACTCTCTGAAAAGGCTGTAAATATATTTAACAACCCCCAGCATAAACACATCTCCAGCTCTCCACCAGGATTGAATACCTTTCAGAAACTATTATGGATGTACCTGAAGAAGAAGAAGAAAAAAAGGTTATATAGGATGCATTTGGAATGCCCATTTCTTCCAGAAAAAAAATATGAGTCCCAGCATTT
Source organism: Homo sapiens (assembly GCF_000001405.40). Lineage (NCBI taxonomy): Eukaryota > Metazoa > Chordata > Mammalia > Primates > Hominidae > Homo > Homo sapiens. The sequence continues at coordinate 13,540,398 of NC_000018.10, read as the reverse complement.
CCTGTTTCCTTGGCTTGCCCTTAACAACTGCAGACATCTGCAAACATTAGTGCCCTTACAAATATTGAGTCCCTGTGTTTATTCAATGGCCATTTAATTTCAGATGCAAATGTACTCTGCCTTACAGACTAAACAAAGAATTACGGGGATCTCAATTTCTTGGCCCATATCTTTTGCTAGTTTTTTTAAAACTTGTATTTTTTAAAAAAGACAAACACAGATAAATTGGGAAGATTTGGCATGAAAACAAACCAAACAAAATATTCTGTTTTACTCAACCTCCCTGGCATCTGGCTGCGTAACTTCTGACTGTGGACTTTCCTCATTTCCCTGTTCTTGGGCCAGAAGGAGCTTTGGCATGCGGGTGACCCTGGCTCCATCGGCCCCAACCCTGGGGGTGTCAGGGCCTACAGGACTTTGCCTGTGGGCTGACAGTGGTCTTCAAGGACCCAGGTGGCCATAGCCAGCCCAAGGCATAGCAATGTGGCCCCATGTCAGGACATTTGTCTGCCAGCACCTGTTTCTCCCTTCCAGTGTTGACATTGGTTACACTTCTTTTTTATGCACTATGGGTTTCTTTTTTGAAAGAAGAATTATAATTAGACAGTGAATTCTTTACCTGTTGAATGTGCTTAACCCAGGATGCAATTGAGCAAATATGAAAATATCAATCCTTACATTAGTCCCATTAATTTCAGATGTCATGTCTTTCCTCCCACCAAGACACAGTGATCATGATACCTACTTCATTTGCTTCTCCCATTTGGGCAAATAAGAAAGCACAAATATCACAACAGTGATAAATACTAAATAGGTGCATGGAGTCAGATAGCCACCTTGAAAGAGGAGGAAAGGGGGTGGAAAATAATCTATGTTTATCCACAAAAACATAAAAGGGCTTTCTGTAGTGAAGGATACTAAGTCAAGAAGAGCTTGCATCTGTTTTTCCTATTGGCAAAAGAGAAATACTAGCTTTTTCGTGCTCTGGTTCCTCCCTTGAACAGCTCTTTTTCTATGCAAATATAACAAAAGGAAATTGAGCTACGTTTAGGGACTGAGCAATTACCTGAATAACCTCTTCCTTCAGCTAGCTGGTGTTCAAACAAGCACACAGTTGCTCCCTGACGTGGGTCCTTGCGCTCACACAGTCACATGCTCCCCACCCATTTCCTGGACCCCATGTCTCCCCAGAGGTCTCGAAATAAAGCATTGCAGGGAAGGCATAAAGATGATTTCCTAACAAGCTTTTATCACTCAAACAAGCCTATAAAAGCAATCACTCTACTCTGAGAAAAAGAGTACTTGGCAGAAACTACTTCTCTGTTTTTTCTTTGTAACGAGGGGAGGGGAATTAAAGCCAAAATCAAAAGTTACACCAAAGGAAACTGAATTTCTCATTAAGAGCCAAGGAGGTACAAAAACACTAACCCTAATTTCCCTCCTAGGGACAAATAAGAGAAAGATTACTCATCATTTCTTCAAAGACATCATTAAGCAGATAAACTCTAGAGCCATAAGCCCTAACCAGAGCCTGACTTCCCTGAGGAAGGCTTATTCCCAGTAAGAGTCATAAGGCCAGGCACAGTGGCTCATGCCTGTCATCCCAGCACTTTGGGAGGCCAAGGTGGGCAGATCACTTGAGGTCAGGAGTTCGAGACCAACTCAGTCAACGTGGTGAAACCCTGTCTGTACTCCAGAATACAAAAATTATCTTGGAATACTGGCATACACCTGTAGTCCCAGCTAATGGGGAGGCTGAGGTGGGAGAATCGCTTGAACCCAGGAGGCGGAAGTTGCAGTGAGCTGAGATTGTGCCACTGCACTCCAGCCTGGGCAAGACTGAGACCTTGTCTCAAAAAAAAAAAAAATCATAGACATCAAAATTTTAAATGAGACTCTTCACATCCAAGAAATATGTGAATGGAAAGCTGCATTTTTTTCTCTCATTTATACTCTACTATCCCATTCTTTAAAATGGGTGAAAAAAATATGGGGTAACCTGGAAAATATTTTGAATTGAATCACAGTAAAAATAAAACAATTAAAAATTTGTGAGATACAGCTAAATTGGTGCTTACAGGAATGTCTACACCTTCAAGTGCTTGTGTTATAAAAGAAGACATAAAATCAATTCTCTAAATTCTCACCTTAAGAAATCAGAAAAAGAAAAACAAACTCCAAAGTAAGTAAATGGAAAGAGATAATAAAGATAAGAACACAATTCAATAAAAAGTAGAAAAGTAATAGAGAAAAATGAATGAAGAGAAAAGCTGGGTATTTGACAAGATCAACAAATCTGATAAGTTCTCTAGCTAGACTGGCAAGAAGAAAACAGGGAAGACATAAATTACCAAGATCAAGAACAAAAGAGGAAATACCACTACAGATCCTACAAATATTAAAAGGCTAATAAACAATATTATAAATAATTTTGTGCCAATAGATTTAACAAGTTAGATGAAAATGGACAAATTTCTTGAAAGATATAAATTATGATAATGAATATAAGAAAGAACAGAAAAACTGAAGAGCCCCGTATCAGTTAAATAATCTAAATAATAATTAAATATCTCCCTTTTTCTCTTTCTTTCTCACACACACACATACACACACACACAAATTCCAGGCCCAGGTGGTTTCTCTGATGAATCCTATTAAATACAGTTATGTGCCTCATAACAATGTATTGGTCAATGATGGACCACATTTATAATGGTGGTTGGAGCAGCAGGCTATACTGTACGGCAGGGGTCCCCAACCTCTGGGCTGCAGACGAGTACCGGTTCATGGACTGTTAGGAACTGGGCCGCACAGCAGGAGGTGAGCGGTGGGTGAGGGAGCATTATCTCCTGAGCTCTGCCTCCTGTCAGATCAGCAGCAGCATTAGATTCTCACAGGTGTGTGAGCCCCATTATGAACTGTGCAGGTGAGGGATCTAGGTTGCATGCTCCTTATGAGAATCTAACTAATGCCTGATGACGATTATCTGAGGTAGAACAGTTTCATCCTGAAACTATCCTCCTGCACACCCTCAGTCCATGGAAAAACTTGTCTTCCATGAAACCGGTCCCTGGTGTCAAAAAGGTTGGGGACTGCTGCCATATACCCTAGGTGTGCAGTCAGCTATACCATCTAGGTTTATGTAAGTACACCTACCCCCTTCTGTAAGCAATGCATGACTGTATTTAAAAAGGAAATAATACCACCTTATGCAAATTATTTCAGAAAATAGAGGAAACAGGACAATTTCTCTATTCATTTTATGAACCAATACTACTCTGATACCAAACCAGATAAACATATCATAAGAAAGAGAAGACAACAGACCAATATCTCTAATGAAGCCAGATGCAAAAGTCCTTAGCAAAATTTTAGCAAACAGAATCTAACAATATATAAAAGGAATAATACATCATGGCCAAATGGGATTTATCCCAAACATGTAAGGTTGGTTTAATATCTGAAAACTTAATCAATACAATTTATTATAATTACAGAATATTTGAAAAAAACATATAATCATTTCAATAGATGCAGAAAAAGTATTTGACAAATTTCAACATTTACTTATTGTAAAAACTACCAGCAAAGTAGGAACAGAAGGAGACTTCCTCAATCTGATTAAAAGTACCTACAAAAAACATACAGCTCATATTACTACTCAGTCATAAAAAGCTCTTGCTTTTTATCTTACATGAGGAACAGAGTAAGCATGTCCTATTTTTTTAAATGCTTTTATTCAAGTTTGTACTGAAGGTTCTGAACAGTGCAGTAAAGTAAAAAAAAAAAGACATTAAAGGCATACAGGCTGGGAAAAAAAGATGTAAAACAGCGTCTCTGTTCAAAAGATATGACTTTATGCCAAGAAAAGTCTAGAGAATACACAAACGAGCTACTAGAACAAATAAAGGAGTTTAGCAAAGTCACAGAATACAGGGTTTATGTACACAAATCAACTGTATTTCTTTAAACCAGCAGTGACTTAAAATGAAAATTTTAAAATACTTTCATTTACAAGAGCATAAACAATTCTTAGGAATAAATTTAATGAAAGGTGTGTATGGCCTGTACACTGAAAATTATAAAAGGAAAATCAAAGACCTTAGTGTATGGAGAGATATACCATGTTAATGAATTGCGAGATTCACTATTATTAAGATGGAAATTCTTCCTAAATTAATCTTTCAATTCAGTGCAGCTGCAATTAAAATCCTAGCATACTTCTTCGAATAGGTGACAAACTAAATTGAAAATTTCTATGTAAAGGAAAAGACCTAAAGCCAAAATAGTCTTGAAAAGGGATAAGGTTGGAGAACTTAACCTGATTCAAGAGTTCCTATTAATCTACAGTAATCAAGAGACAATGATATTGGTATACAGATAGACCTACAGATCAATGGAACAGAATAGAGACTCCAAAAAGACACTCAATGTTATACGGTCCTTTATTGTTTAATGAAGGTACTAGGGTAATTCAATGGGGGAAAAGATGGCCTTTTCACCAAATGGAGCTGAAACAATTGTATCTTTATTTCAAAAAGTGAACTTGACTCTTAACTCATACCATATCCACAAATTAACTTGATAGGATCATAGAACTAAACATAAAAGCTGAAACTGTTAAACTTATAGAAGAAAACATGGGAGAAAATCTTTGTGACATTAGGTTGGGCAAAGATTTCTTAAACAGGACATGAAATCCACAATTTATATAAGAAAAATTATGAAATGGACCTCATACAAATAAAAAGCTCTTCATCTTTGAAAACAGCTAAGAAAAACAAAAAACAAACCACAGACTAGGAGAAAATATTTGCGGAAAATATATATCTAACAAAAAGTTTGTATTCAAAACATATATAGTTTTCTTACAAATCAATAGACAACCCAATAAAAAATGTGCAAAAGATTTAAAACAACATATCACAAAAGTAAAGACACAGATAAGCAAGAGGGACATAAAGAGATGCTCAACATCACTAGTCATGAGGGAAATGCATATTCAAACAACAGTAAGATGCACTACACAACCACCAGAATGACTAAAGGTAAAAGGACTGATAATATCAAGTGTTGATGAGAATGTGGCTCAATCAGAACCCCCATTCATTGCTGGCTGGAATACAAAATGTTAAAGCCACTTTGAAAACCAGTATAGCGTTACCCATTAAATTAAACACATATAACCCGGCCAGTCAACTCTCAGGTATTTAACAAAGAAAAATGAAAATATATGCCCACACAAAGACTTCTATGTGAATATTCACAGAAATATTATTTCTAATAGCCCCAAACTGGAAACAATGAACAGTTCCGTCAATGGATGAGTGGATGAACAGAGTAGGGTACATCCACACCATAGAACACTACTCAGCAGTACAACAGAATGAACCATGGAAACACACCATTATATGGATGAGTCTCAAAAACATAACCCTAAATGAAAGAAGCAAAACTGCAAGGATGACATAATGCATGTTTCTACTGTACTATATTCCAGAAGAGAAAAAAGTAGAGTGACAGCAGGTCCGAGGTGGCCTGGAGCCTGGGGTCGGGACTGGGGACTGGGTATCAAGGAACATGAGCCAACTTTTCAGGGAGATAAGACTGTTCTGTGACTGTGGTGTAGATTATGCAACTGTATGTCGTTACCAAAATTCATCGAACTCTTCACCAAAAGTGAGTAACTTTCACAGTATGTGAATTCTACCTCAGCAAAGCATACAAAAAGATGTCCCACAATAGATAGCAAATATCAAACATGAGTATAAGAAAGTACAGGGCACACCAGACAAATGCAGCCTCTCTCTCTTCTATGTGTTTATTTTGACTTTCTTTTTTTTTTTCTTTTTAGCAACAGGGTCTCTTCAAGAAAGATTATAAAGCCTTTTCGTCCTCTTTCTTAAAGCTTTCCTGTTGCAAGGTATGTTCCTTCAAACTGCAAAGGAATTTAAGAAAAACAACTCATTCAGTTAGGTTAAAAATGTAAATTAACATTCGTGTTTATGGGGGAAACACAGGGTGATTTAACAACAGGTCCCATTAAAAGTTTAGCCAGTTTTCTGAAAATAACATTTGACACATGCAGAGCATCTCCAAGAAGGCCAAATACCAAACGTACTCAGGCTGTGCAGTGAGCTCATTAGCCTTTAATTTAAAAAGTGTTGATATATTCATATGCAGGCCACATTAAAGAAAAAAAGTGAGAGTTACAGGGAAGTGCAGATAGGCACTGCCTTGAACCAATCGCCTATGAAACCTAAACAAGGTGGCAAAGTACAAAACCACCAGGAGTTTTTGTGGCAGAAGTGAGAAGGATATGGCTGGTTCCAACAATTCATAGGAAGCATCAGAAGGCAGGCAGCGTGGAGTGCCAGAAGACACACCTGGAGATTATTCCTGGGGGCTTAATGGGAAGGCAAGAGCTTCACGACCCTCTCAAGTTAAAATGCAATCTTAAAACTGCATTTTACATTGATGCATTTCATGGCATCATTCTATTTCACCTTTTGTCAAGTAGGAGAGCTGGGCAAGTCTCCCCGGTCCTTTACTGTTCAGTGAAAGGCACATCAGAGTCAAGAGAGAAACTTAAAAGTCCCTTTAATTCCCAGAGCAGAACCTTATTCACCTATTGAAGTAAGCCATTAAACTCAATTCAAAAATACCCATCTCATCCCTCCTTCTAACTATATACATAATGTGATATGTTTTAAAAGGCCTAAATGTAATTCAGATACATGGACTACTGCTTCATGGTAAGATTCAGTACATAATCACTTCCAAAACATCCATGGTAATGGGCAACTGGAGTACCGTTTGTAAGTACAATTTATATTTAAATCAAATCCACATGTTTAAACCAAATTCTTGCCAGGCACACTGAAAAATGTTACGGTTAATGCAAAGAATATGAAAAAAATTGGGATCATAAGCTAAGTGTAAATGCTTAATTCTATTTTGACTTTCTTCAAAATTAAGCCCTTTCTCCTTAAAATGCTCTAGTCCAAAGATCTGCTCATTGCAATGTTATTTTCTTTATCTTCCCTTTCTGGTTCTTCAAAGTGGTCATGAGGAGTTAAAAAGTAAATGTTTGACAGTAGTTGGGGACCAGAAATACATCAAAGTGACTGGGGTTTCAAGATGAAAAATCCATTGCAGCAACAAAAACATCTCTTTGTGGAGATACACAAGTTTATTCAGACAGAAGCCCTGTGACTTGAGCCCATCACTAGATGGTTGCTGTGAGGGGCAGGGACCTTGTCTATTGGTCGCTGGCTTATCCCTTAGCCCTGACACACAGTAGGTGCTCAGAAATTTGATGTATTAGTTAATGAAAAACAATGGGTAAATTAACTGGTATCTAACCCGAAGCAAGAAAACACTGGCACACTATTTCCAGCCAAACGAGGCTCATTTCCCGAGTGTTGTTTTGCTTCTCATTCAGAAAACCCGACATTGCTACTCCAAGCTCCTGACCAAGGGCTCCTTCCACGGCCCCTGCCCAGGACAGGGCCCCTGACCCTCAGCTTGGGAGCCTGGAGGACGGAAGGCGCAGGGCCAGGCATGCCATCACACCCCAGGAACACAAAGGAGCAAAGAAGGCTTCCACCCTGGGCACCAGGACTGCAAACTATTTCACAAGCGCCACTGCTATTAAACCTGATTACACAGATGAACATGCCTCTGTCCTGCCAAGTCCGATGAAGGTGGATTCATCTCCCTGTTTATAAAACCAGACAAGATGATGAGCATCAAAAGGCTGGGGCTGAGACGAGACTGGTTACTGAGGTCATCTAGCTGCCCAGTTGTTTAATTCCTTAGACAAATGTCAATGCCCTCAATCAAAAGCTATCCCACTCCTCCGCCTCCCTCCCACTTTAGGAAAATGTGGAAGACAGGGACCCACTGTTCCAGCATTGCTCTTCTCCCAACTACGCGGTCGCTTGTATCTGGGCCTGACCTGTTTGGAAATAAACTCAGATCACCAAATCCTAGTAACTAGCACATCTACTTTATAAGCATCAGTTTAATGCCACAGGTCATCCAGGCCGAATACTACCACCGAAGTTTCAGCCGCAATCTTGAATGTATAGTCACGTATTTCTCAGAGGGAGGAATAATACATACTCCAGAAGTCGGCTGCTTCGCTGCCCCTCCCAATCGCTCTTACCCTCTGAAGGCAATTGCAGGAGCCGTCCACCGCATGCACGGCGGGGTGCATCCCTCCGGGTGACTTTAACAGCCCGGCAGCTGCCTCTGCAGCTCTGAGGCTGCATCGGCTGTCCCCAGCCCTGCTCCCATCTCTCACTGCCCATCACCCTGCATGGACCAGGGTTCCTACTCTTTATCCTCCAAAGTAACATGACCACCAGGCAGGGGACCACACTCTGCCTACATTGGGGGTGGTGGGGGGTCAGTGTGAAAATCACACTCCACACAGCACAAACAGCCACTGGCATGGGAAGCTCTGTCTCCAGAGGGCCAGGCCGCCCCCCAGCAGGGCCACCAGCCACCCTGCATCCTCAGCGCAGCCTCCTGCATATGGCCGCTCCCGCCCTCAGAGGACCCTCACCCCCTCCACTGTCTCTGAGGCCAGCACAACCCCAGAGTTCTCTAAGGAGAAAGATGCAGCGCTTTCTCTCCATCTCCATTTCCTACTAAAGGAGGCCCATCAGGGTTCCAGCCCAAAGAGCAGATCTCTGAGCACCAGGAATTGTGCCTTCCTCCTACCTCAGACCAGAGCCAGACAACCTCTCCCCATGACATTGTTATCACAAAGTGTGATTTCTTTAAAAAAAAAAAAAAAAAAAAGATGGAGTCTTGCTCTGTCACCTAAGCTAGCGTGCAGTGGTGCGGTCATATCTCACTGGAGCCTTGAACTCCTGGCCTAAAGTGATCCTCTTGCCTTGGCCTCCTGAGTAGCTGGGAGGCTACCTATTTTTTTTTTTTTTTTTAGATATGGGGTCTCACTATGTTGCCCAGGCTGGTCTCAAACTCCTGGGGTCAAGCAGTCCTCCTGCATTTGCCTCCCAAAGTGCTGAGATTATAGATGTGATTCTATAATCACACAGTGCGCACGGCCAAAGTGTGATTATTAAGCCGTAAGACTGATTCCACAAGTAGGACAGTCACACATCTGTCTCCGTACTTAACAGACTTTGTATTAAAGGAACATCAAGCATGTGACTTAATCTTGAGTTGGAACTGGTGCCACCCAGTGCCCATGTGACCTTTGTGGACCCTTGGCTGCCTCCAGGACTGGGCTGGTCCTGAGCCCAAGGCAGGCCCCAGGGTTAAGGAATAGCAACTTCTAGTTTTGTAGAGTGCAGGAACAGCCAGCAAGCGGACCAGCCTGCAGGTGGCACAGTGTGGTCAGCAGATGAAACGAAGGAGAACCACTGTGTTAAGAGGCAGCTTAACTTTACTCTAAATCCAGACTTTTGGTTTGGAAGTGTTTAGAATATAGTCCTTCCAAATGAAGTTTCGCTGCCCAGGACCACCCCCCACCCCACCCCCAGCCCACACCACCATGACCCTGGGACATCTGCGGGGGCTGCTCACCAAATGCTATGGTTCTCATGCCCCCATCCCCTTCCTCCTGGCTCGAGGGCAGGCTTCCAGGCAGCAGGAGCCACAGCTCTCACTCTGGGGGTCCACCCTGGGCCCTGGCAGGGTCCCTGCATGTCACACACGTCACCAAGCTGTAACAAAGAACCCATGTTTTATCGTGCCAGGGCACGAGAGCACTCACTCAGTGGGCAGAGAGTCCAGGGTGCCTCGCTGAGCCAGCGGACCCCACCCTGCCGCCTCTCTCTGCTGGGAGACAGATTATCCTTGGGTCAATTTGCTTTCACTGCAGATATTGCTGGAAATCATTTCATTTTGGCCAGGATGTTTTTGGACTCCTACTAGAAGGACACGCTGCCCAAGAACACGCAGCACTGCTAGAATCATGCTGCTCCCTATCTAAAGCCTCGGAATGCTCCAGAAACAGACTGATGACCCCATCATCTCCTCTAAGACTGTCCATTAACAGCTGTGGCATTCAGTGGGAGCAAAAAGGAGGAGGCCATCTTTTAGAATCCAATGTTGTTTTTCTTCTGGGGGAGGAAGACGAACATGTGTTCCTTCCTCTTCTTACTTTTAAAAGTCTGCAGCTGTACACTACATTTCCACATCACTTTATTGAGGTTTATGGTTTTTACAGCAGCAGGTCGGTGACTCCACAAATCATCCATCAAGGAGTCTGGAGACACATGGCTGGAAGCACAGGTAGGGGGCAAATTTAATTCTTTTGACTCAAATGTGAATTTTATGATCGGGCAGTGTTTTTTTTCCTTTAACTTGGCCTCTAAGGACACATATTTGAGGATGAAACTCACCCTGAAATACCACCTAGTCACCTCAAATTATCTGAGATATTTCAAAAGAGAAAGCTTCCGACTACAGAGATAAACACATCATTTTTCATGAAAGCAAACATTATCTGAGGATGACAGTGCTTCAAAACGGAACCTCTTCCACCTCGGTGGGATGGTGCCATGGAAGTCTCTAAAGCAGTAACAGCGTAACAAGAGGACACACTCTGTGGACAGCCTATGTGGATGAAACACAAGTTTAAGGACATCAGAACGCTGTCTTCTGTGCACACATTATTTAAATGTCCTGCCAACATTCAGAGAAAGGATAGGATCGCTATTGATCCAAAAGTTATATTTTCTTTTCAGTGTTTTTCACACTGGAGGGGTTAGCAGCTCAACCTTTGTTTCTTGCCATGTCCACATGACTATGAAAACCACACTTCACAAAGTCACTTGATAGATCCCATCCTAAAGGCATGTATTATTTACTTGGGTCTAGTTCTGTGAGCTCTGTGGCATTCCAGCTTCCTACAGGGCTTTCTAAAAGTCTTGCACCGCGACAGCCTGCCTTTGAGGTTGCCAAGGTCTCCATATGCATTTTTTCATTTTCTACTTGTGGATGACCTCCTTTTAACAGGCATCAGTGTTCCAGGTAGCTTACAGTCATCACCACCATTTGTATCATCAAAGGCCATCTTCGGAGAATACCTTTCCCTTTGGAATGTGGGAGGAATACATCAAAGAGAGAACCTGAATCTCCCAAGTAGCTAGTTCTGAAAGGTCACCACTATGGTACATGGGCCTTTGGCCAGTGCCGGGCAACTGGGGGCCCAGGACTGCCAAATGAGGGGGTGGCTGGGGGCAAGCTCTGGTTTGCTCAGAGCCAGAATCAGACAGTGAGCTCCTTAACCAGGTTCTCCCTACACATCTTTAATCTCTGTACTTTCTAAGCAAGGGTTTCAAGTAGATGCTGCTATTTCGACTTCCCATCATTCTGACATCAGTTGGGCCAGTGTCTCTGGCCTCCTGTGATCCAAAGCATTGGGAAGCTAGAACCACGGCCGAGGATCTAAGCTCTCGCTACCCAAAGCGTGGGCCACAGACCAACAGCAGGGGCATCACTGGGAGCTTGTGAGAGAGGCAGATGCCCAGGCCTCACTCCCAACATCAGAATCAGAATCTGCATCTTCCTGGAACCCCCTGGGAGTCATGTATCCTACAGTTGGGGGAACGCTGCTATGCAGGAGCCAGTGGGGTGTGCAATGGGAACCACGGGTGTTACTGCAGAATCTAACTCTGCAACAAGCTAGTTGTAGAAGAGCAAACTATTCTTTTTGAAAGTGGCATAAATTTGCAAACTTACGTAAATTATACTAACCTTGTTGAGAGGTTGAAAACAGATGATAATAACAGCGCTCAACTCTGGGCTGGGCGTGGTGGCTCATGCCTGTAATCTCAGCACTTTGGAAGGTGAAGGTGGGTGGATCACCCGAGGTCAGGAGTTTGAGACCAGCCCGGCTAACATGGCAAAACCCCATCTCTATTACAGATACGAAAATTAGCCAGGCGTGGTGGTGCACATCTGTAATCCCAGCTACTCAGGAGGCTGAGGCAGAAGAATTGCTTGAACCTGTGAAGCGGAGGTTGCAGTGAGCCAAGATGGCACCACTGCACTACAGCCTGGGCGACAGAGCAAGACTCCATCTCAAAATAATAATAGTAATAATGGTGCTCAATTCTGCTGTGAGGACTAACAGGGTAACGCAGGTAAGGCGTCTCCAGCTCAGTGCTGGCAGAGGAAGACTACTGGCAGATGTGGGCTAGGAGTCACTGTGTTTTCCCCCATATACTTTTAGACTCAGGTGGGGAAGAGCCCCCACTCTCAGGGATCTGCTACCAGGCTGCTGTAGGAAAGCCCAGGTAGGTTGTCCAGGGCAGCATATCAGGCAGTGAAGTGTGAGGCCAGGTGCAGAAGCCACAACTTTGGGTAGAAAGGCAGACGACAGTCACTAGGAAGCCAGGAGGGAGTGTCCCAGCCTCCTACATGGAGGGCAGGAGCCGACAGAGAAATGGAGGCAGCTGGCCCAGGACGTCAAGCCAGGCTAAAGCAGGAGGCAAGCTTTGAGAATGGGTGTCCATGGCGAGGGAAGCAGGGGGTGCTGCAGGAGTGGCAGCCCGGGGTCTCCAGCCCCAGACCTGATGGGCTGCCTCTGTGAAGGCCATGGTGGCCTCCTGGGACTCAGGCAGGTCCCCAGGTCCTTCTCATTCCTTTCACCCACCAATTTAGACCATGTAGGACTGCTTGGGCCATTCTACTTCCCCTCCTTTGCTCTCACACTCTGCCTCGTTTCTCCCTCCAGCGGAGCTCTCTCTTCTGCCTCTTCCAAGTAGCCATGCATGTGGCCGAGTCCTAACAAATTTCCTAGAGGGGCCGGTGAGCAGAACAAGGTGAGAAGCCAGAAAGCCCGCGGGTGAGGGACTGCAGGCTGGGGAGAGGCTCACATTGGGTCAGCCTGGAGCTAGGTCTTTGGCGAGGATTGAGAAGAGGTGGGAAGAACAAGGTCTTCTGGAAAAGCTGTGTGTGCAACAGGCTCCCTCGGCCCAGGCCAGCACCATAAGGGCCCGGTCTCCAGAAGGCCAGCAAACCCAAGTGTCAGCCTGGAGGCCCGCCTCCTATACAAGGCACAGTTCATGCTTCATTCAAGGACAAGGGCATATGCCAAGCGACAACCCTGTCAGCAATATTAAGACATCTTCCCATGCACGACTCTCTAAGGCTGATCTGTGACGGTTGTCATGAAGTGTCTGTAGAACTGGTATTTTCTGAGCACCATTAAATTCACTTATTTGGCTTCTCTGCCTCACAGCCTTCTCCAATGAGCTGAGTAAAAGCACGAAACTTAATGGTGTCTTACAGGGAACCTGCACCAGGACATGAGGTTCCAGCCCAGTCAGCATCACTGCCCAACGTTCTCTGCCAAGGGCAGCTGCAAATGACAGGGGTGCTTTTCATCCTGCAGCACAAACATAACAGTCCCATGCATTCTATACACCCATCCAGATCATCTATATTCATGAGACAGACAGTAACCAGAAAAGGGGCCAGGACACCACTCAGGGAAGGAAGTGAGGGAAGGAGGAAGGGAGGAAGAGAAGGGGAAGAGAGGAGGAGAGGAGGGGAGGACTTTGGACCAGCACTCAGAAGCCTTAGTTCACACCGTGTCTGCTGTTTCTCAGCCTTACATCCCTAAGCAAATCTCCTGTCCTCTTTGAGGCCCAGCTCACCCACATATAAATGGAAAAACACCTTCGAGGATGCGATAAAGATGAAACGATGACACATGGCAAGTGCTTTCTACATTATAGAGTACATCATTGTAGAACTGACATTTTATTTTTGCTCTGACTAGGATCAAATCACACCAAAAATAACCTCACAAGAGTAACACAGAAATGGTAGTTAATGCTCAAGCAAGACAATGGAGAAAATGTTGCCCATTATTTAAAAAGTATGGCTCAATCACAAGTGATCTCATGATACAGAAAATGCAAAAATGTGAGAGACTTTTTAATTGCTTTTTTATACTTCTGGCTTTGTTTTTGGAGCTAACTTCATTTCCCCTCTTACAGACACATCTCTTTTTCTCTTCTCACACATTTAAAGCTGTTCAGAGTGCATTATATGTTTTCCAATATTATAAAAATCCCTTCCACACACTTTATGACATGCCCCAGCTTATCCGGGGATATTTTTCCCACCACATGCAGTGCAAGGAGTCACTCCAGGCTCATTGACAAGAGGAGGGCCTAGTAGGCTCCTGCGGAAATCCTGAAGGCTTGGGAGATGCTGTCCACCTAACTTGCGATGGGAAATGAAAATGCACAGAGGATATATCCCATATCCATCCTATGGGAGTGTTTGCTTATAACAGTGCCATAAAATTCCCACAGGAAATTAGCTCCCTTCCCCCCAAAATAAAATATAATAAAATTCCCAAATCGCGACTGAGTCCATGAGATTTCAAGCATGATTAATACCTAAAAAGTATTCTGAAATAGAAAAAGCTGCTCTAAATCTGCATGCAGAGAGAAACCTCACATAGACACACAGGAGGGCGCAAGATATCCTTTGGAGAAGAGTGATAAAGGGGGTGGTGAGGCCCCGCTGGGGTACATGGCCCAGAGTACAGGTGGGAGAAGAACCGTTCCTCCTGGTCATTCCGCCCCCTAGAGTGGGCACAGCACGTCTCATAGTCTGCTAAGTAAGGGCTTTAGTTTTCCACTTACAGGTGCCACTCTCCCTGGGACCCAGGCGCAGGCAAGCGGGAGTTCTGGTTCCCACCCAGCTCTGCTCTCCTGCTCATGTTCTGCTTCCAGGGCCTCCTCAAGCCCAGTGAGGCTGGGCCTTTTGTGGGTCACCCCGGCAGATGCCAAGACCTTCCCAGACACAACACAGATTTGAAACAGGATTTCAGCCCCCTGAAGCACGCCCATCAACTTCCAGTGACATTGGTCAGATTTCTGCAAAACGAATGACGTTTATGGGAATGCCCACGTTTTCCTGCAGATCCCGACTGGTAGTTCTCCAGGTGTCCAGGATGGCCAGGATCTGGAAGCAGCTCTGTGGTCTGAAAGGCAGAGGTTGACTTTAGCGTGTTTAAATGTGAGATTTGCAGAATGGACTCAGGGCGTGGGGATGATGCTCACTGTGTGCCAGGTGCTGGTCTATGCTCTTCGTTCTCCCAGAAAAACAGAGAGCTTAAGGTCAGTGTCTCTATTTTACAAATAGGGACACCCAAGCTCTTGGACATTAAGTCATTTGCTGAAGGTCAAAATAATCAGATGTGGGACAGTCAGGGCTCAACACACAGGTCTGCCAGCTCCCACGCCACTCCCACTTCATCACAAAGCACCGTATCCAGATGAATTTAGTCCTTGCACCTAGACCTGAGTACGCGTGTGTCTGTGCCTGCCCGCAAGCACGCACACATCCATGCAAAGGCGCACGCACACTCCCAAACCAATTGCAGGGATTGTAATTAAGCTCTTCTAACACTCAGGCACAGTGAAGATATAAGCAGCTTTAACTAGGGCAGCCTTAATTTAGAACTGGGGCGAGATGGAGAGTGACACACGCCAACTTAGTTGGCATTTTAATTCTTTTTAAGATCAAGAAGATCAAGTCACTCTTAAAGCTTCAGAAGCTCAGGATAAAATCGTAGGCTTAGTTCTGATGTGGAGAAAAACGCAAGGCTTCCATTCTGGGGACCCTGCATGAAGCCACATCTCCTTTGCAGGGAGCTGAAATACGCACAGTTCATTCCATATGATCTGGTTGTCTCGGCTTTTGCTGGAATGAGCAGGTTTTGGAGCAAAGATAGGTGAAAGTGATGTTTAGTGAGCTATTCATAATAAATGGTTATTGTTTGAAGCCACTGAGCTTGGAAGTGGTTTGTTACACGGCGTTACTGAGGCACTACCTGATACAGACAGTAACTTTCCTTCTTAGTAATAAGGTGACCAGGTAACTTAGGGCCTTCCTTCAAACTCTGTTCCCAGATAACAGACTAACCACTCTGCTTAAATTTTTTTTCAAAGCCCCAGGTGAAGATATTTGATCTACTCAACTAACTTCATTTTATTAAGCATAAAAAACCTGCATTTTTCTTTAGAAAAAATTAAACAGGTGTAACAGAATGTGTAATTTTAAGTTTCAAAGGAAGCATCAAGATACAGTCAATATAACACATCAAAGTGAGGGTGCTGATCACGTGTGTTTTTTCAAAGTAAAGTGTAAAATAAAAACCAACCCAAGACCCTTTGGTTCTTCTCTATCATGCAGCAGGGCCCGGTCCTGATTCAGAAGGGGCTTCCCTGGTGCTCTGAGGCTCCTCTCAGTTACAAGGGAAGTCGGGGGTCCCGACCTGGAAGACCGAGGTGCTGACAGCTAAAGATGCCTTTGTGAAGAGAAGCTCTTCTGAGGCATCTGTGCCGAGGATCACGCTAGGACCCCTCTCCAGGGACAGAGTGAATGGTCCCCCTCCTGTGTCCAGGCCAAGGCAGAGAGAGGTTCACCAGCCAAGAAGCTCCTAACAAGGCAGGGAGGCTCATGGACTGTGGCCTGATCCTCACCCAGGAATGCTAGAGACCCAGAGAGATGGGCTGTCTCCTGCTGCAAAGGGTGGGGCTGGGACCACCTTAACCTTAGAGTCAGCCACAGCAAAAGGTTCGTGTCACCAGGGAGAGCCCACTGGGGTCGGTCCAAATCCTTCCCAAATGGCCCACCTGGAAAGGCAAAGGGGTCCCCATAGAAAAGGTCTGTGGCAGACATCATCCAGATACCAGGGGGAGTGGCCAGGGAGGCAACTGCATGGTACACAGCAAGGAAATGGGGAGACGCTCTGGCCAGTGGCTCTGAAGAGCCCAGGAGACTACGTTCCACCACAGCCCAGCAGACTTCAACAATCCAGAAGCTCAGAACAATACTGAGCCGTCAGCCTGGGTCAGGCTCTCCTGAGGCTGGGATCAAGGCGGGCTGCACTCTCATCCCAGGCCTGGGGTCCTCTTCAGCATTCGCCTGTACCGTCAGCAGAATTCAGTCCCTTGCTATTGCAGGGCTGGGGTCACTGTTTCCTTGCCATGTGGCCCACTCCCCTCCCAACAGTGTGGCTCATTTCTTCATGGCCAGCAGGAGGGTGTCTGAGACTGCTGCATGTCCCCCCTAAAGACTCACCTGATTAGACCAGGCCCACCCAGGACAATCTCCATTCTCATGAATTGATCGGGGATGTCAATTACATCTACCAAATCCCTTCACCTAGGTCACTGAATTTGCCCTAATGTGAGGATACCCATCTGACCCCACCCAGGAAAGGAGACCACCCAGGGTGTGCACATCTTGGGGTGGGGGTCTTGGGGATGGTCTCAGAGTCTGCCTCGCACACAGTGGGGGCACCAAGAGGAGACTGCTGTGGACACTGGGACCTCCACGGGCACAGGCTATCTAGAATGTTGCCGGGGGCACAGCGTTCCTGCTCCTGGGCAGCTGGATCTGGGCTAAAGGACAGAGCCGGGAAGGTGGGGATGTGAGGCTGGAATGACAGGTGGGAGCATCCACTCTCAGCACCTCGTAAATGCATCAAACGCACCTTTACAAACTTCGTACATACATTTAAGATAACACTATCAAATATTTGCAAAAAGCTGACAATGAATTTCTGACTAAAATCCCCCCCCAAGCCCCAAAACACCCTAGGATTTACTGCTGGGTTTTTAAGTGTTAGGTTCATTTAAAAGAGTAGAAAACACATTCGGCTTAGATAAAAAAGACAGAGCTAAACATTCCAGATATGGCTTTTGTGTCTGATGCCATATCATTCTAGTCCTTTTTTTGTAGCATGTAAGCTTCTACCTGGATGACACAGGACAAAGACTGTTGAGGATTTCAAGCAGGTGCCATGTTCCAGGACATGAAGCCCAGCAAGTCAGTCACATCTCTGAAAACAGATCACATTTGCAGTTTAAACAAACAAACAACCCCTTAGGACCACTCAGTGCAGATACGAGATATGCAGACTAGCCCTTCCAAGGACCTGCAGGGGAAAGATATGTAAAAGGCATGCTCTTAAGCAACATTATACGATGAGGGTACAGTGCAATGCTACACAAATATTAAAAAAACAAAAAACAAAAAAAGGTCTGTTGTAGGAGATTTTCTAGAATCATGTATAATGTTCCACTTTCAAGGGTCTGCCTGGATAGCAGGAGGAGAGGTCCTTTGGTTCTAGAAAACAGCAAGGCTACAGGCTAATAGAGAATTATGCAGCTTGTCCAGAGAGCAAGAAGTCAGCCTGGCCAGCCACTGCTAAAAAGCAAGGCAATGGAATGCCACAGCATTTATCACCTTAAACAAAAGAAACAGATGGGAAATATTTTCCAGTTTTCAAAATACTGCTTTAGGGGAAAAAAATGATAAAAACAAACATGTTCAACAAGTAGCATTTGTTAACTAAGAGCTTCACGTGAATTACTTCACCATAACCCTGCAAAGTAAGCACTAGTGTCCTTAGCCCACCTGCAGACAGGAGACCAGGGCACTGCATGTTCAGCCACTTGCCATGGAGACAAAACCAAGTCTTGGAGCTGATTACTCACCAGCCTTAGAGAAAACAGAGACGGCTACTAGATTTCAAATTACAGTGCCAGTAATGTCTATTACTCTTTGTATAATTTCCTTATTTTTCCATATATCTCATTCTCATCTTACAAGAGTGCCCATATTTAAGATAATTTTTGTATGCCAAAACAGAGCAGGTCACCAACATGGCTGAGAGAAAGCTCAGATGACTCCTCGTCACGTGCTCATGGAACAGACCCCGTGACAACTTCAGTTTCCAAATCAAATGCAGCAACTGCTCCCTTCTTCCTCCTCACGCCACTCATATCACAAAAGAGAGCAATGACAGAGGATGACTGTCATCTTGTGGGTTTGTACCACCTCCCAAGTTATTCCACTGGCAATCCATCCAGCACAGGTACTCAGAGAGGACATTAATAAGGCAATCTGTCATACTTTCAACTCTCCTGGTTTGTTTTGCTCTATCCCATCTCTAATGAGAGCAAGTGCAAAAGCTCCTAATGACTCCAGATCTTCCACAACAGGCTGATTTTTACACCTGTAGCAAATCACAAAATAGTCTAATCATGTAAATATGCTTAACAAGAAGGTAATTAATCTTCTCAACCAAATTTTGCAAACAAATATTCATGGTTAAGACACAGAACAATTCCCAAGTGTTCAGGTCCTCATAGCTTGCAAAGCCAGGCTGCACGAGTGCCAGCGATCAAGAGTCGGTTGGGTCAGCCTCTCCCAAACTGCCCTTCATGGGACATATGTGTTCTGCAAGCTGCTAATGGGTCTTTTTCTAAAAACAAAAAGGACTCCAAGGCTACAACAGTAGGGAGACTGACTCATTAAGCAAAGTCTAACGGGCTTTCTGACTCTGCAAGGCATTCACTAGGCTACCTCCAATGGCGAGTCTTCAGGAAGACGAATTCCAGTGGCCTGTCCAAGAGGTGCCGAGGGTGGGGATGTATTCTCCAACAGCAACATCCCTTGCATTCTCTGACAAAGACTTTCCTGTCCTGTCTTCTTAATCTCAAGTGAATGTGAGGGCTTTTTTTTTTTCAGACAGTCTCGCTCTGATGCCCAGGCTGAAGTGCAGTGGCACAATCAGGGCTCACTGCAGCCCCTAACTCTCAGGCTCAGGTGATCCTCCTGCCTCAGCCTCCTGAGTAGGTAGGACCACAGACACCTGCCACCATGCCCAGCTAATTTTTTAATTTTTAGTAGAGACGAGGTCTCCCTATGTTGCCCAGGCTTGTCTTGAACTCCTGGGCTCAAGAGACCCTCCCATCTTGGCCTCCCAAAGTGCTGGAATGATAGGTGTGAGACACTGTTCCCAGCCTGCGGGTATTTTTAAGTTGTTCCCTCTGAGTCTCCCATCCTAAAGAACAGCTGCCCCGAGCACTTCCTATGTGGACATTCCAGGCAGCTGGGCCGTGTACACGATGTCCTCCCGCTCTGTCTGAATATGTCACTTCCTTTGTCAAGAGACATCTATTAATATCTCAGCAAACAGAGCACTAAAGATATGTAAAGTACAATTTAGGAAGAATCACCCTAGAGTCTAGGGTGATGGTTATTCTATACCCCACTGCTACTATTCAAGGTTCTCCCTCCTCTCGATCAGAGGATGCCAACAGGGCCAACTTTCAGGGGAAGCTGAAGACAGGCTTTAGCAGACTTGGGAAGCTGCCTCCAACTAAACGGTGAAAATTCGACTCATCCCCATGAATTCTTCTGAAGAATTACCAGCAACATTTCATTGCCCAATCCCCTAACAAGTGTGTGATAAAAAAGAACTGGCAAATTATAGGGTCTATAGAGGATTCTTATGGTTGAGAAAATTCCTTGTTCTCAAGGGCACACACAGGTCTACCCTCTTTTTCATGTGTATTCATTACCTAAATGCACCTGTAGCTAGTGCATATTTTACGTAGCAAATTCCAAGTATGTTTTAAACTTTAAGCTTTTGTACTTAACAGCATAGACTTGAGGCAACAGGACTTAGTTATAAAATATCCTCAGAAAATTTGAAGCTCATGAAAATGAAAAATCAATATGAGCTGGTAAACCAGCACTTTTTGGGTATTTACCTGAGATAACATGAGGTATGGTGGAAAATTTCATTTCCACTTTTTTGTTTTTTAGAGACACAGTCTCCTTCTGTCACCCAGGCTGGAAGTGCAGTGGTGTGACTTCGGCTCACTGCAACCTCCACCTCCTGGGTTTAAGCAATTCTCCTGCCTTGGCCTCCCGAGTAGCTGAGACTACAGGTGCATGCCACCACACCCTGATAATTTTTTTGCATTTTTTTAATAGGGCCGGGGTTTCACCATGTTGCCCAGGCTGGTCTCGAACTCCTGAGCTTAGGCAATCTGCCCGCCTCGGCCTTCCAAAATGCTAGGATTACAGGCATGAGTCACTGCGCCTGGCCCATTTCTGCTAACCTTTGGAAGTTGTCAAGTCTTTTTAGAAAAGGTAAGCATCCCCTTGAGGAAATCAATGAAAGAAGGGAAACCCAAGGCAGACAGGGAAAGAGCTGACCCCAGCTCCCCGGCTCCCTCCGGAACACCAGGGAGAGCCACGTAGGTTGATGCCACATGTTTCTGGAACTAGAAGGATGGTGAGTGAGTTTCATGTCTGGCAACAGTGAGTGAGATCCCCAGAGGAACCGTCTGCTGGAAACAACTAAAGTGCTGGATAAAGTAATCTTTAAAATGACAGTAAGAAAAAGTAAGCAATACTTGGAGCCCATGAGCTAAGGAAAGCAGGAACTTAGAGAGTTCATTCAGCACTCAAGGTTTCCACTTCGAAAGTATTTGCCAAAGCAATGAATTTGAGCTTCCATTTTAATGCACTCTTGCAGCTAGCAGACGGGAGACAAAGCCTAGGGCATTTCCACTGCGGGGCTCCCACAACGAACACTGCTGCTGAAGAAAGCTGAGTCTTCACAAAATTATATCCTCCGTAGAATGGTGAACTAGGAATAAATTCATCCCCGAGACCCTTCCTACCCTAGCGGCCTGCAAGGAAAATGACTAGTCTTGAAAGGATGGGAACAACTATCTCCACCCATGAGAATGTGTAACCATAAGTCTGCCCATAAGGAGGTTTATAAACTAAAATCATACTCTCTGGGTGAGTCAAAAACACCGAAGCCAGTAATAGAAAATAGTCAAAGCTGGGGATGTTTCCAAGACATCTGGTGGGTATAAATTCATGGACCCCCTGGAGAAACCCACCTTCAACCTAGGCCAAGAGTTTCCATAGATGTACTTCTAAGAATTATAAGCTCACTTTTAAAAAACGAAAATCACAAAACAAACAAGAAACAAAGCACCATGAGTGAGATCCAGCATAAACACGGGAAGTTTAATGAGACTTGCAAAGACTTCAGATGTGGGAAATACCAGATAGAGTGGGTAAAATTAAGTATGTTTAATAGCTTAAAAAGAAAAGAAGACATTGGGAACTTTGTATAAGGAGAAAGACGACTTTTTAAAATGACAATCCCATTTGAAAAGAACAGATACAGCTTCTGGAATGAAGAATATAATACAAGAAACACAAACCTACTGGATGGGTCTAGTAACACGAGACACAGCTGAGGAGTGAACTAATGACTGTAGGAAGTTACCCAGGATGTAAAAGCAGAAAGATGGGAAATACAGAAGAGAGAGAAGGAGTGCAGAGGACAGAGTGGGAAGCTCTAACCCACAACTCATCACAAGAGGAGGATAATGAGACCAAGACGGAGGCAATGTTTGAGGAGATCTTGAAAATCTGCGAGTTTTCCAGAACTGCTGAAAGACACCAATCCACAGACTAGGAATCTCACAAAATAACAAACAGGACAAAAAGAAAAGAAAAGAAAGTCATGGCCGGGCGCGGTGGCTCACGCCTATAATCCCAGCACTTTGGGAGGCCGAGGCGGGCAGATCACAAGGTCAGGAGATCGAGACCATCCTAACACAGCGAAACCCCATCTCTACCAAAAATATAAAAAATTAGCCAGGCGTGGTGGCGGGCGCCTGTAGTCCCAGCTACTAGGGAGGCTGAGGCAGGAGAATGGCATGAGCCCGGGAGGCAGAGCTTGCAGTGAGCTGAGATCGCACCACTGCACTCCAGCCTGGGCGACAGAGCGAGACTCCATCTCAAAAACAAACAAAAAAAAAGAAAGTCATGTCCAGACATATTATAAGAACAGTATGTCATATAAAGACCTAGAGGTAGCTAGAGCGAAATATTCTCCCACCTGTGGGGCTTCAACAACTGCAAACTGCACTCCTTCCAGGAACCCCACGTGTGCCTCCAGGACCACACTGCTTGTGTGGAAGCCAGGCATCCACGGGCCGCCCTCCCTGAACACAGTGACTGACTGCATCTTACAGATGGCCACCAGAGACATTCAGACATCTAAGGAAGCCTCACCAGCAGACTTCATAACCCATGGGCAACCAGGAAGCTCTTTCCAAAACGGAGCTACCTCTGGTTCCTCGGGACCTTGTGGAGGGAAAACCACATCATTACTCATGTGTATCGTGCAGGCAGTTGTCCCACATGGGGAGTCATCCAGTTAGAGAAAGAAGATGTGTCTGTGTAAGGGAAGTGGAAGATGACAGGAACATTCTTCTGCTGGAACTGGGTAGTGGGGACATAAGCATCCACTGGAATTGATGATTCTTAATACCTCACACATAGGTTATACATATTTGCTTATATCAACTCAATATTTAATAAGCCATTTTTAAAAGAGATGCCAGGCCAGGTGCAGTGGCTCACATCTGTAATCCTGGCACTTTGGGAGGCCAAGGCGGGAGGATCGCTTGAGTCCAGGAGTTCAAGGCCAACCTAGGCAACACAGCCAGACTCTGTCTCTGCAGAAAAATCAAACAATTAGCCGGGTGTGGCAGCATGTGCCTGTAGTCCCAGATATTCGAGAAGCTGAGGCGGAAAGATCACTTGAGGTTAGGAGTTCGAGGCTGCAGTGATCTAGGATTGTGCCACTGCACTCCAGCCTGGGGAACAGAGCAAGACCCTGTCTCAAAATAAATAAAGGAACAAAATGAAATGAAGGGATGCCAGCTGCCTAAGGAACACAGGCTGATATAAGGCCACTCTCCTTCAAAGAAGGTGCCGTCAGGAAGCATCGTGAAAGGCTTCTTCTCCAAATGAATCGCCATTATCCAGGGTAACAAACCTAAACACCTTTATATGACCTTATACAGAATTTATAAAACTTTTTAGGATTGAAATACACTGATGCTCTCAGACACTGATCCCTGAATCAAAAATAGTGTCCACTTGAAGTGCCGCTCTGTTGGTTTTTAGAAATAAACGAAATTTCAAATGCCACCCTAGCAATAAAGAGCCACACGATGTACACACATTTGTGAAGGAGGGCGCTACCAGAGTCCTCAGGTCTCTCCACAGCACACCCTCCCCGACGGCCTCAGAGGCACAGGTGTCCCCTGGATCTGTACTGTGCCACCAAGGTGACATCTGAACAAATACAGGTGTGTGTTGGCTGCACAGGGCTAGAACTTCCTGTAAGGCACGAGGGCTCCTCTAGGACACCCGGAAGAGATCGTTCATGGCTTCACTGCTGCTGTAAAGGTTCAACCTCATTCGAAGTTTGTTACTGTCACTTGTATTTGCAACACCCTCACTTTTTCTACATTCAATTTTGGGTGTAGGGAAGAGGGGGATATGTAAATAAAACCTTGATATGGTCCAAAGACCTACAGTTCTTTTTTCTTACACATGGACACTTTTAGGAACCAAAACATTTCAGCTTAGGCCGAGTGCAATGGCTCAGGCCTGTAATCCCAGTGCTTTGGGAGGCCAAGGTGGGTGGATCACTTGAGGCCAGGAGTTCAAGACCAGTCTGAGCAACATGGTAAGGTCCCGTCTCTACAAAAAAAAATTTTTAATTAGCCAAGCATGGTGGCATGTGCCTGTAGTCGCAGCTACTTGGGAAGCTGAGGTGGGAGGATCCCTTGAGCCCAGGAATTCAAAGCTGCAGTCAGCTATAATTGTGGCACTCCAGGTTGCACTCCAGCCTGGGCGACAAAGAAAGACACTGACTCAAAACAAAATGAAACGAAACAAAACAAAAAATTTCAGGTTGCTTAAGAAATTCCCCATAAAATGCAAATAAATACCTCAAGCAGTAGTGATCGTAATATAATTTAGAAATGTTTCAGCTCTCCAAATCTTGTGTCATTGTCTGACTTATTTATTAGGTCCTTAAAAAGGTAAAATAAAGAACCATTGTTAAATGATGAAACATAAACGTGAATTTGTAAGTCTACTGAGATTCCTTCAAGAGGCTGGCAAAACAGCAGGAACCTTTCACCAGTGCTATACATCTGATCAGTCACTTGCATTACATGACAATTTAGCATTTGCTCATCTGTGTTGGTGTCTATGTGCTGTAGTTTTAGTTTTTGTTTTTTAAGACAACTGTCCTATAACCATAAGCCATCTAGGACAACCTGGCTTCAAAGTTACATTCAAAGTGACATGCAAGAACCACCACCACTCCTTGTTTGTCTCCTGTTCTTTGCTCCACATTTGGAAGCTTTTCAAAAAGCAAAGTCAGAAATACTCATCCTTCCTTCCCTCATGCCTACAGGCAGCTCACCAAGGATTTTGGTTTCTTTAAAACCAATGTAATAACAGAGGCAGGCAGAAGAAAGAATGCACGCCAGTGTTGTGCACAAGGAAGGCCTATTCGGGAGACGAACAGAACCCAAGCCTATCGAGACCATATGCTCCACCGCTTACATTTGTCTTCTCTAAAGGCTGACCCTTTAACAGTTATGTAATTCAGTTACTTCACAACCATTTAAATATAGCAAAATGTCCACAAAGAAAAAAAGTTGCCCACCCACCTAAATACCTTCCATGCTTTGCCCACAGTGGTAATGTGGGGGTGGGGGTGGGCAAACATGCCTTTCAGTGAAAGCATGGAGAGATGTTACAGTCCAGGGCTTGAAAGAGCCTCTGTCAATGGCTTGCTCACCTACAAATAGTGTAGGGTGGGTTTGAGCAGAGACGTTGAACCTACAACTCTCACCTGTGCACCAGGATGTTTGCAGAGGCTGGGCAGCAACACCAGCCTGGGTTTCACCAGGGCTTCTGCATGAGCTTAGCTCATCAAGCTGCATTGCATTAAGCCTGTGATCCTGGGATTAGCTCAGAGACACAGCTGTCCAAGGTGGAAGTTACAAGACCAAGCGAACCCACGGCTTCTTTAAATAAATATACACATAGACACAAATATGGAATTTAAATAGTCTTAAGACAGTGTTAACAAGTAGTCCCCAGAGAGGGCTACCACGGCCTATGATGTCAGCCTTTCCCATTACCTCGTCTGTCTCTATTTGGCCCTAGAATCCTGGCTCACCTGTCAGCGAGGCCCACCTGACTCGGATATCCATGGTCAATTATACGAGAATGGGTTATTTAACTCTTAGCTTTATAAATGGAGGAAGGAAGCTTTATAAATGGAATCGATATCTGTTGTATATTTATTATATGCTAGACACTGTGCTAGGTGATTTATTTGTATTCATCTAATTCCCACAGTAATTATGTGAAATTGGTTTATTATCTCATTGTAGAGAGGAGGAAACTGAGGTTTAAAGAAACGGTTTACTCTTCCAAGGTCACAGTTCACAGAGAGAGTCAGGATACAACCCAGGACTTCAGCCCTCCACGAGTTATTATGGATTCTTTGAAAATGGGTGGGCCCCTATTATGGAATGAGACCTATATACAGTTTACTAGAAGTTAGTACAAGAGTTAACATATACGACAAAGTACACATGAAATACAACAACAATAATCTCCAATCTCTCCAACTTCCTGGCAAGAGGCAAAAGTCTGTTGGGACTGTATGGATCATGCTTTCTCCAGCACCCCAGTTCCCTGAATTGATCCACAATGGTGAGCTATGGCCCTTCTAGCTGAAAAAGCCTATATTACTTTCTGCTGAAAATTCTCAGGATGTCTATCTGAATTTCTCCAAGTTCTGACTTTGAATCAGAGTCTTCATCAACAAGATCTCTAAATACTTTTAAATGTTTCAAGCTTAAAAAGACAGGCTAAGTGTGCCAGGGTAGGACCCACCTTATACACTTTTACCTTGGCCTGACAGGTGTTCCATGAGTAACCTCTAACACGCTCTCATGAAATCAAAGCCCAACATAGGTCCAAGGCTTGGGGCCCTGGTGATTTGAACATAGCAAGAAAATTCAGCATAAGCTCTGAAAGCTCACAATAAACGGAGACTGATGAAGACGATGAAGGTGGAAGCCTGTGAGGACCTGTCCGCTCCTAAATATCTGAGGATCCAGCTCCCCACGGGATCCCCAAGAAGAAGATCTGAAGCTCCTGAAGTTTGCATTTTCCCTAACAAAAGAAGGGAAAAACACATGTAATTTAATAACTTCTTAACTATATAAGTATGGCCAAAAAATGTCCATGGAGACACAAAGTTGCCCACCCACAAAAACATCTTGTGTTTAGCCCACAGTGGTTAACACGGAAAATGTGACTTGCTTACTGATCTCTAAATGTGTTCTGAAGCAGCAGACAGCTCAGATTACAGAAACCGTTACTAGGCTGTCTGTAAGCCTGGAGACAGGAAGGGTGCAGAGTGTATTACAGTGAGGGCTGGCCAGGCTCTGTCACCTGTCAGGGCAGCTCTGTGACCCCGGGGCAAGTGCCACCCAGAACAAAGCAAACTGCAATGTAGGGCAGGCTGGATGACATGATCATCAGACTGTGCACACTTATGGAGCTTATGTAATGTGCAAGACCCTGTTCTGGTGCTGGCCCTCTGGGCAGTTTAGACCCTTATTCGTTTAAAGGAACTGCTGCTGAGCAACTAGCATCTGTGGCCAAACTTCATCCACTGCACTATCATTTGATAATTCAGAGACAATCTCCGAAGTCCAAAAGGCAGTGAGAGAAGACAGGATAGGGTAACGTATAAAATAAGCCAAAAAAATTTACTTTTCAGTGCAAGTGATCTCCACTGCCAAATTTATTTTCAAGCAAAATGTGAAATCCCAACATATTACAGCCAACTGGAATTTGACCAGTAATACCCAGGACAGTATCGGAACCTAGTTATCCCAAAAATATGGGTGTAAATTTTAAAGTTAAACATAAATGCAGTTAGAGTTAGAGGAGGGAGGAGGCAGAATACCTGGAAAAATCAATCTCTAATTTTCTCAAATTAAATGCAGTAGTCATTAGTTCTCTAAAGCTCAAGGAAGAATTGATCAAGTCCATTTAACCTAGGAACTGTGAACTACATAAAATTACTCAATGAATCTAAGGAAGTAAGAATCCAGAATGTGAACATCAAGAGCAGCAAAACTATTAGGAACATAATATATGTCCAAAAGCATTAAGGTTTGAAAAGAACTCAACACCCACATTGTAAGCACACAACCTTTTCCACTCCAGAAGCTCATGGCGAGCACCTCACAAAACCACAAGGGATGTTCCTGTTTTGAGATTATTTTCTTACAAAGTTGTCCCCAAAGGAAAGGAGGCCACAGATGACTGAGTGGCTATAGTTATGTAGGGTTTTAGGAAGATCATTCCTGTATCATGACTCTGGTGGAGGTTTATTTCAGTCAGGTACTTCATGCCACAGCAGATGTGTGGCTGAGGGGTTAAAATAATGGCATAGCTAAAATATGGCCACATTTTCTTACTCAGCCTATATCTACCCTGTAGGCCCAGCATGAGACACAACCATGAAAAGGAACAGGAAGGAAATTACATTTAAAAACAAAACACGATATTTTGCCTTCCAACCTGATTTAGATAAACGGAGCAACGCAAGCGCTCCTTGTTAGAAACTTAATTTCTATGCATAAAGAAATGTCGACTACATACATCAGCTGTCATGGTACATACATCCCAGATGTTGTACATCTTTCTGGTCCCCAGAACATGCCCCATGCCAGTGACGCTAAAAATACATTTCTTGTGTGTTTCCTCATACAGTCTGATTTGGGGGCATTAAGCTGAGCAAACAGAGAGGAGGCCAAGGTCTTCTCTTTGTTTTAGGTCTGGGGATTTTTATTCCTGAGAGCCAACGTTTCTTGGCCCAGCACGCCCGAGGGAGAACCAATGCTGGGGCTGTTCCGGCACCTGTACCCATGTCCCCGCCTTTCCTACTGAGGGGCCAGAAACAATCACTGTCTTTCTCATCCCCGTCCATTCAAGTCAGTCCTTGAGGGAAATTTCTACCTATCAGAAAACGATTACAGAATTCATGTCATATATTTCCTTTCTTTACCCATAATTTTCAAAGAATATGCCCATTTTCTATTAATAGTACACTGATAACCTGTGTGACTATTTATTTATTTTGAGACGGAGTCTCACTCTGTCACCCAGGCTGGAGTGCAGTGGCACGATCTCGGCTCACTACAACCTCCTCCTCCCGGCTTTGAGCAATTCTCCTGCCTCAGCCTCCTCAGTAGCTGGGATTACAGGTGTGCGAGACCATGCCCGGCTAATTTTTGTATTTTTAGTAGAGATGGCTGGTCTTGAACGCCTGACCTCATGATCCGCCCGCCTCAGCCTCCCAAAGTGCTGGGATTACAGGAGTGAGCCACTGTGCCCGGCCCTGTGTGATTTCTTTTTGAGCACATTTTGCCTTCCCTTTTCAGAAACAGGATCTAAAGCTCAGTGGACAGAGGCCTTCTGAGCAGGTCCAGTTTTCTCCTCTTCCTTCTGCAGGCTGCACTTGGGCCGCTCCTCACAGATCCTGTGTGTGAGGACATGAGTTCCATGACTTCTATGGGTGAACTAATCCAGGCTTGAAGAATGTTGCTCCCAGAAATCACTGCCGTTTTCCTAACTTACATGTATTAGCTTTTCTTTGGAAGATCTGAATTTAATTCCATTTTTTTCCAAGCAGATAAAAAGATCACTGGAGCACCATCTCCACTATCTTCCTGTTTTGTTTTGTGTTGAAGTTTCCCTCTCACTCCTCACCCCAGCCACATTAATCCTCTCCATGCTTTCAGCCGTATCTCCCTCTGCCCCAGGTAGTGCCTCTCTGCTTCCATACTCTGCCGTGGAGACAGACAGTCCATCACCAGCCCTGGCTGGGAAACTTAACAGGTGTTGACACTGTCATTCTGCACCAGAAAGGCCAACCCAACTGACTTTGCCTTTCCTCATATTTTTAAAGATGATTTTTTTATTTCAATACTTTTGGGGTATAAGTGGTTTTAATCACTTGGGTGGGTTCTATAGTCATGAATTCTGGATTTTAGTGCACCCATCACACAAGCAGTGTACACTGTACCCAATATGTAGTCTTTTACCCCTCGCCCCCTCCCAACATTCCCCCCAACTCTCCAAAGTCCATTATATCAAAGATGATTTCTAATAATTATTTATGCCTCTCTTTGGAACTCTCTCTAAAGGACTCCTGCATCATAGAACCAAATAGTTTTAGAGCTAGAAGAGACTTTGTGAAGGTTATTCAGCCTTGTACAGAAGAGAAACTGAGGCCCCAGGAGGCTGCATGACATGCAGAAAGTCTCCAAGCTGACTCCTGGGATTTAGCTAAAATCATAGGTCCCCATTCCCACAAAAACATATTACCTCTTCCATTCTAGATCTAACCACGGAGAGGCTATCCCCACTTTACGCAGTTCAGATACAAAAACATCTCAGTTCCCATGATTTAGTTAAATAACACCTGCCTCTGAACAATACGGTTCACATTTCAGTTACTACAACACAGACATACTCGGAGATGCTGCAGATTCAGTTCCAGGCCGCCAAAATAAAGTGAATATTGCAACAAAGTGAGTCACACAGATATTTCGGCTTCCCAGTGCATATAAAAGTTAGGTTTCCACCATACTGTAGTCTCTCTAGCGTGTGACAGCATTACGTCTAAAAAAGGTACATACCTTAAATCAAAGACACTTCATTGCTAAAAAGTGCTAATGATCACCTGAGCCTTCATTGTGTTGTAATCTTTTTGCTGGTGGAGGGTCTTGCCTCAATGTTGACGGCTGCTGAATGATCACAGTGGTGGTTGCTGAAGGCTGGGGTAGCTGTGGCAATTTCTTAAAATAAGAAAACAATGAAGAGTGCCTCATTGATTGACTCTTCCTTTGACAAAAGATTTCTCTGTACATGCAATGCTATTTGATAGCATTTGATCCACAGCAGAACTTCTTTCAAAATTGAAGTCAATCCTCTCAAGCTCTACCAATGCTTTAACAACTAAGTTTATGAAATATTCTAATCCTTTGTTGTCATTTCAACAATATTCACAGCATTTTCACCAGGAGTAGATTTTATCTCAGGAAACCACTTACTTTGCTTATCCATAAGAAGCAACTCCTTATCCACTCAAGTTTGATCATGAGGTTGCAGCAATTCAGTCACATCTTCAGGCTCCACTTCTAATTTTAGTTCTCTTGCTATTTCTACCTTATTTGCAGTTAGTTCCTCACTGAAGTCTTAAATCCCTCAGAGTCATCCAGGAGGGGTGGAACCCAATTCTTCCAAATACCTGTTGTGTTTTTGTTGCTGTCTTTGAGACAGGGTTTTGCTTTGTTGTCAAGGCTGGAGTGCAGTGGCATGATCATGGCTGACTCCAGTCTCGACCTCCTAGGCATAATTGATCTTCCCACTTCAGCCTCCTGAGCAGCTGGCACCATAGGTGCACACCATGATGCCTGGCTGTTTTTGTTTTTGTTTTAAATTTTGTGTACAGATGATGTCTCCCTGTGTTGCCAAAGGCTAGTCTTGAACTCCTGGGCTCAGGTGATCCTCCAGCCTCAGCTTCCTAAAGTGCTGGAATTACAGGCATGAGCCACTGTGCCTGGCCGATGCTGATATTTTGACCTTTTCTCATGAGTCATGAATGTTCTTAATGGCATCTAGAATGAGGAATCCTTTTCAGAAGGTTTTCAATTTACTTTGCCCAGATCCATCAGAAGGATCACTATTTATAGCAGCTATACCCTTAGGAAATTTATTTCTTAAAGAATAAGACTTAAAAGTAAAAATTGCTCCTCAATCCATGGGCTACAGAGTGGATGTTGTGTTAGCAGGCATGAAAATAACATTAACCTCTCTGTAGGTCTCTATCAGAGCTCTTGGTGACCAGGTGCATTATTAATGAGCAGTAATACTTTGAAAGGAATCTTTTTTTTTCCTGAGCAGTAGGTCTCAACAGTGGGCTAAAAATACATCTATGGATCTATTTTAGATCTGCTGTCATCCAGTTTTGTTGTTCTATTTCTAGAGCACAGGCAGCATAGATTTAGCATGATTCTTTAGGACCCTAGGATTTTTGGAATGGGAAATGAGCATTGGCTGCAATTTAAAGTCTCCAGCTGCATTAGCCCCTAGTGAGAAATTTAGCCTGTCCTTTGAAGCTTTGAGGCCAGGCATTGACCTCTCCAGCTATGAAAACCCTACATGGCATCTCCTTCCAATAGAGGGTTATTCCACCTACACTGAAAATCTGTTATTTAGTGCAGCCACCTTCATCAGTGATCTTAGCTAGAGCTTCTGGATAACCTGCTGCAGCTTCTACCCCAGCACTTGCTGCTTTACCCTGCACTTTGATGGTATGTAGATGTTTTCTTTCATTGAACCTCATGAACCTACCTCTGCTAGCTTCCAACTTTTCTCCTGCAGCTTCCTCACCTCTCTCAGCCTTCATAGAATTGAAGTGAGTTAGGATCTTGCTCTGGATTAGGCTTTGTCTTAAGGGAATGTTGTGGCTGGTTTGACCTTCTATCCAGACCACTTAAACTTTCTTCATGTCAACAATGAGGCTGTTTTGCTTTCTTATCATTTGTGTGTTCACTGGAGTAGCACTTTTAATTTCCTTCAAGAACTTTTCCTTTGCATTCATAACTTGGCTAACTGTTTGGCATGAGAGGCCTAGCTTTCAGACTACCAGGCTTTCAACCTGCCTTCCTCACTAAGTTTAATCATCTTGAACTTTTGACTTAAAGTGAGAGATGTGCAACTCTTCCTTCCACTTGAACACATAGAGGCCACGGTAGGGTTATTATTTGTCCTAATTTCAATATTCTTGTGTCTTGGAGAATTAGAGGGGCCCAAGGAAAGGAAGAGAAGTGACGGAACAGCTAGTGGAGCAGTCAGAACACACACAACACTAAGTTCACTGTCTTATATGGGTATGGTTTGTGGTGCCCCAAAACAACTACAATAGTAACATCAAAGATCACTGTATCACATATGCATGCATGTTTATAGCAGCACAATTCACAATTGCAAAGATATGGAGCCAACCTAAGTGCTCACTGACCAATGAGGGGATAAAGAAAATGTGGTAGATATACACACCATGGAATACTACTCAATCATACAAAGGAATGAAATAATGTCTTTTGCAGCAACTTGGATGGAGGCTATTGTTCCAAGTGGAGTATCTCAGGAATGAAAAACTAAGTATCATATGTTCTCACTTATAAGTGGGAGCTAAGCTATGAAGATGCAAAGGCATAAGAATGATATAATGGACTATGGGGACTTCGCGGGGAAGTTGGGAGGAGGGTAAGAGATAAAAGACTAAATATCGGGTACAGCATACACTGCTCGGGTGATGGGTGCACCCAAATTTCAGAAATCACCACTAAAGAACTTATCCATGTAACCAAAACCACCTGTTCCCCAAAAAACCTATTGAAATAAACATTTTAAAAATTAAAATTAAAAAGAATTTTAAAAAAGATCACTGTCACAGATCACCATAACATATAATAAGAAGTTGAAAATATCACAAGAATTGCCAAAATGTGGCACAGATACATGAAATGCACCCATGCTACTGAGAAGATGGCACTGAGAGACTTGCTCCATGTGAGGTTGCCATACACTTTCAACTTGTAAAAAACACGGTATCTGTGAAGCACAGTAAAGCGAGGTACTCCTGTATAGAGTCACTGTCAGCGCCGAAACTGCAGACTTCACAGCTAGCACTTCTGCCATGCAGATCACCATGCAAATGACAGATGAGTGCCATGGTCAGTGACCAAGCAGGTCACTTCTCTCAAAGTCTGTTGGCAACTGGTTACCATGCCAATTTAAAGTCACCAGCTGCATTAGCCCCTAATGAGAAATTTAGCCTGTCCTTTGAAGCTGTGAGGCCAGGCATTGACCTCTCCAGCTATGAAAATCCTACATGGCATCTTCTTCCAATAGAGGGCTATTCCATCTACAGTGAAAATCTGTTGTTTAGTGCAGCCACCTTCATCAGTGATCTTAGCTAGAGCTTCTGGATAACCTGCTGTTTTTCATGTACAGAATGCAAAGTATGTAGCTGTGTTGGTCCCTGTCACCCAGGGGTAAATGTATGTGATGTTTATAAAAACGGGTCATCAAAAGAGGAAAACCACCAACAAAGTTAAAAGTGCAGCAAAGAAATAAAAAGTCCTGCTGGAAGTGAAATTCAAGCCTACCGTAAACGGAGTTATAAAAGAAACAGCTGGGGTGGGGGGAGGGGGAGGGATGGCATTAGGAGATATACCTAATGTAAATGACGAGTTAATGGGTGCGGCACACCAACATGGCACATGTACACATATGTAACAAAACTGCACGTTATGCACATGTACCCTAGAACTTAAAGTATAATAATAAAAAAAAAAAAGAGGAAACAGCTGCTCGCAGGTTGGTGGCCAGGCTGCAGTGAGACTCCTGTCACGCCCAGGGGAAGGTGAGCTTAGGAGGAAAGTGGCTATAAGGAACGGGACAAAGACGGCCTGGAGGAAGCAATGCCAGGAAACAAGTTCACATTAAAGAAACTCTTGGAGATACTTTACAACGCTGAGAGCACACAGGAGAACAAGTGGGAAGTGGATCCACACTGAGGAGGGAGTGTGACAGCTCGTGCAGTGCAGGAAGGCTGCTCTGCTCACCCCACACTGCGGGTGACAGGATGAGAGGAGGTGGCACCGCTCAGACCACTAGGGATCAGTCTCACCAAGAAACAGCATGCTTCCATTCTCAAGGTTGCTAGTGTTTTGTTTTTGTTTTTGTTTTTGTTTTTTTGAGACAGAGTCTTGCTCTGTCGCCCAGACTGGAATGCAGTGGTGCGATCTCGGCTCACTGCAAGCTCCGCCTCCCAGGTTCATGCCATTCTCCTCCCTCAGCCTCCCGAGTAGCTGCGACTACAGGTGCCCACCACCACGCCCGGGTAATATTTTGTATTTTTAGTAGAGATGAGTTTCACCGTGCTAGCCAGGATGGTCTCAATCTCCTGACCTTGTGATCCGCCCGCCTCGGCCTCCCAAAGTGCTGGGATTACAGGCGTGAGCCACCGTGCCTGGCAAGGTCACTAGTGTTTTAAATTATTAGTATGCTAAGTAAATACCAGTTCTACTATCACTTGCCATTTCCCTATGCATTTACAATTGATGGTAGAAAAGTTTTTAATGCTGTGACCAAAAATATGCTTAAAGGTCAGGGCAGCAATTATAATTTTTCCTGCTATTAACATCACTTTGCATGGTTTCAATTCACAGGGCCATTTTTATGGTCCCACATTACTGTGCAAAGTGAGAGTCGTGAGCATTAGATACGCAGTATCATCTCCAGCATCCAAGTACAAAGTTCTTCTGCTTAGTTCTGTTCCTATTGGGACTAGCCTGAAGATCTCCTTTTCTCTGCTGGGAGAATCTAACTGAGGCTTCGCTTGTGGGTAACCAGCTCCTACTGCCTAGGGGAATTAAGAGACATTTTTATATTTCCTTATTCAGAAGGAATCACCATCTCTTAGAGCCCCCACAGCATGCCAGGGACAATGCTGGCACATCGTCTGGTGTGGGGACAATGGATGGCAACCCCTGAGATCCCCATCCCCGTCCCCATCCTCATGGCAGTGCTGGATTCCAGGTCTCCAGACTCAAGCCACCCTCTCCATCCACCCCTCGTCGGTGCATGTGTCCTCTAGTGGGAAGGTGAAGCTTCTTACTAAGGGTGGATATTCCCAAATCAGAATCCATCACAAACAGCAAGGACAATAGTGGGGCATGTCTGTGGGAATGGCGGCACAGGGTTATCAACCAACAGCTGGCAGTATAAGCCACACCCATGCCTCTCTCGGAAGAGAAAGTGTGTATTCTAAAAATACAGAATGGCCAAGTGGGGTGGTTCTTTCATGCCTGTAATCCCAGCACTTTGGGTAGCCGAAGCAGGCAGATCACCTGAGGTGAGGAGTTTGGGTCCAGCCTGGCCAACATAGTGAAACCCCATCTCTACTAAAAGTACAAAAATTAGCCAGGCGTGATAGCGCATGCCTGTAATCCCAGCTACTCGGGAGGCTGAGGCAGGAGAATCGCTTGAACCCCCGACGCAGAGGTTGCAGTGAGCTGAGATCGTGCCACTGCACTCCAGCCTGGGTGACAGAGTGAGACTCTGTCTCAAAAACACAAAATAAAATAAAAATAAAAATATAGAATGAATGCAATATTCTAGATGGCTTAGTTCTCTCTGAGTTTGCAACTGTTCATCTGCAGACCGTGGACACTTGTCTTAAAAGCCATGGTCTTCATCTGGAGAATGCCACTGTGAATGCCACACCTGTGAACCGGAGCAACCCATTAGTAATGCTTTAGGTTGATAAAAGCAGGGAACTGTCTTGTTTGAATTTGGATCTGGTGTCCAAGTCTCTGTTTTTGAGAGGGGGTGTAGCATGGGGGTCAGCGAACGGACTCTGGGGCCAGATTGCCCAGCTCAGTTCTTGGCTCCACTGCTTACCACTTGTGTGATTCAAGGCGAGATATGTGACCTGCGTGAGCCTCTCTCCCTCAGCTCTAGGGTGGAGACGGTAATTATGCTAACTTTATAGAGCTGTGAGGAGGACTACATGAGTTCATTTCTACAAAGCGCCTGGCATGTATTATGTACTATATGAGCCTTGCCTATCATTAGTAATGTTATTAAAAAAATAAATCTTTAAATATAGTATATCCATGTTACCTAAAATCTGGAAAATGAACAAATCATTTTACTCTATCATAACTAGTCTCATAATTATTTCTTTTGAGTCATTTTTAAATAATTATTTTTTACTTAGTTTTTTTTTTTAAAACAAGAGCCAGTCTTTCCTTTCTCATCTCCTGCCAGATGTACAGCCTATGAGGCCTGCCCAAAATAAAACCAAACTCACTTCAGAAAGGGGCTCCACATCCACGCACACATGCCTGGGCTGCCTGCTTCCCCTCTGGCACATCCCGCCCCTGTGATAATTTCATCTCACATGGGGCTGCTTTCCACTGGATCCACAGGTCTCCTGCACAGCAAGGAAGCCCCCTTCTGGTCCTCTCTCCTCTTTCCCCTTCAGATCTGTTTCCCCTACTTGATAATTAAAATAGAAAAATACAGAAGATTTTTTTCAAAGTCTCCATTCTCGTTTAGAGTCTTTAGGGTAATTTTACTTAGGAGAAGGGACCCTCATACACATGGCCGTTTGTTCAAGCACCTGGTGGCAGGGACCACGCTGCCGGCTGGGAACAATGGCAGGTTGCCTGCTATCTGTAGAAAAGGATTTTCAAAGGCTGCGCAGAATTGAGATGCTGCTGAAGCAGAAAGTGCTGCACTTTTCAATGCTGCCATTTCCAACAGTTAGTACCTAGGGCCATCCTCCATGTAACTGAGGAAAAAACCCTGGAGGAAAGCTTAAAACGTTAAATGCCCCTAGTATCCATCTCCACTTTCAGTTGTACATACTTTAAACGTT
Source organism: Homo sapiens (assembly GCF_000001405.40). Taxonomy (NCBI): domain Eukaryota; kingdom Metazoa; phylum Chordata; class Mammalia; order Primates; family Hominidae; genus Homo; species Homo sapiens. The sequence continues at coordinate 13,503,128 of NC_000018.10, read as the reverse complement.
TTATCACACAACATCGGTTGATGGTGGCCATAGATAAACCACAAGAGACAGAATTCATGCAGTCGAAACTTGGAATTCCATGTAATACCATCAGCCTCTCAGGTTCATGTTAATACAAGCACATATACCTGACTGATGCCACAAAGTCTGCTCTCTCTTGCCCTTCCTTCTCAAGCCTTTCCTCCCCTAAATTCTTTCTGCTACAGCAGATAGCCGCTGTGTGCACTGACCTCCAACAACTGGGATCCCAGCCTGTGGCTGCCAGCCAGACTGCTTCAGGAGTGACCAGACGGGTGAAGTTCCCCACCAGCTGTGCTCTGAGGATGGCTCAGGAGAAGTCAAAATTCACCCCGAAGCACTGAGAAGACCTGTTTCATAGACAGATCACGTCCATGGGTGTGGCCCGTACAGTCCTCCCAGTGGGGTTCCTGTTTGGTGTCACTTCAGGCAGCCGTGGCCCAAGCTAGCTGAGAGTGGGTGAGAAGCAGAGCTACACGGCTTGTTCCTTTGCCACCGGCTGGATGCTCCTTTATCTTTTCCCCTACTTACTTTTTTCTTCGATAAAGAGTCGACAAATAATTAAGAATTTACTAGACAGTCATATTGTACACTTACGAGCTCAGCACACAATTAAAATGTTTTAAATGACTTAGTGCCTTGTACGAACTTCATACACAAAAGTTTGGTAGTATGCATACCAATATTTGGTATTCAGCTATGGGTGTGTGAAAGAATTAGTACATCTTAAACCCAAATAAAAGCATTTTAGAAAAGAGGCATCACAAAAGGCATCTGGACACAGTCCCAAGAGCTGGTGAATCGGTCAGGACCAGCACAGAGGCTAGTGGGACAGAATTTTAAAAGATGTGGCACCAGCTGATAAAACCTAAAGCACTAAGTAGTAAGAGTATCAAAACTGACAGGACACGTAACTTTAAGTCAGGAGCTAAAGAAAACACAGGAGAGCTGACAATCAGAGCAGCTGAAATGGTTTTCCGTACCTCATTGCAAAAACTTTCACAATGAGTATTTGCTACTCTGGTGACGGTTCAAAGCCTTCCGCGAATTTGCAGCGTTACACAAGATGTCACTTTCTCCCCTCAATTTGCCTACGGCACCTACCCGGACTTCTCAGCTGTGTAGGCACCAATTTCAAAGAGGTCTGAAGCCAGTGGAGTAAAAGCATTTTAAGTGTGATGTTTTCTTAGGTTGAACATATCAAACACACATTTCTAGTACAATTCCAAATGTTTCAAAATATTATTTTAGTTGTTAAGAATCTTGAAATGAAAGCTCTGTTATTACAGAATGCCCCTGTTTTTATCATGCATTAAACCAAACCAACCCCCACCCCATTCCCTGGCTCTCAGAGAGAGGGACATGCGTGTGTGAGCGAGTGTCAGGCGTCCTGTGCACACACAGGCACGTCATGTTTCTCCTCTCACTCCGGACCCCTTGGGTTTCTATGGATTATTAATAATACCCACCCACCTGGCTGGCAGACTTTTCACAACACACCCTACAAGATTCTGCAAAAAAAAAAAGCAACACAATTTGAAAATACACAATGCCAACCTCCGGAGGAGGGAAAGAGAAAGAAAGGAATTAAGGGTGAGACCCAGACAGACAGACAGACAGACAGGCTCAAGGAAACTGTGTTCCCTGGGGTCTGGGCCATGCAGCCGTCGGCAGGTACTCAGCTCTTCTCGGCGCAGACTTGCTTAGCATGGCAATCGGCTGTCTGCCCAGGAGGATGAGGTAATGTCTAGGTTTAATGCCAAAATCTCTCTCACTGGCAGGACACATCGGGTAAATATTTCTACTGCAGGAGACCACATTCATTTGATGCTACTGCCAGTTTTATTATTGTTATTATGCTCATTAATATTAATACTCAGCCACTGTACCTATTTAAGATTGAAGAGGAGAAAGGCAAGGTTTTGCTGAAATCATGATAGCAGGTGCAGGGGGAAGAAAGTAGCCCCTACTCCACCCCCCGGCCTCAATCTCCCGCTAACAACAGTTACAGCACCAGCCTTCTGCAATCCCTTCCATCATCCTCAGCTGCACAGAGACCCCCTGCAACTTCCTCTCCAGGTGGCTGTAAATCTGGGACCTAGCAGTGACAATGGGTTTGGGGCGGGTGGGCATGAGGGGCTTGAAGGCTCCTTGAAGCGACCTTCCTAGTTATAATATTTGAAAATGTAGAATAATTTATGGGTCAGATTGCCAATGGTTCCTTCTCCTTTCTAAAAACCAATTCTGAATTTGCTTCACCATATTTTTGATGATGTGTTTTATGGCCTCACAAACTCCCAGCTGGTTCCCTCGATGATCTCGTCTCTGTGGTTACTGTCAACAATCCACATTCGTGTTGTGGCATATCATCTTACAGAAGCATTTAAAGCAGCTCAGGGCTTCTTTCCTCTGATGTAGATTTTCTCCATTGTTACTCAACGAGGCTCTGACATCAGCCTCCTTTCAGTTCAAAAGACAGGACGTTTTTCTGGGAGTCAGGAACTGAATGCAGAACTTCCCGCGGGCTTCACAAAGGACCGCCGAAAGGGACAGTCACACACTGCCATGGATGTGGTCTCCTCTCTGAGGAGCTGGGAATAACGCTGCCCTCCCACAGGCGCTGCTCCCAGGAGGGGCGGGAAAGCATGATGCCAAAGGGCAGTTTCAAAACTGGGCCCCGGGGAGCAGCAGCGTTAGGTGTGGACAACATGAAAAAGCACCTAAGACCCAGTGCTGTCCTGCAATGAGACAGAGACGCGGCCACTGTCCCGCACAGCCCCACGGGCAGAGGAGGCGCTCCAGAGGAGGGACTTTGAGAGACGACGCAATGTGCCTGCTGTGGGAAGTCACAAGACAGCTGCTATTCCCGGGCCGTCAGGGCCAGGCCAGCCTGGCTAGCTGCTGAGAGGGTCTGCACAGTGACTCCATGAGGTTAGCAAAATATATATATTTTTAAAGCCTAGCAACCTTTCCTAAACATTTTTTTTTAATCACCAAAACATCACATTGTAAGGAGTTTCAGATTATTCCCAACATTTCCCAATGTCAAGTCTTGGACAACATGTCTGCACCAAACATGTGCTTCTAAATAGAAAACCGAAAGTCCCTGTCAATCAGGAAGGTAACACTCTGGAGAGGAGGAGGAAAGGAAGTGAGACAGTGCTGGTGTCTTTTGTCATTAGGACAGTGGAGATGCGGCTGCTTGACCCAAGCAGCATACTGGAAGGACAGCTGAGAGCAAAAACGGAAAGGGAGCGTGGAGGTTTTCACAGCAGGACGTGTGTGGGCAGAAGGATTCTCCAGTGTCCACAGCAGGATACGTGTGTGGAGATGGATTCTCCAGTGTCCACGGCTGGACGTGTGTGGCAAAAAGGATTCTCCAGTGTCCACGGCGGGACATGTGTGGAGATGGATTCTCCGGTGTCCATGGCAGGACGTGTGCGGCGAGAAGGATTCTCCAGTATCCACAGCGGGACGTGTGTGAGTAGAAGGATTCTCCAGTGTCCACGGCAGGATGTGTGTGGCGAGAAGGATTCTCCAGTGTCCACGGTGGGAAGTGTGTGGCGAGAAGGATTCTCCAGTGTCCACGGCGGGACGTGTGTGGCAAGAAGGATTCTCCAGTATCCACGGCGGGACGTGTGTGAGTAGAAGGATTCTCCAGTGTCCACGGCAGGACGTGTGTGGCGAGAAGGATTCTCCAGTGTCCATGGTGGGAAGTGTGTGGCGAGAAGGATTCTCCAGTGTCCACGGCAGGACGTGTGTGGCAAGGATTCTCCAGTATCCATGGCGGGACGTGTGTGAGTAGAAGGATTCTCCAGTGTCCACGAAAGGACGTGTGTGGCGAGAAGGATTCTCCAGTGTCCACGGTGGGAAGTGTGTGGCGAGAAGGATTCTCCAGTATCCACAGCGGGATGTGTGTGAGTAGAAGGATTCTCCAGTGTCCACGGCGCGACGTGTGTGTGAGTAGAAGGATTCTCCAGAGTCCACGGCGGGACGTGTGTGGTGAGAAGGATTCTCCAGTGTCCACGGCGGGATGTGTATGGCGAGAAGGATTCTCCGGTGTCCACGGCAGGACGTGTGTGGCAAGAAGGATTCTCCAGTGTCCACGGCGGGACGTGTGTGGAGATGGATTCTCCAGTGTCCACAGCAGGACATGTATGGCGAGAAGGATTCTCCGGTGTCCACGGTGGGACGTGTGTGGCGAGAAGGATTCTCCAGTGTCCACGGCGGGACGTGTGTGGCGAGAAGGATTCTCCAGTGTCTACGGCTGGGGACATGTGTGGGGAGGATTCTCCAGTGTCCACGGCGGGACGTGTGTGGGGAGAAGGATTCTCCAGTGTCCACGGCGGGATGTGTGTGGGCAGAAGGATTCTCCAGTGTCCACAGTGGGACACGTGTGGCAAGAAGGATTCTCCAGTGTCCACAGCAGGACGTGTGTGGGGAAAAGGATTCTCCAGTGTCCACAGTGGGACACGTGTGGCAAGAAGGATTCTCCAGTGTCCACAGCAGGACGTGTGTGGGGAGAAGGATTCTCCAGTGTCCACAGTGGGACGTGTGTGGCGAGAAGGATTCTCCAGTGTCCACAGTGGGACACGTGTGTCAAGAAGGATTCTCCAGTGTCCACGGCGGGACGTGTGTGTGGAAAAGGATTCTCCAGTGTCCACGGCGGGATGTGTGTGGCGAGAAGGATTCTCCAGTGTCTATGGCTGGGGACGTATGTGGGGAGGATTCTCCAGTGTCCACGGCGGGATGTGTGTGGGGAGAAGGATTCTCCAGTGTCCACGGCAGGACGTGTGTGGGCAGAAGGATTCTCCAGTGTCCACAGTGGGACGTGTGTGTGGAAAAGGATTCTCCAGTGTCCACGGCAGGACGTGTGTGTGGAGAAGGATTCTCCAGTGTCCACGGCAGGACGTGTGTGTGGAGAAGGATTCTCCAGTGTCCACAGAGGGACGTGTGTGGCGAGAAGGATTCTCCAGTGTCCATGGCAGGACTTGTGTGGGCAGAAGGATTCTCCAGTGTCCACAGCAGGACGTGTATGGCGAGAAGGATTCTCCAGTGTCCATGGCGGGACGTGTGTGGAGAAGGATTCTCCAGTGTCCACGGCAGGACTTGTGTGGGCAGAAGGATTCTCCAGTGTCCACAGCAGGACGTGTATGGCGAGAAGGATTCTCCAGTGTCCATGGCGGGACGTGTGTGGGCAGAAGGATTCTCCAGTGTCCACAGTGGGACACGTGTGGCAAGAGGGATTCTCCAGTGTCCACGGCGGGACGTGTGTGGGAAGAAGGATTCTCTGGTGTCGTTTTCGCTGGCTCCTCACTCCCAGCTAACAAAGTGTTTCTTCCCATTGTAGCTTTGGCTTTCAGAAGTCAGCCTTCTTTCCTCCCCAAAGGGAGGGCTTTCCTCACATAAAAGAAAATTAAGGCTCCCCCATATGTGTTTTGACCTGGTATTATGGCATGAAAGCCACTTGCACCTTCTTACAAAGTCTTAGTGAACTACTTCTGAAAAATGGTAATAATTAAAAAGGGTTAAAAATACACAGTAGTCAGCCTTTTAAAAACATTACAAGACTGACACAGCAGGCATGTGAAAAAAGAAGGAAAAAAAAAAAACACTACAAGAGCCACCCTTTTGCCAGGCCCAGTGGCTCAGGCCTATAATCCCAGCACTTTGGGAGGCCGAGGCAGGAGGATCACTTGAGGCCAGGAGTTCATGACCAGCCTGGGCAACATAGTGAGACCTTGTCTCTACAAAAAAAACAAACAAATTAGCTAGGCATGGTGGCATGTCCCGGTAGTCCCAGCTATTCCGGAGGCTGAGGCAGGAGGATTGCTTGAGCCCAGGAAGTCAAGACTGCAGGGAGCTGTGATCACTGCACTCCAGCCTGGGTGAGAGAGTGAGACCCCATCTCTAAAAAATAAAAAGAACCCTTCTTTAAGTTGAAATAAAAGGAAGCTAAATAAAATGCTCTGTAACTAAGCAGTCTCCACTTTATTTAGACTAGAGAATGCTCATTATGAGTCAGGCAGCAGGCTGGATGGAAATTACTAATTAATTGAACATTATGGCTTAAAACACAGTAATTCATCTTACTTACTGCTTTTCTTGAATACATGCGCATTTCTTAGGTTTTGTTAAGCTAATGAAAGGTCATGTTTAAAGGTTATTAATGGGGAAGTTCTCATTCTGAGGTTGCTTGGCTTCACCTGTCTTCAAGTCCACTGGGGTGCCCAGGTTCGGGCTGGCTGCCTTGAGATTTGCTGGACAAATAGACGTGTGGGCATGACATTTTATACTATGTGGTTTTAATTCTGGTTTGCATTAATGCAGTGGTTTTGTGGTAACTGCCACAAACCTTGAAATCACACCCTTTCCCTCCCACCTCCCAATCCCTTTATTAACCTCGAGTATGGGGGACTTTGACTCTGATACCAGAACCAAGAGTCAGATTTCTGTGGTGTCCTCCTCTCGGAAAACATCAAATGACGTGACCCAGTTCGGTGCTGATGCTTGAGTCTCCCTAATTCGAAACACTAAATTTAACTGGGTACTTTAAAGGCTGAATTTCGATCTCCTCCGTTCTTCCTCTCCACAGGGGACATGGCTCAACTTCCACACGAAAGATTTAGGTCAGATGAAAAGATGGTATTAAAAATCTTCAACAAAAGATTTGTTAAGCATTAGACTGTGCTATTGCCTGTAGAAACCTCATCCCCTGAAAATCTTTTAATAGAATCAAGAAGAGACTGGGGTCATCTAATCCACCCCCTGACTTCAGGCCAGACCCCACTAAAATTGTTCTGGGCAAGTAAGGCCGCCACATTTTTAAGGTGGATGTTTTGTGTTTCCAGAGGAACAGACTCCACCATCTTCCTGAACAACGCACACGATTTCCTGACAGTCTCCACGACTCAGGATTTATTTCCTTATGATTAACCTAATCTCCAAAGCCACCACAGCACTCACTTCCTCCTGTGCCCTCACTGGTACCCATGGCAAACAGCTGGTACCTGTCCCCTGCATACTCACCTTCCCTGTTCCTCTATACGCAGCCAAATCTCCTCGAGGCAGAGAAGGGAGGCCAGGCGGGTGGTGGGAGCGCCAGAAGAACCTGCAGTGTATTACAGGGTTTAGAAGGGGCCTGGGGAGCTGGGGAGGATGAAAAATCCGTGGGAAGAAACTCCACAAGGGCCCGGCAGCTGGAGGCCGAGGCGACCCGACTGAGCTAGAAGGTGATGGAGGTCTTCGCGCTCTCTGAACACTGCGCAGTGGCAGTGCTGGTGACGTTGCCGTATGATCCAGGCAGAGAAACAATCCTCCGAGTTTCAGTCGCCATCTCAGTACAAAATTAGTAACTCGACTTCCAAAAGACAGGGCTGGGCCCTACGACCTTTGAAGTCTTCTCTTGTTCTAGAATTTGTGAGTCTATTAATCTATTCCTGAGCCATCTTCACCACTCTAAAGGTTATTGACCCAATTCTTCAAGGCAGCTGAGGGAAGATTTCAGAATCCTCAGTGTATTTCTTCCCATTTTACTAAGCCACAGTATTAGTGACACCATCTTATACTTCAGGAATGGGGGAAATATGCCTTGGTATTTCCTCTAAAAGATAACTAAGTGGGATCCCGCAAGGGACAGCACCAAAGCTGCTTCTTAGGCTGGTGAATAGAAAACATTTGTTGACTGAAGGCAGGCTCAGAGAAACAGACGAGATACATTTACAATCTCAATTGTTTGTAGCATTTTAAGCCCTGAGATTCGTCAACTAAAGAAGGAAAGTGATTTGGGTTCTGTTCCTTTCTCAGAGCCCTCCCCGCACCGTATTCGCCTCGCTGGCCCTGGAACTGAAACCACCTCCCCACGCAGGGAGCGAGGCCATGAGACAAAATGATTCCTGATTGTAATTTATGATGAAACTGTAGATTTACTGGTGTACACTGGAATTTTAATAGTCTTTCCTCTGAATCCTGCTGCATAGCCCTTCTGAATAGTCCCATATATGTATATTCAGAGGTCATTTTCTCAGACAATGATTCACTCACTGTGAAAACTTGGCAGACTGGAAATCTCTCCTTGATGCCAAATGAGACCTTAAGGGCCACCCTAACTGCCAAGCTGGGAGGCGGGTCTCAGGGTTGAAGGCAAACGGGGTTCGCTTGTGCCTTAAGCTGAATATGAGCCCGTTCGGTTCCCTCTCACTAGTGTAACAACAGGAAAAAGCGGCCTTGAAGGACCACACATATAGGAAGAGAGGGTGAATTACAAATGACCATTGTTGAAGACTTCGTGAACAATCATTTAGTAATTCATTGATAAAGCCTTCATCCTGGGAGGCGCTAGGGGCACCCAAACTTCCTTAATTCCCACTGTGTCATTTATTCAATGTGTATGTGTATATATACACTGAATATACATATTTTTAATAATATATTATATTATTAAATATGTCTGTCTCCAGGCTGGAGTGCAGTGGTGCAATCATTTCTCACTGCAGCCTTAGTCTCCTGGGGCTCAAGGGATCCTCCCACCTCAGCTTTCCAAACTGCAGCAATTACAGGTGTGCACCACCATGCCCAGCCTCAATGTATATTTTCTATAAAACAGGCAAATGCGAAGATGTCTTATGAGGGCAGATATATCTGACTTGTTTTATGAAACTCAGAGGTAGGCTTGAGACAAGGGCTTTAGAGTTTCGGTGGCACATTGCAGTGTGAACTCATCAGGAAAAAGCCTCTAGACTCCAGTTCCTCAGTTCTCCACCTGAGACTGCTGGAAATGAATATGTTTCCTGAAGCTGTTTTATTTTTTGCTTAACTGATGTCCCTTGAAGCAGAAGTTGAATGAAGATTTTATTTCCTCTCTCGGTGAATATATGCTTTTGTGTCAGACAAGCTAGACAGCAGGTTGGGATACAGTGAATGTCAATATTTAATTGCACCTTCCTTTTCCACCTGTCAACCATGATGCCTCCTCTCAGCAGAGCCATCACCACCGCCCTGCTCCTTCTCCCCAAACTCATGTCGAGGTCATGTTGGCTGTCAGCTGTGCTCCGAGCCCAGGAAGGAGGAGGCACTGTGGGATGGCCAGGAAGGCGGCCTCCACACCATAAGGCAGGATTGCGGCACCGCGTCACCATGCCTGGACCACACGCCTCCATGCTGGGCCCTGCCAGGGATTCTCAGAAGCGGGGACCCCCTGGGTGGCCCCGCACACAGATGGGAGGAAGCAGAGGGCCCACGGGCTGAGTGAGGTCCTGGACAAGGACCACGGGGCTGGAGGCAGGGACGGCACGGCTGGGCTTTGACCGCCTCCCTCTGCTGTTCTGTGCCCCTCTTCCCAGCCACGGATGAAGTAAAGAGGCCATGTCCAACTCTGAGCCCCAGATGGGAGGAAAAAAATCATTTCATCTCCACCCCTCTTGGTTCCTTGCTTAAAGAAGAAAAGCTCTTATGTGACCAGTCAGGCACGGTGTCCTATGCCTTAATGAAACGATGCCATTCAAATATTGGAAAATATTTCCAAAGCATATAAAGCGATGACCAGCTAAGAACAGCATTCTTCTCAGAACCTTAGCAACACCAAAGCCGGAAGCCTCAGGGGTGCACAGTGCAAAAGAGGAAACATGATTTGTTTTTCCATAAAATATTTCTAGTGATCATTGCTTCCACAACCTACTTTTTTGAAGGTAAATTTTCTCTCAATTTTTCTAGCCCTAAAAGCTGACTCCATGATTTAACAAGTCCCTTCATGACCATGTTTTACATAGAACTGTCATGCAAAAAAATAGAAAAAGAAAGACAGACTCACTCGACTAAAAAGGAGAACCAGGGTGTCAGCCTGGCCTTGGGGTGAGGACATACACTTTCCCAGTATGAGCAGACTTGTGGAAATGGCATTTAAATGCTTGAAAACAATGTAACTTCTTGGCTGTAGGCAATATGTCAAGGTGTTTAGAAGATAAAGGATTGTGTTTTGATCCTCTCCTTTTTTTTTAAGACAAGATCTTTCTCTCACCCAAGCTGCAGTACAGTGGTGCAATCACAGCTCGCTGCAGCCTCAATCTCCTGGTTTCAAGTGATCCTCCTGCCTCAGCCTCCCAAACTGCTGGGATTACAGGCACACACAACCATGCCCAGCTACTGTTATTTTTATTTTTGTGAAGACAGGGTCTTGCTATGCTGCCCAGGCTGGTAGCACAGCGATCCTCCCACCTCAGCCTCCCAAAGTGCTAGGATTACAGGTGTGAGCCACTGCACCCAGCCCGTTCTCCTCTATTTGCCACACTCATTTTCAAGGGAAAGGCAGGAAGAGTGGAGCTGTGGGGATGGAGAAAATGAGGAAGGGGGGTATGGCATGACCTGGTGCTCCCAGGGCACCCCACTGCCCAGGTGACTCAGGAGTTTCCAGGAGAGCTCCATCTTCTGAGCAGCTACCATTTCTCTGGAGGGATCTAAGGCCCTGGGACACCTGCTGGAGGGCCGCCCCAGTCAGTGGAGATCCCACTCCTGAGTAGGGTCTGACAATGCCCATTGGCCATCCTGTGGCCTTTTTGATGAGGCCAGGCGTTCTACGGGGCTGGAGAAGAAGGTGTTTGCCAAGGAGCTGCTACTCCCCAGCTGGACTGCAGGAAGAGTGAACGCACAGGAGCAGGCAGATTCAGACCCGGGGGGGAAGGGAGGACCAACTCCATCTGTTAATACTGCAGCCACTCCACCGGATTACAGCAATGCTGGGCTGTGAAAGGACGTCCCTTCCGGCAGAGGCAACTCGGAACCAGAAGAAACTTTACAAAGATGAGATCCCATCAACAGCCCGGGAATAGGGGAGAAATCCAGGATTCACCTTTCCGTGCACTGGGGTGGATGAGTCCTGTGGCAGGCCACTCGCATCCTTCCTCTGTGCCCCTCAGGCCTGATGGTGTCCTGGCCATTCTGGGGACAAGAGCGTGGCCTGTTTCTAGCTAGACTTGCCCGAATCGGTCTTGTCTTGGTGTCTTGGGTCTTGGTGGCATGGATCTTAGAGAATGACAAGTTGCATTTTCAGTGGGGGGCAAAAACTCTATGAAGGTAGCATAAACCATGCTACTGTATTCATTATACCCAAGAAAAACAGGATTTCAGTGCTAGGAACAATAAAGTCAGCCTCATAGTCATCCATCAATTGAATGATGGAAGCGCCTCTACTTTTCCTCGCACCAATTCATGCAAGCCTCCCGGTGGTGTTCTGCAAATTTCATTATCAGACAGCACCAACGTGCAAAGCTTTGGCCTGACGTGGTGCAGACCCAAACACTGTCACCTGATGGGAAAAGTACCAGGGTGAGAAACAGAAGATCTGTTTTCCTGGCCTCTAGTTCTGGGTCTTGTTCTTTGTAAAATGGGTGTAAAAGTCCCTGCCGGGCCACTTGACATTAACTTTATGACTGCTCATATACAAACGTCCTTGCTCCACACAAATGCTTCTTTTTTTGCTATAAAATCAAACGTTAGCATCTTCAATATAGCTTACTAAATCCCAATCACCAACACTACATATAATCTTTAAAGGAAACAGACAGAAACTAGATTCACTGGCGCCAGCTATTAATTATTTCAAACATATAAAGTATCTCAAAAAGAAATAAGTCAAACTTATTCTCACTCAGTTTCAAGTATGTCTATCTTAGGGCGTCTTTCCAAAAATCTCTGTCGTTAAGCTGGACACACACACACAGGTGCCGGCCCATGGCCCGAGCATGACGGATGCACTCGGTGACAAGCCCATGACTGACAGCCGCCATCTGATAGTGGAGGAGCAGCCGGCTAGCTGTGGGTTCCAGAGGTGATCAGCCACAGATGGAAAAGGGAGGTCTTGGGATGCTTTCATCGTCCCAGCTACCCTGCAGGTGGACATTTAAAGTAAATCATTAACAAATCCCTGTGGCAGAAATACAGTGCACCTCAGCTCACCATCAGCTGCAAGGGACTCTGCCTGGTGTCCCACAGGCTGAGTAAGGGTCTGCGGCCTTTCCCATGAGGGTGGGTCTAGATGGTAGAGAGCAGCCCCCACTACCATGAAGAGGAGCAGAGACGACTTGGCCACCCACTGTGTCCAACTAAATCCCTATGGCAGCCCAGTGATTCACTCTGAGGTTAATTTCCAACATCTGAGAGGTTCAGGCTGGAGATACAGAATATCGTCCAGAGACAGAGGCCCAGATCTAAAGGGGACAGGGGGTGCAGAAGCTTTAGCTGGACTCTCCCTGCCATGCCAATGAGCCAAGGATGTGCAAAAATGCACATCCTGCCATCTCCCTGACAAGCCTGGCCCTCCTCCAGAATGGGCCATGCTGCATGCTTTTAATATTCCATTTACTCCTTTCTGGAACACATCATTTTAAAAAACTTCCCCTGGAAACGTCTATAAACCACAGATGAGGTAAGGTTGAAGAGAGTTTGGGGCTATCATTTTATTGAGGTAAAAAAATATATACATATAGAAAAGTAAACATAACTTACAGTTTTCATAAACTGAAACACCCACGTATATTTTTTGGCTTGGACTGTGATATTTTGAAATAAAAACCTCACAAAAGGATACATAAACTGAAAAAATGTTCCATTTCAATGTAATTTTCTTGCTACCACTTCATAATATAGGTTGGGTATCCCTTATCCAAAATGCCTGGAGTCAGAAGTGTTTCGAATTTTGAACTTTTTTGGATCTTGAAAACTTGCATTATACTTACCAGTTATTCTATTATACATCCACCTTCCTAATCCAAAAATCTGAATCTAAAATGCTCCAATGGACATTTCCTTTGAGCATCATATTGTCACTTAAAATGTTTCTGACTTTTGAGCATTTAAAATTTTAGGTTATTGTTATCCGATTGGGGTACTCACGCTGTGGCTGTTGACAGAGTTATAAACATAGCTGAAGGGAATATAATAAGCAGACCACAGTGGATCACAGGAAGCCATTTGGGTCCGAGAGCTTTCACGGCAGCAGGGCAGATGGAGTGCCCAAAACAGGAGCCTCCTAGTCTCTGAAGAGCAAGCCTGGTTTTCATGCTACCTTCACGGTGGTTTAGGAAAAGCACACACTCCGTTTGGCCATGTCTCTTCCAAGTGGGGAAAACCTAAATTTTATTCCCTTTTATCATGAGTTATTTACAGAAGAAAAAGAGATATATGCAACTTTCATTCATCTTTTAGCCATTTTCTTTCATCCCTGGCACAAATCTCCTCCCTCCTTCTTCTAACCCATGTCCCTTTAAGTCACTCGTGTTAAAAGCAGCAAACAGATGCTGGGGATAATTTAATGCAGCAAAGGTCTTCCTTCCACACCTAGGAATGTAACTGTGCCCCACACACTGGGAAAGGGCTGCTGCTGTGTCACGATTCTGTGACAGGAATAATACAGGTGGTCACAGAAGAATACACATTCCAGGCAACAGTTTCATATAACTGGAGGCTATAGGGTGACTAGGCCCTGACCCTGAAAAACAGGGTGTGGACCAAGCTGGCTAAGACTGACCGGACCCAGTGCAGAGCTGGATTTGAGCTAGGTCTCACCTCGGACCTCATTATCTGCTCACTGACGCACTCAATCACACACCACCAACACCATGACAGTTCCAGGACACCCTTATTTGGTGTAAGAATGGGTGACACTGGGCCAGGCACGGTGGCTCATGCCTGTTATCCCAGCACTTTGGGAGGCCGAGGTGGGAGGATCACCTGAGGTCAGGAGTTCGAGACCAGCCTGACCAACATGGAGAAACACTGTCTCTACTAAAATACAAAATCAGCCAGGTGTGGTGGTGTGTGCCTATAATCCCAGCTACTTGGGAGGCTGAGGCAGGAGAATTGCTTGAACCTGGGAGGCAGAGTTTGTGGTGAGCCAAGATCGAACCATTGCACTCCAGCCTGGGCAACAAGAGTGAAACTCCAACTCAAAAAAAAAAAAAAGAAAGAAAGAATGGGTAGCACCACAATTCCAATAAATCTCCACCTTTTTCCAGGAATTTTCATGAATATTCCACCCCTCGGTTAAAGAAACCCATAAAGATAGCAGCCCCAAACCCCATTCTGTGGCTCTCTTGAGTCTGCCCCCACACTTTCTTTTTGCAAGAGTGTACTCTTCACTCTGCAATAAATCTTTGTACTTTCACTGTTTTCTGACTCATCCTTGAAATCCTTCTCACAACAGTGTCAAGAGCCTGGATGCTGGCTAGGGTCAGGGTCCCACTAGTGTTTAGGGACCTCCCTGGCCCCTGTATCAATTCCACCCCAGTTTGTGCGAGGACACTTGGCCGCTCCCCGCGCTCTGGGGAGTCTGGTCTGGGGAGTCGATTTCTCCAACTGTGCACCTGCTGGCATGATGGGCACCTGGGTGTGTGTGCCCCACGTGAGCGTGCATGTGCAGGGTGCGTCTTGCAGAGCAGGAGGCTCAGGAACTAAGATCCAGACAGATCAACAGATTCTAGGTGATGGGAAACAAGAACTAGTCTGTTACAACTAAAAACGCCTGGAGGCAAACGACAAGTCAGTGTCTCCCAGGCCTGGCTTTCTTAGTGCACAGGGCTGCCTGGGGCACAGGCAGGGCTCCACAATGACTGTCGCTGGCTGGTTACAAGAAATAGGGGGTTTGCCACATCCCTGAAGTCAGTGTAGATCTCACAGCATTGATGCATTTCAGAAACGCACCTGGAAGGGTGCAGAAGTGTGAGATAGCTTGTATGCCGCCACCTCATCTCAGGACCTGTTTCTATCTTGCTCTCTCCTCTCCAAGGCAGTGGGATGCGAGGGCCCAGAGGGGCCCACAGAGGGGGTCTGCACTCTGTTCCCCTGACAGGCCCTGCCCTGGCCCTGTAACACTCATGACCAGAGCATGGCTCTAGGGAACAGGACCAGAGGGCAAACCCAACACAGAAGCGATGACAAGCGATGGGAGATGGCAAGGCAGAGCGGAAAGGGGGCCAAGGCTGTCCCTGGAAGTCCCTGCCAGTCTAGGGACAGGAAGGAGCTTGGAGAGGTGCTGAACTCAAGGGCCAGATGGCTGCTTTTCCATGAGGGAGCCAGGGTCACTCTCTAAGAGCCCAGGCAGCTCACTGAAAGCCTTGTCCTTCCCATCCCTCTCACCTGGACTGCAATTCAAATTCCTCGCCCAGGGCCCTGAGACCCTGACCAGGCCCCTGCCCTCTCCCATCTCCCCCTTGCTCTCAGTGCTCCTGCCCACCTCCTGCCTATGTGTCCATGAAATGCCCAGCAGCACTCCCCCCTCCCCAGATCCAGCACTCCACTCCAAGGCAGGTTCTCCAGGACGCCACCCTGGCCTTGGCACAGCCATGGCTCTCCAGGGCCCCCTTCATTTCTCTCCACAGCTCCAGACACCCAACATGACATTACAGTTTTCCTGTTTGTTTTCGATCTCTGTGAAGGCAAGGGTTTTACTTATTTAGTGTGGAATTGCCGATGCTGAAGATACTGCAGGAGTTTAGTCATACTTATTGGATGAATGAAAGAAGAAACAAGTTAGCTAGCTAATGCACACAGAAGGCCTGCGGCTGTAAGAACCCTGGCCATGAGGTGGAGCACAGAGAAGTTCTCGGCCTTGGTAGCCACAGAAAGAAATGACGCCGATGCCACAAACACGTCTTTCTGAAGGTGTCAGCATCTCCATCAGGGCAGAGAAGCCTTTGTTCTTCTTTGAGCAGCCCTTCCTGGTCTGGCCACATGGCCCTGCCGGGACAGATGCCCTTCATGCTCCTTTCTGACTGCATCCCCGACCCAACAGCAAGGGCCAGAGAGTCCTTCAGCCCAATGCCCACCTGTAAGTGTAGCACACCAGGGACAGGGGGCTAACCTGGCCCACTGCTCTTCCCCAGCACAGCAGGCAGGTGCCTTTTGCTACACTTCCTGGAGAGGCAGCAAGGTCCTTGATGTTTTCTGAACTGGATCATGGTTGGGGAATAAAAAAGAAATGATCACTCTCATCAAAGTTTCATGTAAGGAAAAAAGACCCCTATTTAAAACTATTATAAAACTTCAAATGCCTGAGAAGCATATGAAAAGGTGCTCAGGTTCATTAAACATCAAGGAAATGCAAAGTAAAGCCACAATATCATACTACCACCCACCCAGCAGAAATGAGAAGACAGCAAGCGTTGGGGTGCGTGTGGGACCGGCAGGGGTCTGCGGACGTGCCAGCGGGAGTGGAAATGGGAAACCGTTGACCCTGGTGATTCCACCCCGACACTTCCAACAAAATGCAGCTCAAGGGGGCTCTGCGGGGCTGCTTGAGTTCTGGGGCTTTTTTTGTTTGTTGAGGTGAAATTTGCATTAATACACAACCATTTTAAAGTGAATCCTTCAGTGGTATTTCACACAAGTGTTTCCAGTGTATAAAAAAATCAGTGAGCTTTTGATACATGCACTTTTCTGAATGTATATATCAAGTCAACAAAGATTTTAATAAACAGAGTGATGAAGTGATGAAATGTAAAATGCACTCTTTCCTCAAGCGCACTTCTTACAAGCAGCTTTGCTTTGTAAACAGAGAGGAGGTGTACGCACTGGCACTCCTTCCGCTGACTCTGCTGCTCCGCGTTCTCCCTGGTGGAGCAGGCCCTGGTGGCTTCTGCTACATATCACCAGATTCCCTTCTGATGATGATTTATGCACTATCTATACATGTGACAAAACTCATTGGTAACCTTTCCAGATGGCTTTAAATTGTAACTTGCTATTTGTTTGTATGCTTAGCCAAGCTGCTACATTCCCAACTCTTTGGAGAAAGGAAACTGTTTTACTTCAGTAAGGGGGAAAGTCACAAACCAAAAATAAATATGTAGTAAAATAATCTTGACACAAGAAAATCACCTCCAATGTGACATATCCCAGGGAACTACGTCTGCAGTAACGTCCTCATTATGTGGGTTCCGCAGCCCAACATGATTAATGTTTGAAGAGCAGAGAACGGGGTTAAAATCCAGTTTCTAGAATCCTCAGTTCTTGATATTTCCAGATGGTGGATGCACCCCACAACCATGAGCAATTATCAGTAACCCAGAGCTACTTCAGCAGAGGCAGCTTCTGAATAAAGCTAAACCAGAAGAGAAGGGAAAAGTCCCGCTTTAAAGCAGTTAATGAATAAAGCTTTACCCTTTTGCATTTTTAACCACAGCTGATGCTTCCTATTCCTATTTTTTGTAGTGATAATACTTATTTATCCTGGCATCTTTCTTAGGGACAAGGTCTTGCTCTGTCGCCCAGGCTGGAGTGTGGTGGCGTGATCATGGCTCACTGAAGCTTCAAACTCCTGGGCTCAAGCGATCCTCTTGCCTCAGCCTCTGAAGTCGCTGGGATTCCAGGCGTGAGCCACCGCTCCTAGGCCTGGGTTCTTGATACATAAATTCTATCACACAGATGGCACTATGTGACATATAGGGATAATTATTAAGTTACTAAAACTGAAGCACCCAGCAGAGAGAACACAGCAAGTGGGCAGGTGATCCCAGGCCACGCCCCGGGCCCAGCAGGGCACATCTCTGTTCTACAAGTGGGTTCAGAGCAGCAGGGGCAGCAGCCACAAGCAGCATGAGGATGGTCACTACTGTCATGCCGTACCATGGAACTGATGCCCTATACATGTCCCTGGCCTGCAGACATGGAGAGCAGACAGGGTCATCATGCCCAACAGGAAGCAGGCGGAGGCCCAGGAGCCACGAGGGCACGTGGCCAAGTTTCCCAGCCTGGTGGCTGAGGCCGAGCCCCTCACTCAGGCCTTCCTGGCTCCCAACTCCGTGTTTCTACCACCAACTACACTCCTACCAGAGGCTTTGTGGGGTCAGTGGAAAAGGGGCAGCTCCAAGCAGTAATAGTTATGCCAGCACTGTGCCAGCCAGACACCTGGAGAGCAAAGCACAGGCCCACAAAGCAGGTCCTCCCCACGAGGAGCTCAGGTCCACCGAGGGAAGGCAGGAGCTCCGACACTCTCCACTCACATCCCTGGATGCCCAATACTTAGCGAAGTCCTAGTAAACAACAGGTATTCAGCAAATATTGGTCAGTAAATACGCTGCAGAATATTTCTCCAAATAGGGAGACGGTGTCGTGATAGAGCTCATCCACTGGGTGACGTGCCTGTCTACAAGTCTCAGAAGAGCTGCAGAAATACAAATTATATTCTAATGTTTTAGAGTGATCGTCTACCATGTTAAATACATCTAATAATATGACTGCATCCAAGGGTGGGCTTAAGCAAGCTAGTATAACCACCAGGGATATTTAAATCTACCCCCAAATATCCAAATCGATTCACATTTACTGACACCCATTTGAAAAATCAAGGAAGATACTGGCACTGGGTCAGATATGTGCATTAGTGCCTGTCTCTCCAGGTGGGGGCAGGGGGAGTCAGATCTTTTTAATTCCTACAGAAGAAAATTTCTGTAAGAATACAGATAGTGAGATAGAAAGTGATTCGTTGGTCTTGTTTTTTGAGACAGGGTTTCACTGTCACCCAGGCTGGAGTGCAGTGGTGTGATCATGGCTCACTGCAGCCATGACCTCACTGCAGCCTCGATGCTCCAGCAACAGAGGCTCCCACTTCAGCCTCCCAAGTAGCTCGGAGTAGCTGGCACACCACCGAACCCAGCTAATTTTTTTATTTTTTTACTTTTTGTAGAGACAGGGTCTCCCCATATGTTACTCAGGATGGTCTCAAACTCCTGGGCTTAAGTGACCCGTCTGCCTCAGGCGCAAGCCACTGCACCCAGCCTAGAAAGTATTTTAACATTTTCTAAAGGCAACATAAAAAGCACAGCTTAGAACTTGTTCTCTAAAACTAATCCAAAAATACGTGCCTGGCCTGCTCTGTGTTTTCGTCTTCCTTGCCACTGGATCTCCTGCTCCTCTCAGCCTACAGACCCCAGCATCACCCAGCGAATGCAGAGGAAGGAGCCACACTTCTGAGGAGGGGAAGGAAAACGAAGGTGAGTCTTACCATCAACTCCCTGGGTGGGCTTCGGCCCCTGGGTTCACCTCATTGCTGTCACACAGGGATGGCAAGGGGCTTTTGCTCCTTCCCTGGATGGAGGGAAAGAGAACATAGACATCTCACGGGCCAAGTCAGAAAGGGACAGACCAGGGTTAAGCTAAGCAGGGGGCCCAGGGGTCTTGAGCTGTGAAGCAGATGGCAGGAGACAGAGCAAGTGAGCTGAATGTGGGGCCTGCTACTGAGAGGAGAGAGACCTTCATAGGACCAGGAAGGAGGGGCTCAGAACAGACGGAGCGCTAGTGAGTACTGCTGGGTAAGACCTGGGAAGACCTGCCCACAACACCTTCCTGTCTGAGCTGCTTGGGAAAGGGTCTCATTTCTCTGAGTCCCACTTTTCTGATCTGCAAAGTGGAGATAACGTCTACCCTCACAGAGATGGGGAAGATTAAATGATACAACACGCACAGTATCTGGCGTTTGGTAAGCATCCGGCAAACACATCCTAGCTTGCCGACTAGGGGCCAGAAGCCTGGAAGAGAGGCACAGCACCCACATGCCTCAGCCCCACTCAGGATAGATGTGACCAACCCCAGGGCTCCCACCCACCATGCTGGCTGAAGGCTCAGGGTTCTTAGCACAGCAGACAGGCAGCCACACTGCTGCGTGATGCCTGACATGACCCCCGGGTCCAGGGGTCTGTCCAGGCAGGGGCAGCACAAGTGTTTCACAAAGGTTTCCACAGCAAAGATCGAGGACTAGACTTGGAGATGGGAGCTTCAAGGAAGAGAACTCAGTTCTCAGCACACCAGTTAAAGCTGAGAGCCCAAGAACACAGTGAGAAACTCAGTAACTACAGAGCCGTGTTGTGGCAGGTCTGGCTAGATGCTGAGCCAAAAGGACTGGGGCTCAATATATTCTCTCTGTGGAGAGATGGGTTTGAGACCAGGGATAAAACCTGTCCTGAAAACATGCGCTCAGAAAACAACACCCCAAGATATGGTGCTCTGGCATGCTGACTGCTTTGAACAATGGAGATTGAAAGGCCTCAGAAATAAGCTCAGAACCAAGGCCTCTCTCCACCTTGCTTCCTTGCCCTCTTTCCCTTCTGAAGCATGGGGGTGGGCTCTCTCTGAAGGTCCCTCATCTGACCTAGGGAAGTTCCTCTGGAAGGAATGCATTTGTCTTAGACTCCCCTCCCTAGGATTTATATTAATCACAGAAAATTAACTCTTAACATAGGAGAGAAAACTCAAAGTCTCCATGCCCAGGACAGACTTCACCTATTCTTTCAACTAAAGGGCTGTTACCTGAGAGACTTAATCTGCATAATTAGACAACCTTTGTTCACAGTGCACTTCCACCCCTCACCTTCCCATAACTTGTCACTACCTCCCCCAGGGCCCATAGGAACTTAGTCCCAGTCCATTGTCTGCTCTTGAGTCCACTCATCTCCTCATTGAGGGGTCCCTCTCCACACAGACTGATGGGGCTCAGAGAGGCGGCCCCTGCAGTCCCCATGGGACAGCTCTGACCCGGCCCTCTCAGGCATGCTGTGCTCCTTCCCATGCAATTGGCCTCAATTTTCACTTTTGTTTCTGAGTGGTGATGGGGGGAACTGAAATACTCAAATGCTTGTAAATAAATCACCCTGTCTCATTGCTCAGCTGAGTGTTTTTTGCCAATACAGAGCTTCCGTGTGCTCACGCTCATGGGAGTCAGCTGTGGGGAAGGTGGGACGGTGGGGTTTGCACAGAATAAGCACATGGCGTGGTCTGCAGGGCCTCCTTTTTATGCAGCTGCCTGCGCTCCTGTCCTGTCCCTGGCAGAGGAAGTGTGTGCAGAAGGATCTGAAAGTCGGGGGTGAGGTGGGCAGCGGGTTCAGAGGCAACCGTCCCCAGGGGTGTGAGTTTGGCACTGGTTCTCCACCTGATATGCCCCCAGGCACTGCCCTTCTCTGCAGGCCCCCAGCCCTCACTACAGGCCAGGCTTCCCCACTGGGTCTCCTTCCTGGAAGGCAGCGTTGGCCTTCCTGTCCCTGCTTGCCTCCCCACTGTCCACCTCGGCCACAGAGACGCTCACTCTCCCTCCTCAGTCTGGAGAGCTCCTCACTGCCCCTGCAGGCCCTCCAGTCCTGTCACTTCAGTCACTCTGTCTCCCCCAGCCCCACTCCAGCCCTGCTCCGCCCTCTGCCCTCCTGCCCTGTGAGCCTTCTGCCTTCCCCCTCCTGCCCAGCAAACTCCACTCACCTCTCACGCTCTGTCATTTCCTCCAGGAGATCTTTTCTAAGTTGAAGCCTTCTGTCCAAGACACTCCCATAATGATGAATCTAACCATCCTCCCTTCCTAGAGGGGCTCATGGAGAACAGAACATGGCTGCCCTGCCTGGATCCCTTCAGAGCCTCAGGCCCAGCTCAGGACCCTGCCTAAGAGCAGGCACTTGATAAACGCCTGTTGAATGAATGAATACATGAGCCATGGTGTCCAGCGAGAGAACACTGCTGCCCCAGAAGAGGTGCGTGCGGTGGGGAGGGGGTGGAGACTGGGGGACAGGAACAGTGACAACAGGGGCCCAGTCTTGGGTGGTGGTCACAGCTCGAGGGCCACCAGAAGTCTTCCCAGCAGACGGGGCCATGCACAACCGTGTCACAGCACATGCCTCAGAAATCATGTTGCTGACAGCAGTCAGCGTCAAGCCACAGTCAGCGTCTACACGTGCCCCCGCTTCTCAGGCTTTGAACCTGAATCACCCCTTCTGTCCAGAGGAAGCCATCCACAAAGTTGGAGCATCAAGGTGAGAGCTGAGGCACAGGAGAGGGAAGTGTCTGCCTCAAGACTCTGTCCTCTTCCAGACACGTGTCCTGTCCCCGCTTCCCCAGCTAGGCAACCTCTCAAAGCAGGGTGTTCACTCTCAACAGGGCAGAAGAATTTGCCCATCTTCTGATAGGGCAGAAGATGACGGGAGGACAGCCACACATGTTCCAAACTGCTCTCAGCTTCCAGGTCAGGCTCAGCCATTGTGCAGCCCACACTGGCGTGTCTGTCTGTCTGGCATGCATGTCTGCCCCACCCCATGTCCGTCCCTAGGACATGTGCATCCACAGCTCCCACACCAGAGTTCCCAGGAAGACAACGATCAGGCCAGAATGCTGGACTTTTGCTTAGGTCAATGTTATATGTTTCTTAGATGCTGACACACTAGTCAAGGCTCTGGCTGACACGGCTGACAGCCAGGACGTGGGTTTTCACTGGGAGTCATGGGTGTCTGTGAGGCTGGATGACCTTCCACTTCCTACTCCAGGTCACTTATTTCTAACATTTGTCATCATGACCCAAATCTAACTTTAAAAGCATTCTTCCACTTAATGAAGCTCCAGTCAGAATTTATGACTTAATTTTTAGAGAAGTTTTAGGTTCACAGCAAAATTGGAGAGGAACATGCAGAGATTTCTCACGTGCTCTCTGCCTCCCACCCCCAACACACGCACAGCCTCCCACATGATCACATCCCACACAGAGTGGCGCATCATTACGCTTGATGGACGGACACCACCACTCCTTCATCACCCAGAGTCTGTGGCCTTCGTTAGGGTTCACTCTTGTACATTCTCACAGGTCTGGACAAATGTATTTTGCCATGGATCTACTGCTACAGTACCATACAGAATAGGCTCACGGCCCTAAAAATCCTTTGTGCTCCTCCTAATCGTCCCTCCCTCCCCGCTACCCTGGCAATGATCTTCTTACTATCTCTACAGTTTTGCCTATTCCAGAATGTCACACAGTTGGACTCACACTGTACGTAGCTTTCAGACTGGCTTCTTTCACTTAGTCACAGGTATTTAAGTTTCCTCCATGTCTTTTCATAGCTTGAAAAGAAAAAGCACATTTCTTTTTAGTGCTGAATATACTTCATTGTCTGGATGTACCACAGTTTAGTTATCCATTCTCCTACTGAAGGACATCTGGGTTGCTTCCAAGATTTAGCCATGATGAATAAAGCTGCTATAAACTTCCATGTGAAGGTTTCTGTGTGGACATAATGTTTCAATTCCTCTGTGTAAATACCGAGGAGCACAATTGTTGGATCATATGGTAAGATTATGCTGAGTTTTGAAAGACACCGTCAAACTGTTTCCAATGTGGCTGCCCCCCGCCATAGATGAGAGTTCCGGTGGCTCCACATCCTCCCCAGCACTTGGTGTTGTCAGTATTCTGGATTGGGGCCATTCTAAGAGGTATACAGTGGGATCTCATTATTTAATTTGCATTTCCCTGATAACATATGGTGTGGAGCATCTTTTCATATGCTTATTTTCCATCTGCATATTTTCTTTGGTGAGGTGTCTATTAAAATTTTTGGCCAATTTTTTAATCAGGTTTTTTTCTTTTTTCTTACTGTTGAGTTTTAAGAGTTCTTCGTATAGTTTGGTCCATTATCAGATTGTCTCTGTAAATATTTTCCTCTAGTCTGTGGCTTTTCTTTTCTTTTCTTTTCTTTCTTTTTTTAGATGGAGTCTCACTCTGTTGCCCAGGCTGGAGTGCCATGGTGCGATCTCAGCTTGCTGCAGCCTCCGCCTCCCGGGTTCAAGCGATTCTCCTGCCTCAGCCTCCCAAGTAGCTGGGATTACAGGCACCCACCACCATGTCCAGCTAATTTTTGTATTTTTAGTAGAGATGGGGTTATGCCATGTTGGCCAGGCTGGTCTCCAACCCCTGACAACAGGTGATTCGCCTGTCTTGGCCTCCCAAAGTGCTGGGATTACAGATGTCGGCCACTGCACCCAGCCCTCTTTTCAATGACTTAAAAGTGTCTTTCACAGGGCAGAAATGTTTAATTTTAATGAAGTGCAGCTTCTCAATTATTTTTTTCATGCCCCATGCCTTTTGTATTATATCTAAAACATCACCATCAAACCTGAGGTCATCTAGATTTTCTCCTATGTTATCTTCTAGGAGTTTTAAGTTTTATGTCTCATATTTAAGCCTGTGATCTATTTTGAATTAATTTTTGTGAAAAGTGTAAGGTCTATGTTTAGATTCAATTTTTTGTGTGTGCATGTGGAGAGCCAGCTGTTTCAGTACCATTTGTTGAAAAGATAATCTTGCCTCCACCGTATTACCTTTACTTCTTTGTCAAGATTCATAGGCCATATTTTTATGTGGATCTGCTTCTGGGCTGTCTGCTCTGTCAACTGATCCATCTGTCTGTTCTTTTGCCAACCTATCTTGATGCCTGTAGCTTTATGGTAAGTCTTTAAGGCAGGCAGCGTCATTTCTCCTCCTTTGCTCTTGCCCTTCAGTACTGTGTTGGCTACTCCAGGCAGTCTCCCTTTCCATATAAACTTTAGAATCAGTTTTTCCGTATCCAAAAAACAACTCACTGGGATTTTTATGAGGAGTGCATTGAATCCATTTATGAATTTGGGAAGAACCGGCATCTTGACTATATTAAGTCTTCCTATCCATGAACTTGGAATATTTCTCCATTGACTTCTTTGACTTCTTTAATCAGTTTTGTCGTTTTCCTCATATAAATCTCATGCATATTTTGTTAGATTTACCTAAGTATTTAATTTCTTGCATGCTATTATAAATGGTTTTGTGCTTTAAATTTCAAATTCCACTTGTTTATTGTTGATATATAGGAAAAAAGCAATGTGAAGCCAAGCAAGGATTTTAGGCAAAGAACAGACACAGCTGAATTTTGTTTTCAAACTAGAACCCAGTTGATGTTCAGAATGGATTAAAGGAGAATAGGTGCTTGGGACAACGGGAAAATACCAACTGTTAATCCTGACCTTCTAGGGCAGCACACCAACACTTGGATGTGTATATTCATCACCTGGCGATTCCGTTACAGTAGAAGATATGCTACAGCAGGCCTGGGTGGAATCCAAGAGTCAGCATGTCCAACAAGCCCCAGGTGATGCCAATGCTGCAGGCTCTCAGACAACCCCGAGTCAAGAGGGTCTGGGGGAAAGCAGATGGGGCTCTGAGCTCAGGCAGAGACCGTGAGGAGGGGAGGATGGACTATGTTCCAGAGAAAATACACTGTCTTGCCACTCTTGTCTTTCTCCCTCACTGTATCAGAAGTAGGTCCGAAGCAGGAAGGAGGGGGACGAAGGAGTCAGTGGGAGCAGATGAGTAAAAAGCACCTGCCTTTGGTATCCTTCGTTGATCTGAGATGCATTATCCGAGCCCGGGACCACGGAAAAGCCGCCAGTTTCCCCTAACCAGTGAGATGTGCCTGCTGGATTTTTCCTGCAGCTCTGGCCCTTGACTACATCGACTTGAGGGATGCCCTTGACTGCCTGTCAGCAGGGCCTGCATCAGACGCCTCTTCTGCACCCCCTTTCTCCTTCCAAAATGCGAACATGGCTCATCAAAAGGAGCGAGAGGTGCGGGGTCACTTAAGCACTTAGATATCCCCTGGGCTCACTTCTTTGCTCTCCAAACTGTAGTTTTCTCAGCTATGAAAAGAGGGGCTTGGTCTAGAAAACACCTCTAATTGCCTTTCCATAATCCCATGACCTGAGCTCTCCCCTCAGCCTTTGAAAGCCTCCTCTTTGTTTCCAAAGATCAACATCCAAGCCATGCTGCCTGCACAGAGTCAGGTTTTCTCCGCTTGGGCTTCTGCCAGTACTGAAGAGAAATGCATGACAAGTATCCCGCCTGATAGAGGCAGGTGGGAGGGCTCTTCTAGAAGCATTCTGCTACTGTTTCTCATGGGTCATGGAGGCAGCTGGGTGGCCACAGAGGACCTGCTGCTGGATGCTTTCTCGGGTGAGCGTGCATTTCCCACCTCATGGACCTCCTTCCTTGTTCTTCTGACCATGGTTCCATCAACAAACGCCCATGCCCAGGAAGGTCGGGGCCCCAGCTTTTTTTAGGCCAAGGAGCAGAAGTCTAACACCACAGCTGTCTTGCTAGAAGATAAAGTGAGGCCTAAAAGAAGGACCCCTCTGGGGAAAATTAGGGCCCAATCCTCCTGGTATTCCTTGTTTCATTCTTTACCACAGAAAAATTCCACCAAAATTACTAATATTCATTACCATGAGTTCAGTCTCCTACAAAGCCTAGTCCATTGTGAGGTCAAATTCAAACATGTTTGTATAAACGGATCTTAGTGAGTTTTCTTGAGACATCAAAAAGGATAAGAAAAATATAATTAGAGAACTTTTTCAGATAAAAGGCATAGTCCATTCCAATTTAAATATTATCCATGTCACTCCATTCCTTTGTCCAAAAATATAAGCTGAAGCAAATATCTGCTGGAGACCACATCTAGGGGCAGGAACAGTCCTCACCAGGCACCAAGCAGGTCCCACAGTGAGTGAAGTGGGCTGTGAGCAAACAACATCATGGGCCTCAAGATCCTGCAGAGGCTCTTGGCCTCTGTGTGGAGGAGACAGAGAGGGCCTAGGGACAGGGGACACGTGGCCCACCTGCTACTGCATCTTCCCATTTTTTGCAAGAAATATGACTGGATTTTTTTTTTTTTTGAGACAGGTTCTTGCTCTGTTGCCCAGGCTGGAGTACAGTGGTGTAATCATAGCTCACTGCCGCCTAGATCTCCTGGGCTCAAGGGATCCTCCCACCTCAGCCTCCTGAGCAGCTGGAACTACAGGTGCACACCACCATGCCAGGCTAATTCTTAACTTTTTTTAGAGGTGGGGTCTTGCTACATTGCCCAGGCTGGTCTCAAACTCCTGGACTCAAGCGATCCTCCTGCCTCAGCCTCCCAAAGTGCTGGGATTACAGATGTGGGCCACCGGCCCAGGCTGGGTTTTCAACATGAAGTCTCCTAATTCAGTCTTAATGTTGGCAATTTACTTCTAATTTTTAAACACTGAGGACTTCATTTTTAAAACAGTGAGGTGTACACACCAAGTTAAACATGCGTCTGGACCAGATGTGACCCCTGAACGTGACTTTGCCACCTCTCACCCACAAAGCAGAGCCCCTTCCATAAGGAAGCCACAGGCACTTAAGGCATCCATGTGCCAACATACCGAGTTTTAAATCTGTTACAGATTTACAGACCCTTCAGTCTGGTCCCCCCGGATTAATCCAAACTATATCTCAGATTCCCCTGACAAACACCCCATTCTAATGAGGCTGACCTCCCGTTCCCCTGACAAACACCCTGTTCCAATGAGGCCGATCTCCTGGGCACCTGTGATCAGACCATTTCCATTTCCTCCTCCATCCCTTTGCTCAAATTCTTTCGTTCCTCTGCAATGTCCTTTCTTCTTCCTTAGAGTCAGAAGCACAGTCATACCCCACCTTTCTACACCATTGTCCTTGACTCCTTTGATGACTGTGTCTTTTATTATTTGCACCACACAGTTTAGCATGGAGTCATGCACGGCTGCTTATTGTGAGCTAGCTGTTTCATATGTACTCCTGATGAGGCTGTGAATTCTGGAGGGAAGAGGCCAGGTCTTGTTGGCTGTTCACAAGATTTCTTGTGTTTTAGGGTAATGGGAGTCCGTGTGCACCATAAGCTACAAAGACACCCAGGACATTGGCCACAAAACACACTGCATTAATTGATACAAAACAGAACAGCCAGGCAGGGCCCAGTGGCTCATGCCGGTAATCCCAGCACTTTAGGAGGCTGAGGCAGGAGGACTGCTTAAGACCAGCCTGGCCAACACAGCAAGAACCTGTCTTTACAAAAAAAAAAAAAAAAAAATCAGCGGGGTGTGGTGGCGAGCACCAGAGTCCCAGCTACTCTGGAGGCTGAGCCACAAGGATTCCTGGAGCCTAGGAGATCAAAGCTGCAGTGAACCAGCCTTGAGCTCCTGGGCTCCAGGGATCCTGTTGTCTCCGGGCCACAGAGTGAGACATCTCTTAAAACAAAACAAAAAACAGAGCCACCACTGTGAATCTGGCATTCCTCATACTGGGAGAAAGAATTGTTTAACCTAAGTGAAAAAGATCTAGTGAGGAAAGTGCCAAGCACAGACTGAAAACAGCAAACTTAACGTTTGCACCCTTGAGGCTCCTGTCTGCTCCACTTCCCTCTGGAGTCACGTCAACACTGGATGTGACTAAGGCTTCTTTGGGTGCTTCCCAGCAATCAAGAGGAGCCACCCCAGACCCAGGGCAAGCACCCTCAGGCCCCAAACTGTGGCTCCTGGGAGCCCATGGCATTTGTCTATGACCCATAAACCATCTTAACCCCAGATAAGCAGGACTCAGCTCATGCTAAACCATGAGGAATCCTCCACCAACCCCAGCACCTGTAGCCCCTGGGCCGCACATTTCCTGGGTCAGCCTGAGTCCTCTCTAACTGCCACCCAAAAATCCCGAGTCAGACATAGCCATCCTAACCTCGGGAGACAAAGACCTTTTGTTGTTTGTTGTTGTTGTCTTTGAGACAAGGTGCCAGGTAGGTGTGGGGTAGAATCAACTCTACTTCTGGAGTCTCCAGACACTCTCATGATCTGCACCTGTGGCCCCTCTCCCTCTGGCCAGGCACTGGCTTCACTTCCATCCCAGTTCCTCTGCTCCCCTGCAGACCATCCTCTGGGTCCAGGAGGAAGGGAGCAAGACCCACCTGGCCCCGAAGTCCTCACTGGGGTATCAGGACTGCTGCACTGGCCACACCATCACTTTCTGTCCTGCATGGAGGGAGCAATGGCTTGGATCTGCACCCAGTGGGCTGGAAGCCGCTTCCCAATGTTGCTTCCATTTGAATCTGACACGTGTCTAACTCCTGAGGTTGGGATGGATATGTCTGACTCAGGGTTTTTGCAGGCTGACCTAGGAAATGTGCAGCCCAAGGGCTGCAGGGGCTGGGCTGGTTGAGGATTCCTCACGGCTTAGCGGCTGTATTAGTCTGTTCTTACACTGCTATCAAAAATACCTGAAACTGGGTAATTTATATTAAAAAAGAGGTTTAACTGGCTCACAGTTCTGCAGGGGCCTGTACAGGAAGCATAGTGGCTTCTGCCTCTGGGGAAGCCTCAGGAAGCTTCCAATCATGGCGAAGGCAAAGGGGGAGCAAGCACATCTTAATGGCTAATGCAGGAGAGAAAGAGCACGAGGCGGGTTCTGCACACTTTCAAACAACCGAACCTCATGAGAACTCACTACCACGACAACAGCACCAAACAGATGGTGCTAAGTCATTCACAAGAAACCACCCCCATGGTCCAACCACCTCCTACCAGACTCCACTTTCAATGCTGAGGATTACAATTCAGCAACAGATCTGGTGGGACACAGAGCCAAACCACATCAGCAAGAGCATGGGTCCTATTTGTCTGGGGTTAAGGTGGTTCCTGGATCAGAGACAAATGCCACAGGCTCTCAGGAACTTCACTTTGGGGCCTGAGGTTGCGTCTCTCAAAAAGAAAGTGTTTGAATTTGGATCTGGTGTATAAGCCCCGCCCCTGTATAATATGTATATTATAAATATATATAAAATGTAAACGTTATATATATATATATATATATATATATATATATATATATATATGAGATGGGATCTTACTGTGCTGCCCAGACTGGAGTGTAGTGACACGATCATAGCTCACTGCAGCCTCCAACTGGGCTCAAGCAAGCCTCCCACCTCAGCCTCCTGAGTAGCTGGGACTACTGCAGATGCATCACTACACCCAGCTAATTTTTACTTTTTGTAGAGACTCAAACTCCTGGCCTTAAGCTATCATCCTGCCTCAGCTTCCCAAAGTGCTGGGATTACAGGCATGAGCCACAGTGCCCAGCCCCCACTAGGTTTTTGAATCTGTCTGGCTGTGATATGATTTTCATGCAGAAACACCTAGACTATGGGATAAATGCCTACAATAAACAACTAGAGAAGCTGGAGATGGGATGAAGAATCCAGGCCACGTGCTCTTTCTTACCCTTGTGGGATTTTTGCCTGGGCAAGAAGAAGACACATTTTTAATGTCTCTGTTTTGAAATGAACATAACTCACCTGATGTATGATCTTTAGGTTATAATTAGGTTTGCTTTTTCTGTGAACTATATTCTGCCTTCAAATGCTTCAATCCATCTGATGTGCTGGCAGGCGGGGGCGGGGGGTTCTCAGTGTATTCCCATAAAGTATTTTCATTTCAGTTGAGAAGATTAATTAATGTTGACTTCTACAAACAAATGCTGTTCAGAGAATGATAATGACATACTGAGATGATGAGTAAAGAATTAACACTATCTTCTAACGTTTGCAAAAGACAGACATAAACACTACCACAAAATGTTCTCTACACATTACTCAAGAAAAAGAGGTACGTGTTTGCTCAGATGTGCTCGCTGTTAACTATGAAACCTGTCCCTTTCTACCCAGTGAAAACAAACAAGGAGTATGTTTGTGAAGCAAGATTATTCATGAGAATAGAACATTCTGCAGTGTATTAACCAGGGACCTCTGTGATGTGTAAATGAAATCATTTTATTGCACTTGACCTTAAACTGTCTCTCCGTAACCTTTCTGCCAACATTAAGGCCAAGTAGGTGCAAATTAAGGTAAGAAGACAGAGTGGATGGGAGTGGGTGGGTGAACAGGACAGAGGAGGCCGCCAGGTGGATTTCTCATTGGCGGAGAGGACGCCCAAACCCTCAGACCTGGCACCCAGCCTGGACAGGGTCGGGATCCTGCAGGCTCCACGGAGCAGCCCCTTTGTTTGTATTCTAATGTGTTTTGCAGCACAGAACAGAAGCTGCACTGTTATGCTGGAGCATTTCATGAACCTCAAGTCTTTTATCTGAAATCAAAGCTTAAATGACTTCTTTTATCTGCTGGCTCGTGGGCCAGCCCCGTCCAGTGGCTGAATGAAAAGGAGGAAGGCCAGTGCTGTCCCATTTGCAGGCTTCAATGAGCTCGACAGCCCTGGGATCTCAGAGAGCAGAGAGCTGATCTGGTTGCAGGGACTTCAAAGACAACAGGCGCAGGAGCCCACACTGCCTCAGACTGGCCATGGCCAAGCCCCGGCTGGATGGCACAATGCGAGGCCTTCCCTGACGGCCAGGCCCGTCCACCCTCGGTCTGGGGAGGGGGTTGGCTGGGAGGTGGGCAGCGTCTTCCAGTGGTGAAGATGAAGTCACCCAAACGAAACCCTTCTGCCTACAATTAAGAGTGCAGTTTCTCTGCACAGAAGGTGGAAATCGTGTTTTTATGACCAGAGCTTCCTTCTTCCCATGACTTCCCCTTATAAGATTGTGTCTTCTCTGGGAACAATTAGATATTAATTATGCGGTAAATGCTTTTTATAGTGCCAAAGATTCTATATATGCCTGAAAGAAAATAAAATAAAACAAACAACACTGTTCTTCAAGAAAAATGGAGTCTCACCGGTGAGCAATTCTTATGAAACAGGAGAATTTGGCTTGGCAGAAGCCACGGGGCCATCCCAGGTACCACTGTGAGCTGCTCCATCCTGCCTCCGGCACCTCCTCTTCACCCGGCACCTCCTTGTGCCATCCCGAGGCCGTCATCCCTCCACCCTCCCCAGCTCCACGGAGCCCTCCAGTGCTCCAGGCCACTGACTCTCCGAGTGGGTCCCTGAACCAGCAGCATCAGCATTACTCTCTGCAAACTTGTCAGAAATGCAAATTCTCAGAACACCCCAGACCTTCTGAATCTCAGGACAGTGACCGGATGTACAAGAGTTGGAGAACCAGTGCCTGGGCCTTTTCTTCCCCTCTTCTCTCCATTACGAAAGAAAAACAATGCTACATCCCTTCCAGTGGGGAGCCCATGCGCACTGTGACACGCTGTGCTGTGTGCATTCCACCGCCACTTCTGCTCAGTGTCCCGACACAGCAGACAGTGAGAGCAGCAGGACAGGGCAAAGGTACAGCCAGTGCTCACGCTGCTGTGATCTACACACAGCCTCAGCCAGACCCAGCGCATGGGTCTAACTCTCAGGTATCTATTCAGACATGGTCTCACGGAGGGCCAGGCAGCCTTGGGGCCCAATCACAAGCCAGTTAGAAAGGCCACGGAGTACAACAATCACTGGTTAATGATGTCATAACACTTTGAGTGCTGCCTACTAATTATGACATCATTAACAATCTCCAGCACTTTGCAAAGAGATCCCCAAGTTTGCTCTTTCACCCACAGTAAAGACACTCCCACACTTTGTCTACAAACGAGCTTCTTTTCACCAGGGCAGCCTGGGCGTGGAGAGGTGAATGCAGCTGCAGTGGCCGGTGGAGAGGGAGAGGGCGGTTACCAGGGCCACAAAGACCCCTGCTAGGCATTGCGTCCTAACAGGGGTCTTTGTGGGCACTCTGCTTGCCCAAGACACTGGGGAGAAGTGGAAGTTGAGAGCAGGGCAGCGCATGGGGAGTGAGGTCAGTGCTGTGTGTGGCTGAGGAGGGTGGCTGGGATCTGGGGAAGCAGAACTGACCCCAGCAGACACCCTTGCACCCTCATCCAGGCCCATACCAGAGCAGGAAGGCGGGAGTGCCATGACCAGAGGGTCAGCGATCCACTTCCCGCAACACATCCCAGCATGTGCCTCTGACTGACAGTGACTGACTCACTAACTCAATCAACAAACATGCCTAGAGCTCATACTAGATGCCAGACAGGGGCAGGGTGACTTCCTACACATCTCACAGGGCTCAGGGCTCCAGGACATTGGCTATTTTGCTGTGGCAGACATGAATTACGTGCCACAAGGATGGTGGCCAAGTGCTGGGTTGGTGAGGTGCCGGCGGAAGGATGAGAATCCACATCTCAACCTGACAGTATGATTTTCTAACCATCCTTATACACACTTCCAAAGTGCTGAAAACTTTATTTCCTCATGAAACACAACCATTCATGAGAGATTAAACTTGCAGGTGAGAAAATACGCAGGAAACACTTATTTCTCTATGAAAATATGAGTCTGAAGAAAGTCAAGAGACTCTACAAACATTTCTGCAGCCCTCTATTGGAGATTTGCAAAGGTCTGCATGTGCACCCCTTTGGATGTCAAGGGCTTACTGAATACCATTTCCACACGGTCTATCGCTATGTCAAAGGGCAACTGCTCCACCATCATTTCTGATCCACAGACCTGTTAGATGTTAGTCTGGAGAAGGAGAAATAAAACTCAATGTTGTTAATTGCACTCCAAATAGTCCCACGATTTTTTCTAACTTTTTATTGTAGTAAAATATATATAACAAATGTTGCCACTTTAATCATTATTAGATTTATTTTTAGAGATGGAGTCTCACTATGTTGCCCAGGCCAGCCTCCAAATCCCTGGCTCAAAGAATCCTCCCTCTTCAGCCTCCCAGTAACTGAGACACAATTCAGTGGTGTTACTAACATTTGCACTGTTGTGCAACTGTCACCACCATCCATTTCCAAATCTCTTCCCTGAACACAAAACTCTGTAACCATCAAGCAGTAAAGTCTCAATTCTTCCCTCCTCCAAGCTCCTGGTAACCTCTAATCCACTTCCTGTCTCTCTGACCTTGTGTATGCTAGATATTTCATATAAGCAGTATCATATATTTGTCATATCTTATATTTTAGTCACTGGCTTATTCCACTTAGCATAATGTTTTCCAAGGTTCATCCAAACTTCATTCCTTTTTATGGCTGAGTAATATTTCATCACGTGTATATACCACATTTTTTATCTCTTCATCAGTTGATAGACTTGTAAGTTATTTCCACTCTCTGGCCATTGTGAATAATGCTGTAATGAACAGTGGGTACAAATATCTGTTCCGGTCCTTGTTTTCAATTATTTTGGTTGTACACCTGGGAGTGGAATTGTTGCATCATATGGTAATTGTATGTTTAACTTGTAGAGAAACCATCAAACTGTTTTCCATAGTAGCTGCATCGTTGTAAACTCCTATCAGTAATAAAAAGGGGTTCCAATTTCTCCACATCTTTGCCAATGCTTGTTATTTTCTGATTTTTAAAATCATAACCCCTCTGGTAGGTGTGAAGTGGTATCTCATTGTGGTTTTGATTTTCCTTTCTCAAATAACTAAGAATACTTGGTATGTTTTCATTTGTTTATTGGTCATTGCATATCTTCTTTGGATAAATGTCTATTTAAGCCCTTTGCCCATTTTTGTGTTTGGTTATTTGTCCTTTTGTTGTTGAGTCTTTTAGTAGTTCTTTTTTTATTATTATTATACTTTAAGTTTTAGGGTACATGTGCACAATGTGCAGGTTAGTTACATATGTATACACGTGCCATGTTGGTGTGCTGCACCCATTAACTCGTCATTTAACATTAGGTATATCTCCTAATGCTATCCCTCCCCCCTCCCCCCACCCCACAACAGGCCCCGGTGTGTGATGTTCCCCTTCCTGTGTCCATGTCTTCTCATTATTCAATTCCCACCTATGAGTGAGAACATGCAGTGTTTGGTTTTTTGTCCTTGCAATAGTTTGCTGAGAATGATGGTTTCCAGCTTCATCCATGTCCCTACAAAGGACATGAACTCATCATTTTTTATGGCTGTATAGTATTCCATGGTGTATATGTGCCACATTTTCTTAATCCAGTCTATCGTTGTTGGACATTTGGGTTGGTTCTAAGTCTTTGCTATTGTGAATAGTGCCGCAATAAACATACATGTGCATGTGTCTTTATAGCAGCATGATTTATATTCCTTTGGGTATACACCCAGTAATGGGATTGCTGGGTCAAATGGTATTTCTAGTTCTAGATCCTTGAGGAATCGCCACACTGACTTCCACAATGGTTGAACTAGTTTACAGTCCCACCAACAGTGTAAAAGTGTTCCTATTTCTCCACATCCTCTCCAGCACCTGTTGTTTCCTGACTTTTTAATGATCGCCATTCTGACTGGTGTGGGATGGTATCTCATTGGGGTTTTGATTTGCAGTCCTTTATATATTCTGAATAATAAGCCTTCATCAGATAAATGACTTGCAAATATTTTCTCCCATTTTGTAGGATGTCTTTTTACTCTCTTAATAATGTCTTTGGATGCACACAAGTCTTTCATTTTGATAAAGTCAAATTTATCTGTTTTTTTTTCTTTTGTTGTTCATACTTTGGGTGTTATAGCTAAGAATCCACTGCCATATCCAACATCATGAAAACTTACCCCTATGTTTTCTCCTACGAATTTTATGCTCTTGGCTCTTAAATGTAAGTCGTTGATACATTTCAAGCTAATTTTTGTACCTGATATGAGATAGGGTCCAACTCCCTTCTTTTGATGCAGGAACCCAGTTGCCCCAGCATCATTTGTTGAAAAGACTATTCTTTCCCATTAAATGGACTTGGAGCCCTTATCAAAAATCATCCAATCATCCAGCCATAGCTGTGTGGATGTCCGGACTCTCAGTTCTCTTCATAGGTCTATGCATCTATCCTGAAGTCCACGCCACACCGTGTTGATTACAGTACTTTTGTAAATTTTGAAACTGGGAAGTGTGAGTCCTCTGACTTTGTTCTTTCTCAAGAGTGTGTTGGCTGTAAGGTGTGCCTTGAAATTCTATATGAATCTTAAGATCAGCTTTTGCAAAAGTGAAAGGCTGTTAGAATTTTGATAGGGATTGTATTGCATCTGTAGATGGCTTTAGGTAGTATTTATGTGTTAGCTATACTAAGTCTTCTTACCCATGAATATGGAACGTCTTTCCATTTAATTAGGTATTCTTTAATTTCTTTCAGCAATATTTTGTATTGTTTTCAGTGTACAAATCTTTCTTCCTGGGTTAAATTTACTTCTAGGTATTTTATTCTTTTAGAGCTAATTTAAATGAAATGACTTTGTTAATTTCCTTTTCAGATTGTTCATGGCACATGTATAGAAACACACTTGATTTTTGCATGTTGATGTTGTTCCCAGCAATTCTGCTGAATTCATCTATTTGTTCTAGTAGCTTTCTTGTGGCATCTCGGAGATACTCTATACATAAGATCATGTCATTTTTGAACAGGGATAGTTTTCATTCTTTTCTTTGCAATTGGATGCCTTTTATTTCTTTTTCTTGTCTAGTTGCTCTGGCTAGAACCTGGAGTACAATGTTGAACAGCATTGGTAAAAGTGGGTATCCTCTCTTGTTCCTTGTCTTAGGGTTTAAAGCTTTCACCACTGAGTATGGTATTAGTAGGTTTTTCATAAATACCCTGCTATAGACTGAATGTTTGTGCCCCACTACAACTCACATGTTGAAACCTAATTACCAATGTGAGGATATTAGGAAGTGGAGCCTTCAGGAGGTGATTAGGTCATGAGGGCGGAGCCCTCATAAATGGGATTAGTGTCCTTATAAAAGAGATCCCAGAGAGCTGGCTGGCCCCTTCCACCATGTGAAGATATAACAAGAATGTTCCATCTATGAACCAGGAAACAGGCCCCCACCAGACACAGAATCTGGTGGTGCCCCGATCTCAGACTTCCGACCTCCAGAACAATGAGAAATAAACCTCTGTTGTTTACAGGCCACCTCGTATATGGTATTTTGTTAGAGGCACCCAGCTGGACGAGGACATGCCTTTTATCTTGTTGAAGAAGTTCCTTCTATTTCTAGGTTTTTGTGTGTTTTTATAATCAAAGAAGGTTAAGAGTTTGTCAAATGCCTTTTCTGTGTCTATTGAGAAGATCTCATTTTTTTTCTTTCATTCTATAAATGTGGTATATTATATTGTTTGATTTTCCTTTTTTTTTTTTTTTTGGTGAAACAAGGTCTCACTCTGTGACCCAGGCTGGAGTGCACTGGCATGATCACAGCTCACTGCAGCCTCAACCTCTTAGGCTCAGGTGATCCTCCCACCTCAGCCTCCCAAGTAGCTGGGACCAAAGGGACCCGCCACCACCCCCAGCTAATTTTGTATTTTTTGTAGAAACAGGCTTTTGCCATGTTGCCCAGGTTAGTCTTGAACTCCTGGGTTCAAATGATCTGCCCACCTCAGCCTCCCAAAGTGCTGGGATTACAGGCCTGAGCCACCGTGCCCAGGCCTGATTTTCTTATGTTGAACAATTCCATTATCCCTGAAAGAGACAACTAATTGCAAACTATGTGTTACTATATGAAAATTATGCTCGGAGCACCATTTTAAAGATTACTTCATTATTTCATTCAAGATATATTTATTTTGCACCCAGGCATTATTTTGAGCACCGAAGGCACAGCCTGGACTAAACAGTTATCTCTGCCCTCCTGGAGTAACACTCTGAGAGGAGAGACAGATAGTAAGTGAGACAGGTAAAATATATAGTTAGTGATAAGGAAAATAATATGGCAAAAAAGGGGGAGAGAGTATGAAGAGGCTGAGATTCTAGACAAGAGAGGCCTAACTTACAGCATTACGGTTTATACACATGTCCACAACTCAGCATTGCTTTCAAAATAGGAACACTTTATTAGTAAAGAGGAAGAAATTGCCTAAACAGACTCAGTGTCTTTCCCATAACAATCATCTGCCAAGCCGCAGGCCTAACCAGGAAATCCCATTTCCTTTTGGCGTTGTGTCCTCCACCAACAGATACAACCCTGATGCCAAATGTTGTATGGTTTGTAGGTGTTGTGAGCCAATGAGGGCATGCCCAGGGCCAAAGGCTGCCCTTTGGAATGAGGGCAAGGTCGTAGACTCCATCAAACAACAAATGCATCCTCCTCCAAAATCAAATGCTCAACACATGCAGCCTTTCGTATGCCCATCTCCCCTTTACTCATTTTCATGGCTGAAAATCATCAGGATGGGCATTTGTCCATAACTCCTACAGGTTAATTTCCTGACATGATATGAGCCTTTAAGAAGTTATAAAGGGTTACATCATCTTTTCATTTCTGACACCAATATACTAACAGAACTTGAACACAGCCATCTGACCTTCAGAATCAATGAAACACGCAGCCTGAGAATAAAGAGAGGGCGTGCTGTTTGGTAACCTGACTTCAACACCTAAGCAACCACTAAGTGTGCCTGAGCCGATGCACAGAAATAAAAGGAAAATAAAGTCAGATTTTAAAAGCCAGATGTTATGCAGGTTAAACACAACCTCATTTAAATTCCGAAATCACAAGATACTTACTAACAGCGATGGAGCCGTGAACAGAGCACTCCCTGGAGAGGCCCCCATTTAGCTCTGCGGCCTCGCGCCATCGTTTCCGGTGGGCAGCACCCCTCTTGGCTCGCTCCCTTCCTCCCGGCTCCTGCCACAGCAGACAGGAAGCACTGTGTGAGCAACAGGAAACCTGCACTTCCTTGTCTTGTGCACCGGCCAACCAATTAGCATGTCACCATGAGGGGCAGATGCACATGAATATGGAGCACGGAGCCTCATTTTTCTGTTCAGTCTGTCAAGCCATGAATTCACTCATCCCATTTTGTCCTAAAACCTTGGGGTGGGGGTGGGGGTGGGGGCTGAAGGGAAGGAGGGTTTCAAAAGCCCCATCTACAGCGATGTGAAAAAAAAAAAAAAAAAAGTCAGGCTCTGTCAGCCCTAAAGGGCATTTCTAAGAGCAATGGCACCATCTTTCCACATTCAGGTGCACTTCCCTGTGGAAGGTTCTAGACACACGGTGGCCCCTCAAATTATTCCCTGTGGCAGACAGTGGTATTGTCACATCTGCTATCCACTTGTGTAAAGAAAAAGGAAGACCTGATCTAAGAGTTTTGAGGCTGAAAGATATAGCAGGTATAACCAGATATTTAATATGAAAAACCCAAGTATCTAAATGAGATTATTAGTTGACATAAGCTCCGATAAAGGTACAGAAATGAAAATATGCAATGCCTAATTCTACTGATCAGATTAGAGCAATTTCTATAGAAAATTACTATTCTTTGCTCACAACACAGTTTAAAGCAATGTAAACACATCCCTATTGCTACTGTGCCCAAATACTTCTCTGCTGAGCTATTAGCCATCGTTTCATTTTATAAAAACCATAATAGAAAATGTGGCCAAACAGATAGATGGAGTGTTCCCAGCAATATGGAGAAACAGTTGTGTTTATGCAGAGATTAGTCTTTCAAATTGAGAGATCTCCAAAGCTCCATTTGTACTTGAAAGGCTTGTCTTTTTGTTACCCAGTAAATAGCTCATTCATATTCTACAAAGAAAACCCTCTAAATTGGGAGAAATAGCCATATTTAACATTAGGTAGGGAAATGGGGCTGAAAGCGAGAAAAGAAGTCTATTTCCCCCAGTTTCTTGGACTAGATTAAAGCTTTCCTTTATAATTTAAAACAGCCTCTGTTTTCTCCACATATAAGAGGCAGAAATTTCATGAAAGGCTGAGAAGTACTATCCATTAATGCAGAAATTATGCCAAAGAACAAGTTAAGAAACACATTTTTAAAAAGCAATCTTGGGTCCTTTTCTCTTATTCTGCAGTACATGTTTCTTAGCTGCTGCAGCTCCCTAAAGGCGGGGGTGGCTGTCAAGCTGGCCTGAAGTGTGGGTGACACACAGGTCCTCATGCAGGGCTCTTTCTGTGAAGCCCCAAGGTGCTATACGCTGTTGGGTGACTGCCCTGTCACCTGCCGTTAGTTACTCAGAATTAGAAATAAGTATCAGAATCGTGTGAATGAGGTGAACACTAGATGATGTAAATTAAAGCCATCCAAAGGCGTGATGTATTCCTTGCCATCTCAAAAAAATGACAATTTGGGAGATGAGAATATGTGTTAACAACTGTTTTTAAGCCTGTTTGAGCACAAAAATAACAGAATGGAGCTATAGTGTTAACTTAGGGCAACGAAGGGAATGCAGAGAAGGCATCCTGTTCCCTTCGTCAGGCAGGTGCCCTGGGATGCCGGTGGGTTTGCTCTTCTGAACCCCAGGCTCAGGGGGCTGCACACCTCCAGGGAGGCGGGTGGGCAGGCAGCATGGCCTCCAAAAGAGGTACAGGAAGGGAATAGAGAAAAGGAGAACTGGGGGACAGGGAGGGAGCCTGGCAGCTGGTTGTCACCCATCCCATAAGGCCAACCTTTAGGAGTCCAGGGGGGACATGGCCACACCCAGGAAGAGCTCCCATTCCCTAGGTGCACACACACATCACGTGTGATTCTAGAAACCCGGTGTGGCATCTTCAGGGGTCACCAATTGTTTCGTGGAGATTCTTGGTCTCGGGCCCCCCAGCGGGACCACAGGTAGGAAAATGCTCTGCTTGCCCTGTAAGCCATCCCTGGCTGCTGCCCCTGGCAGTCGGGATCTGCCTTCAGCTTGCCCTAGAGAGCCCTGCAAAGGCCACCACAGCATGGCCACAGGTGTGTGAGGCTTCCAGGAACATCTCCGCGTGAGAGTATACTATCCTCACCGAGTCTAGGCCACGAGCTGCCCCCCACTGGAAAGGCTGAACCTCTCTGGCTACATTGTTGTAGAAAAGCTCCCAGGCGGGGCTCTGCTCAGGCTCTCTGCATTTCTGGGAGACATCCTTGCTGTCCCTGCTCCGCCCGTGACAGCCACCATGACTGAGCCCACACTGGCCTCCTGGACTCCCACCTTCCGCATTGATATACGCCTTTCTTGGGCGCTCTTCAAGGCTTGGCATAGAAGAATTTGTATCAGTTAAGGGAAGAAGATAAATGCTAATTCTGTAGCTCCCAGATTTCTTTTTTGGAATCATTAAAATCCAAAAAAATTAGTTCCAACTGCTTATTGAACAGTGCCTGTCTCACAGCCCTATGTAGAAGTCACCTCTCTTAGACCAAAGTTGGTATCTCATCCTGAAAACCAGCCCCCTACCTGGCTGTGTGGTCTGGAGAGTCACATTACCATGCACCCTGGCTTGACACCTGGATGCATCCCTGGCCCGTCCCCCTGTGGCCCCCAGTCTAGCGGTCAGCCTGCTCGTCTCAGCTCAGAGTAACTGCATGGACCCCTTGCTTCCCGGCCTTACTCCCACGGCCCTAGTCAGAACTGTTGCACACCTGGCCCCTGGTAACAGTGTTCTTTCTGTCCAGTGTAACCACAGTTGACAACACCACCTGCTTTTTTGAGGCCAGTGAAGAAGTCCACAAGTGCCTGCCTTGGTTCTGCTGTGCTTGCAGCTGTCACGGGATCTGAAGCCAGCCCACTGCTTTCACAGAATGAAGCTCCAGCTCATCCACCCAGGCAAGCAGTGACCCCATGAGGCAGGAGAATAGGATCTGGAGGAAGGGAACCTAAGGCCGATTCACACCGACTTCCTAGAACTAAATCAAAAGGAAAACCCCAACTTTCCATGCCCAAGTAACACAAGGACCAGAGGCTACTCCCTTGCAACCCTGCCCCCTCCCACTTTTTCTGTGTGGCAGATGAAAAATTGAAAGTACCTCTGACTGGACCCCTCCCACAACCAATCAGGCTGGTCAGGGGCCAAGTCTTGCATAGGAGTATAACTTTGTAACTTCACTTTAGCCTCTGATTGGTCACTTTCTGCAACCAATCAGACATTTGCATAGGGTGTAACTTTGTAACTTTGCTTCAGCCTCTGATTGGCCCCTTCCTGCAACCAATCAGACTGATCAAAGGCCACTAGTTAATTTACATAGGGTGTACACCAAGTAACCAATGGGAAACCGCTAGAGAGTCTTTAAAGCGGAGAAAATTCTGTAACCGGGCTCAGGAGCCGCTTGCTAGGGCATGCTACCACCCTGTGGAGTGTACTTTCGTTTTCAATAAATCTCTGCTTTTGTTGCTTTATTCTTTCCTTGCTTTGTTTGTGTGTTTTGTCTGATTATTTGTTCAAGATGCCAAGGACCAGGACACCCTCAACCAGTAACACACACTCTCCTTCTTCAATGACGTTTGTGTTCCTAGAATCCATTTTCCTCAGTCAGGTACGTGTCCCCATCCCCACGTCTTCCTCGCTCTTCTTGACCTTTGTTTACTATGTCCTCCTACTTCCCCCTGGTTCCCCCAGACTCTCAAAACCCATGCAGTCCCCAAGGCTATCGGTCCTCCTCAGGCCCTGGCCACGAAGACCCCTGCCTACCGATCTTCTGTACTAGCCCAGCACGCGTGGACACATTCATCTGCACGACAGACATCATGGGGCACCTTCTGTGAGCAGGCGCTGGGGAGACAAGGCCAGCCCGCCTCAGTTCCCACGGTACTCAAGAGACAGCAAGCCAGGCCACCCCAGCATGGTGAGGTGGGCACTGTGTTCACCAACAATAAAGGCGGACAAAGGTTGGTGCAGTGGGGGCTGCAGAAGGGCCCCGGCCATGCAGACGGCAGCATGGCAGGCTGTTCCAGGCACACAGAGGGCGGCATGGCAGGCAGTTCCAGGCAGAGCTGCCTACTACACCCCAGTGGGCTGATTCATTTGGTGTTGGAAGAAAAGGGGAGAACAATTTTATTTTTATTTTGCTCTTCAGCAAAATCTATAATTTTGTGTTTATCTTAGGAAGTTTATAATAGTATATGTATATAATATTAAAATAATTAAATACACATATAATAGGGATTATCCCCAAAATATTTTACCAAAGAGAGACACATGTTCCAAAAACTCAGGAGGTATGAACTGTCTGCCTTAAATACCCTCATCACTAATTGTCCTTTTTTGGTCTCTCTCAACAGCACTACCTTCTCATCAGATATGAAGAATTTTCTTTTTCTTTACTCAGCACCAAATCTCTTAGAAAATACAAAACAGACACATGGCTTCGTCAGATGACATGGGTCCACTCTAATGGACTGCTCTAAAACTATCAGTTAAGGACGGGTGCATGGCTCATGCCTGTAATCCCAGCACTTTGGGAGGCTGAGGCAGGAGGACTGCTTGTGCCCGGAGTTCCAGCTCAGCCTGGGCAAAACGGTGAGACCCCATCTCTACAAAAAACACAAAAATTAGCCAGGCATGGTGGCGTGTGCCTGTAGTTCCAGCTACTCAGGAGGCTGAGACAGAAGGATCCCTTGAGCCCAGAAGTTCAAAGATGCAGTGAATTGTGATAGCGCCACTGCACTCAAGCCTAGGCAAGAGAGTGAGGCCCTGTCTCTTAAAAAAAACAAAATAAAAGCTATGAATTTAGGAAAATAATGTTCATTAACTACTAGTTTCAAACATGTCCCTATTCTTATAATATACTGTATCCTTGCAAAGCACCTCTCCTTTGTGTTCCTCTTCAAAAGGAAGCTGGAGAAACTGCAGTGAAATGACAATGACCATGGCGTGACGACGTGGGGGCAGTGGCCCTGGCTCCAGCTCAGTCACTGGCTGTGGAACATTAACCATGTGACAGGGCTGGAGCCAGGGTATGACCTTGAGCGGAAACTTAGGGTATGCTTACCTTGAGTTTATGCACCTCTAACGATGAGACTAGGCTACGATTCATATACTTGCTGCTGATGTAAATATCCTGCACGTGCTCCTTAAAGCGCAAGCACTGCCTGAGAAAATGTAGACCTGGAAGGGTTTTCTTCTTTTTATTTAAGCAATATCTTTCTATAGACAAAGCCATATGTATCTCTTCCCTATTGCTGCTATAACAAGCTATACAAACTCAGTGGCTTAAAACACCGAATTTGACCGGGTGCGGTGGCTCACAGCTGTAATCCCAGCACTTTGGGAGGCTGAGGTGGGCAGATTACCTGAGGCCAGGAGTTTGAGACCAGCCTGGCCAACATGGTGAAACCCCATCTCTACAAAAAATACAAAAATGAGCCGGGCGTGGTTGCGGGCACCTATAATTCCAGCTACTTGGGAGACTGAGGCAAGAGAATGGCTTGAATCCAGGAGGTGGAGGTTGCAGTGAGCTGAGATCACACACTGCACTCCAGCCTGGGCGACAGAGTAAGACTCCATCTCAGGAAAACAAAAACAAAAAGAAAAAAAAAACACCAAATGTTATTTTTTAATTTTTCTTTCTTTTTCAGACTAAGTCTCAGTCTGTTACCAGGCTGGAGTGCAGTGGCACAATCATAGCTCACTGTAACCTCAAGCTCCTAGGCTCAAGTGATCCTCCTGCCTCAGCCTCCGGAGTAGCTGGCACCACAAGCATAACCTACCATGCCTGGCTTTTTTTTTTTTTTTTTTTTTTTTTTTTTTTTGGTGTAGAGATGGAGTCTCACTATGTTGCCCAAGCTGGTTTCGAACTCCTGGCCTCAAATGATTCTCCCACCTCGGCCTTCCAAAACCAAAGTGCTGAGATTACAGGCGTGAGCCACCACACCTGGCCT
The DNA here is from genome assembly GCF_000001405.40 of Homo sapiens. NCBI lineage: Eukaryota > Metazoa > Chordata > Mammalia > Primates > Hominidae > Homo > Homo sapiens. Next base: position 13,459,030 of record NC_000018.10, on the reverse strand, counting down.
TAAAACACAAATTTGTTACTTTACAGTTCTACAGGTTGGGAATCCAAAACTAATTTCACTGGGTGAAAATCAAGGAGGTGGCAGAGCTGTGTTCCTTCCCAGAGCTCTAGGGGAGAATATTTGTTTGCCTTTTCCATCTTCTAGAAGCTGCCCACATTCCTTGGCTTGAGGCCCCTTCATCATCTGGAAAGCCAGCAATGGCAAGTCAAGTCCTTTTCACATGGCATGGCTCTGATCTCTCTTTGGTGGTCACCTCTGGTTCTGAGCACAGCTGGGAAAGAGTCTCTGTTTTTAGAGGACTCATGTCTCCAGGCCTGCCTGGATGGTCCAGGATAATTTCTGCAACTCAAGGTCCTTAGCCTTAGTCATATCTGTAAAGTCCCTTTTGCTAGTAAGGTAACATATTCACAGGTTCCAGGGATTAAGAAGTGGACACCTTTTGTTGGGGGGCATTATTCTGCCTACCACATCTTTCATGCAATTAGACAAAACAAACAAAACAAAGCAGTGAATGTTTCAAAATAGGCGCAGAGTTGCTCACATGAATAAATAATGCATAATTTTCACCTGGGCACATGCTTCAACCTGGCCCTGGCTCACAAGTCTGGTCAGGCAGGACACCCAGGATGGTGCTTGTGGAAAGATTTACGCACAGAAGACTCATTCCCCTTCCTCAGCCACAGAAGCAAAGTCAGGTGTGTACCACACCTGCTAACACATAGTGCTTCTAAAGCAGCGCGCCGCTCTACTTCTTAGTTGCTAAATTTGTTTTGCGTGAATGGCATTTTGAATCCTCATCACGCAGAGTCAGCAGAGTGGTGTAGACCCCTCCACGGCTCCTGCTCAGCATCAGCAGCAGGCTCCTCATCCGTGCTTCCCCATGCCCAGGCCCTGCGCGTTCTGCAGGCTGTAGTCTTGGTCCAGTTAGGAGACTTGCCTTTACCACACTTTTCAGCAAGAAATGAATTGGCCTACCGAACTCACCATTAGGAAAAGCAAAGAAGTCATGAGAACACGTATGAATGACCACCACCATGGTGCTGGGATACATCATTTTCCAAGACCATTCATGGACCTGTTCACTCCATAGGCAAACACTGATTAAGTATTTGCCACATCCCTGGGGCAGTGAAGGACAGGAAACTCCCTGAGCATGGTCCTGCCTTCATGGAGCTTACCACCACAAAGAGCAAGTCAGACCAGCACTGAAATAAGCACACTGCACAGGGGAGCGGGGGCCCAGGTAGCGAGGCAGGGGGAGCCGCCTTCACAGCAGAGGGCCCTGGGATGCTTGGGGAGGGCCTGTGAACCACGGGGAGAAGTGGTGGTGCCGTGATGTGGATCTATCTACAGGCTTTCCTCCACGGCACCTGGCTTGTGTACCCCACAGCCCTGTTACAGTCTTCTGTTAGAAGGTCGGGTGCGTCAGGCCTCAGGAAACAGAACTTCCCCAACCTTCTCCTGTCCTTTCTGTCCGCCTTTCAGCTGCCAGGCAAAACATCTCTCTCCTCCAGCCTTTCCTGTTGCTCATACGATCCTCCTCAGAGAAGGCCCCATCCCCACCAGCGGGGAAGAAAGCTGACATCAAGAAGCGCCCATAAAAATCCAAGAGGACAGGGTTCAGGGAGCTTCTGGATGGCGGAACATGCAGAGGCTCTTGGAGGGGGGTGCCCAGGGAGGGCACAGGACTCCACATCTTCCCCATGCCCTGCCCCACGCAGCCCTTCATCTGTGTCCTTTGCAATATCCTTGGAGCAAACTGGTAAATGTAAACATGTGTTTCCCTGAGTTCTGTGAGCACCCCCCAGCAAATTAATCAAACATAGCAAGGGGGTTGTGAGAACCCCAACCTGAAGCCAGTCGGTCAGAAATTCCTGAGGCCTGGACTTGCAACTGGAGTCTGAGGGGCAGCCTTGGGGACTGACCCCCCGGCCTGTGGAGCTGACACTACAGCAGGTGTCCACTGCTGGGCTGTGGGGAAGCCCCACACACTAGGCCACAGAAGTGTTCTTCTATGTGGATGACTGTTCTCTGCTCTCACACCAGAGGAAAAACACAGGGTGAGGGTTTTCCCCAGGCAGACAGAAATCCTGGGAGCTGAGAAAGGAGGTGAAGGAGGAGTGGAAGGAATTTTGGATAGCACTGTAAGCCACAGAATCTAGAAAAAACCACATATCCCAAGAAAAATGGGTGGCATTGTTCTGCTGACCTATGATTTACTGAGCCTGAAGCTGGGGCTCAAACCCGCACTGATAGCATACATTGGTTCATGTCTGCAAATATAATAGTTTCCCATTTCTATTTATATAAAATACCCTTTTAAAAAGCAAACTTATTATGAATACATGTGTATCTGATGGATTTGTGTGTATATGTGCATGCACATGGACCCTGCACTGGACATTCAGGGACCAAAAATAAACAAAACACAGACCCTCCCTTGGAGGGATTTACTCATAATCTAGTAAGAGAGAAGTCATTAAACACATAATTAAAATCCAACATGATGTGGGTTAGAGGAATCCAGGGGCAATACAGGAGCATCATAGAAAGAGAAAGAAAGGAAAGGCAACTGGCCACTGAGGCGTGGAGAGGGCCTGGATAGCGTGACGCACGCCCTTCACCAGAGCTGCCCAGGGAAACCCTGGCAAGGTGCACAGGGAGCAGGAGGGAAGGCGAGAGAGGGCACCCCGGTCAGGAAGGGGCACCCCCGTGTAGATGTGGCACGCTCAGGAAGGCAGGCAGACGGCGGGGGGACCATGCTAACACTCAGGCTCCCACTTTCAGGCAAAACGTGTACATGCTCCTCGTTCCCCACCACAGCCAGTCATTTTGGTAATTATTTATTCACACCTCAAACCACAGCACCTGACACCTGGAACTCTGCCCTGTTTCCTGCCTAGGAGTCCGTGACAAGATGTCCCTTAGTTCTTGGAAGATGTGTTCCTGCCACAGCAGTGACACATTCACTTCTCCTCCATATGCTGGGAGCCAAGCAAGGACACGTTTCCTAACAATGCAGACAGCGCGGGACATGGCGGGCGCTCCTGCCAGAAGTCCCGGCAGGACTTCTACATGGAATTCAGGGCAACCAGACTTCGGAAGCTGGGGCTCTGAGTAAAACAGACTAATAAACAGGCTTGTATTTTAAATGTTTGCTTTCTTCATAATCTTAAAAATATACAACTGCAATTTATCATCCATTTATCTTAGCACCACCAAGAGTTGCTCAATTGTATGTTAGATCACCAGAAATGGCACCCGGTGTGGGGCTGAATGCAGCTGAAGGGGAGGTTGCCAAGCCCCCGGATATCTTCCCTGGGGCTGTGTGGAAGGAGGAAGCCAGATGCACAGCTCTGCCCCAGCCACGGGGAGGACATGACTTGGCCCCCTCTCCACCTTCTGCCTGTATCTCAAGTGATCCGGCCCAGCTCATCAGAGGGAATGACGACCCACCCTCAGAGCCGTCCAGGCTGTGGGGGGATGCTGAGCTGCTCCTAGTGTCTCCTCTACCTGCTCAGCAGGAGCAGGTGCCCCTGCAGCCTCCAGCCTCTTCTCACCATGGCTACCCAAGGGCATCTCATGACCTTTACGGGCCTCATAGATGTCACATCAAACCCAGGAAAAAGCACCACATCCCACTTGAGACAATGAATTGCAGGTGACTATTTGACAAGCCATCACGTTTTGTCAACATTTAATTAAATGTGTGCATTTTAATTTGGCAGTTTTCGCTGCCTATCTTGGAAGCAGAATTTTTTTCAGGTCTGCAATATTTGCATAAGCCCCCAAAAAGCCTGGAAACCCCAGGCCTCCTGCCTAAGTGCCCACTGGGTAAAATGACCTGTCTGCCAGCCCAGCCTGAGGAACATCCCTGGTCCTGGTGCCAGGACACCTGGTGCCTCTCCCAGGCAGCACCTATGCCCCCTCCCCAGCCCCCAGCTCCTGCACATACAGGTGTCCAGCATCCACCAGCTTCGCCTCCCTTGGAGGGACACCCTTTGGACTGCCTAGCTCAGTGACATGTTTGCAGGGTTGTGATCATCCACTCAACAAACGCGGACTGAGCACCCACCAGGGCGCATGCCCTGCTCCCGCCGCAGGTGATCCAGCACTGTGCGCAGCCAAGTGGGATGCCTGATGAATGAACACATCAGGACCAAGGCTGCTGCTGAGGGCTTGGAGTGGTCTGATCTCCAAAGGCAACATGACATCCCACACATCCCCATTCATCAGGGACTGTCACAGCAACACAGTGCCTCTCTGCCCTCCAGCACCTTCTGGACCAGGCCAGCCCCTTTCCCAGCTCATCTGTGCCTGTGCCCAGACCTGTGGCTCAGGTGGATGGCCATCCCGGGCCAGGCATGTCCTGCTGCTACCCTCTCTGCAGAGACAGGCATCCTTCAGCGTGGACAAAGCCACCCACCTGTAAGCAGATAGCCTCTGGCTGCCTTGTCTACTCACTGAGTGTATGTTTCATCCGATGGATTTCCCCAAAGTAAGAGCACGAAAATAAGGAGTGAGGTGCCTGGCTAGTAATAAGGGCAAAGATGATGAAGAGAATGGAGTCATTTCCCAGGCCGACCCAGGAAGCAAATGGAAGACAGCACTGCAAGCCAGACACTCAAAATTCCATATTATTCACAACTTAATATAATGCACTTAAATCATCCCTTTAAATGTGGTATACTGGAATTCTTTCACAAATTTAGACAATGCATTTGGAACCCCTTTCTAGTGCTCAGAAACTCCAACTAGATAAACATTAACCACAAACAGGATAAAATCCAATTTATTTTCATCAAACGACTGCACCCTGTTATCATTGCTAACATTCCCTCCACGTGAACACTGAGTCTGCTTGCGCATCTAACAGTCAGACAAAAAGGGGTCTTATATCATCGCAGAGCCAGAAAGACAGCACACCTTATAAAGGAGGCAGGATGCCCCTTTTGGAGAACACCCCGGCAATAAACAAAACCACCATGAGAAGCTGGGTGTGCACGGCGCAGCCTCCGGCTCTGTCCCCGCAGTCGGCGGCAGCGCCGGAATGAACATCTGCAGTGTGAACACGGCGCCCATTAGCTCCCGCAGCCTGTTAGCATATTTTAATGCTGTGATCACAGCTTTCTATTTCCATCAAGGCGCCACGAGGTGCTAGACTCTGGATCACACATTGCGTCATTATTGTCCCCACTGAACAGATTACACAGCAGTACTGGGGACGGGGCTGGGAGGTAATGAGGGGCAACAGAGGGAAGGGCAGGTGGAGCACCGGGCGCCCTGCAGAGGATGGGTGGGCACTGCTCAGAGCTGGGGCTCTCATCTCAGCGGGGGCTCAAAGACATCGCATGCCCTGATCAACGTCTCTCTCAGACACCTGAAAATAATAACACTATTTACAAAGAAACACCTCTCTTGGCTAAATGTTCCATCTAATATTTATCTCATTAAAGTTAATAACAGAGGTCAAGTCACCATTTCAGAATGCTTTTTTTTTGCGTCACAAGTGACTCCAGGGATCAAACCTGCCTTCCTTGCCGGCAGCTGCGAAAAACCAGGCTTGAGGTGTTAATAAACCAAGGTCACTACGGAGTAGCGGAGCTGCTGACTCTTGATTTTAACTCATTCCTGTGATACAAAAAGTGCACAAATCCATTGTCATGTATGACACAAACAAGTTTCAGGGCTGGGCCTCCAAGAAAAACATCATGAAGGGTCCTGCTCCTTTCGAACCTCACACCCCAAGTTCACACACAGCAGGACACCAGTTCACGGGCCTCCTCATTTCCAAAACGCGAGCACGTGCACGCAACCACAGGCACACCAGGAGCAATGCAAAACAAAGTCCACCATCATCTGTTTTCAAAGGGCAAGATACCGGGGTCCTGCTTCTTTTAAAACGATGACTGTCCCTGTGATTCCTGCATTTCATTTGCACATGATGCAAATCCCGTGACCTCACGCTCGCTCATGTGCACCCCTGCGGTGCTCCCCATGCTGAGCAGAGCACAAGCCCATCTCTGTGCCCTTTCTCTCCCTGGTCATTTGCACTTGGAAAGCAGCATTCCATGTAGCATCCCCCGTGGTCCCCCTCACTTGCCCCAGGACGTTGCCTCTGGCCTTCCTGGAGGTTCTCGCTGGGGGTCACCCCTCAGGCTGAGGCTGGACTCATTGCCACTGACCTCCTTAATCCTAAGGAGGGGTCCGATGAGTTCTTATCACATATGGTTGTTCTAACAATTAAATGAGATGACTCAAGTAAAGCACTTAGCAATTAGTAAACACGCGACCTGGTGGAATTGTGGAGAGAAGTTCATACACGCAGAAAGCTCTTTTGAACACTGCAGAGCATGACCAAGATGCTGACTGTCAGGACTGCAGATCCCTCCTATGTCGGTATTTTTCCAACTCCCCAGCCCCAGGCTGACTCATAGCAGCAGCTCTGCCCAGGAGCAAGGACTCCCGCCTTCCTCCTTTCCAGCTTCAGAAGAGTCTCCTCCTGTGCACTGGAGTTCTTCCGTCCACATCTCCACTCTCTAGGCTCGATCCTACCCTCGCAGAGACTTGCTCACAGGGGTCCTCCTCTCTCTCTAGTGCACCCACCACCTTTGCTGAGCTATCCCTCTGCCAGGAGATAGCCCCAGACTCCTCCTCGCCCCCCTCCACGGCACCCAGTCTGCACCCGCTGCATCCTCCAAGCGCTGCAAGGAGGGTGGCCAGGAGCCGCCGCTGCCACCGTGAACCCCAAAACTGGGGACACCACACTGGGACCCTGCTGTGCCGGGCACACTCTGACTTCCCTCCCTATTCATCTCCTGCTGTGGCTTTCATGTGGATTCCTCCAAACCCTTTTTTACATAATCCCAAAGGCACAGCTACTGGGGACCTGCCCCTCTGACAGCCTTCCTAGCTAGGCCCAGTCCCTACTCTCAGGGGCACACGCCACGTTCACCATAGGCTGCCTACTCTGCAAGGGAGGGTCCTTCCGGGTGATTTCCTCCTGCCACCCTGACACTGCCTAACCTGACAAGTTGGTGTGAGGACAGGGTCTAGTGGAAGGAGAACTGTCCTAAGAAATGGGAAGCACTGCTAGGCTCTGAAAGTTTTTGTACTCTCTCCCCACCCCCAAAGTCATATGTTGAAATCCTAACCCCTGAGTGACAAGCTTAGGAGGTGAGACCTTTGGGAGGCATTCAGTCATGAAGGCAGAGCCCTCAGGATTGGGATTCATGCCCATGGGAAAGAGACCTCAGAGTGCTTCCTTCCCCTTCTGCCATGTAAGCACATAGCCAGAAGGCACGGTCTGTGAGCCTGGATGCAAGCCCTCGCCAGACACTGAGTCCGGCAGCACCTTGATCCTGGACTTCCCAGCCTCCAGACATGTAAGATGCACATTTTGATTGTTTATAAGCCATCCCATCTGTATTAGGCCATCTCTTGCATTGCTATAAAGGAATATCTGAGATTGGGTAATTTATAAAGAAAAGAGGCTTAATTGGCTCTGGGTTCTGCAGGCTACATAAGGAGGCATAGTGTTGACATCTGCTTCCAGGGAGCCTCAGGGAGCTTCCACTCATCATGCAAGGTAAAAGGGGACTGGTATCTCACACTGGGAAGCAGAAGCAAGGAGTGAGGGGGGAGGTGCCGTACACCTGAACAACCAGACCTTGTGAGAACTCACTCACTACCTCAAGGACAGCACCAAGCCACAAGGAATCCGTCCCCATGACCCAAACACCTCCCGCCTGGCCCCACCTCCAGCACTGGGGCTTACATCTCAACATGAGATTTGGAGGGGACAAATAGCCAAACCATATCACAGTCTATGGTATTTGGTAATAGTAGCCCAGACAGACTAGAAACATACATATTAGGACTTCTGCCAAAGACTATTTTTGTGACCTTGAAGTGGTCACGTAATCTCAGGCTTCAGTTTCCTTTCCTGAGTGCAGAACTAAACTAAGCCATCTCTAAGGACCTTCCGGCTATACAACAGCTTTGTGTCGTAGCCTCTCTTGCTCAAAAACCTTCAATGACTTCCTTCATGAAAGAGAATGAAAGCGATCTGGCCTGACATCCCTGGCTTTCTAGAATCTGACCCCACCTACCTTTCTAGTGGTGCTCCTCAAAGTCAGCCCTCCCCTCCCCGCAAGCTTCCATGACAAGCCTATGTGGCATCCCTGCCCAGGCGTCTCCCCACGACACTCCCCCTGAAGAGCAGGGGTTCTCCAGACCCTGCCAGCCCATGATGGTGGCCTCCCTGAGCACCCAGGCTTAGTAAGATGTTCCTTCTGTCCTGCATACTGGCACTGCAGATACGTGCCACAACTTTGTGGGCCTTCTCAAGGACACCACTTAGCACTGGACAGAACAAAGCTGGGAGGCAAAGCCTCCGTCTCACACACACTGCACCCTCCCATGTCACCTAGCCCCTGCAGCCCTGCACCTGCCCATAGAGCCCAGCCCATGCCTCTCACGCATTCAATACTCAGAAAAATACCTTCCATGAAGTATCCCAGAGATGGGATGTTTTGTATTACTCAGCATATAATTTTCCACAAGTGACTACCCCAAACATGTTTTCTCTATAACACCCTCCAGCCCCCTGTCCAGACATAATCTTTCAACAACTATTTCTCCTTCAACAACTTATGAAAACTAATCAGTCTTGGGATCTTGTGTGTTTTTTTGGGGGGGGGGGTGGGGGGAGAGAAGCTAACTGCACTGGCCCCAGGTCCTGTCATTTCCAGTTAACGTCTCCTAACATGAGAGCAGACACTGAACCAGAAGGGTGAGAGGAGGCAGCAGCCGCTGATCTAGAGGCCTCATGGGGCTTCAGTGGGAGGCACGGGTAGGCCTGGAAGGGCAGGGTCTCTGCCAGCCTTTTAAGGTCAGATTGGCATTTAAAATTCTGGGTTCATGCCAACCCCTCTCACCAAGGAAGAAACAATACTCAACACTTCTATCTCCAAAGCCTATGCAAATGGAAGAGCGAACTCTCTCGGTAATGTGTTCCTTTGGCTGTCCTTCCACAAAAAGTCACGTGAAGTCAAGACACGGGCTTACATCCCGTGATGGAAGGTCCATCATTTTGCTTGATTGGCTCAGCCACCACCCCGGCCCCATGACAGAGAGAGCGGTTGGGCCTGAACCCACCACCTGCCCAAACCCAGACAGGGAGAACAGCTGGCATGCAAGGGCCTGCGGCGGTACACCCTACCTGGAACCATAGCTGACCTTCCCCCAAGATCTAAGGGTAAAAGGCCTGAAGTGTAGCTCAAGTTCCTTTTTCTCTGAATTTTTAGAATAAAGCAAATAACAGATGCCCAACACCCTCCACTAACAATGAAGAGATAGATAAGGATGAAGGAGATAGCGCCATGGCAGAGCCATCCACAGCAGACAGCCTGGCTCAGGGGCCCTCTCCGGAACAGGTGCACGCCCGCAGGAAGACAGGGGCCTTTCTCAAGGAGGCAGGGCAATCTGAGATTCTCCTCTCCCAAGCACACGTATGAGCCTGGGGGTCACCCCACTGAGCCACCAGTCTCTGAAATGGGGAGATGCACTTTATGGTCCCAAGATTTTAAGTGTCACTTAGCACAAGGCTCCCCTTCCAGGCCTCATGGCTGGCAGGAGAAGTGCTGATGCCCACAGCCCAGCCCCCTGCCATGTGCCCCTTCCCTACAGGCCATCCCAGGGAATGAAAAGTTTCTGCCCTGAGTGGATGGTCCTGGTGTGAACAGCAAGCAAAGGGTCTAGGGCAAGAAGGTGCCCCTCTAAGGACAGCTGGACCTTCCGGAGGACCACGGCAATTTTTCTAGGAGCTGTCTGGAAAAAGGACAGACTCACTCGCTGCTCACTACTGCAAACTCCTGAAACAAGATTTCTTTCTTCCCTCTCCAGTGATTGTCTACTTTGAAAATATTTTTTATCTTTGATCTCTGTTTTCTTTCTGGGAAGGAAGCAAAAAATATCTTCTTTTCCCTCTGTTATTAGCTCTTGGGACAGAACAAGAATGGATGAAGGAGTGAAAAAATGATTACTGCAAAGTTTAGGTTGTTGGGGTTTCTTTCCCATGTTAAAGCTGCCATGACTGAAAGAGGCACCAGCCCAGAGGATGAATCCAGAAGTCCAGCCCTCGGAGGGTCACCCACCTCTGCAGTCCACGACGTATCTCATGGCAGCTTTAGACTTCAGCTTTATTTCTTCAGTTACTCAAAGATGGTCCCTTCCAAGTTTCACCGTAGTACCCTTTTGGATAATTTTTTTCAAGACCAAGACGTGATTAGCGGCCATCAAACCAAGCGACAAAGCACCTCCCAGCCGAACGGCAAGCTGCTGCGTCACCTCCCGCCTTATCGGTGGTCCCCCAGCCTCCGCCCCCCAATCTCATCTTTACCTCAATATCTCCTTCCCGACTCCCACCACACTTACACTGGGAGTCTTCATGAGCAGAAACTCACTTCTGACATCACATAAACTCCATCCCCGCCACTCAGAAAATAATTAGGAAGACAAGCATCACGACTACGCAGGCACCCAAGCGCAGCCAGGCAGGCGCTGGGGATTTTTTTACCCGCTTTCCTACAGCTCTGCCAGTTGTGGAGCTGCCCGGAAGAGACCCAGCATGAAGAAATTCGCAGAAATTCATAAAAAGAGAAAGCAAGCCTGGTAAGCCTCTAAAACCCTTGCAAATTAAGAGGCTAAATGAACAGTCAAGACCAACGGTTTCCACAAGAGCAGTGCTGAGTGTGTTAATATACACAATTAACGCAGGTCACCCCGCGGGCTGCATTCCCGTCTTAAGCACACACGACAACATCCTCCTTTTCACCCCAGCTCCTCTCCGGCCTTTGAAGCCTGGGTCTGAAATATATCATTCTGCATTCTGGGCAGTACGGCTTAAATCAATAGTGTTATCATCCTACAACTGTCCTTTCACGCTCTCCCTAATGCCTAATAATTGTCAAGTTTGCACTAAAATTGATCAGTAACAGCGGGCCTTTTCTCTTAGCACCCCCTCTCCCTACACCCTCCCGGCCACCCCTTGGCCTCCCCCAGGAAGCAGGATCACGTTGATTTCTATCTGGTTACAGGAGAGCTTGCCCTGACTTTCCCCAGTTACTTAAGCCGGCGTCTCATTGCGTGTCCTTAGAGACCAGGGCTTCGCTCAGGCAGAGAGCGTCTAGACAGTATTCATGACCCATCTGTCTGGCACGGCCCAGCGGATGGCAAACTCTATTAGAACTGAAACCATTTTTCCCTCCCCCTTCTCCCATCCCTCTTTCCCTTTGCGAAGCAGGAATCTGACACTGAAAATTACTATCATTGTTGCAATTCTCAAAATAGCACCGCCAGACTTTCATTAACATCCACGCTAGACTACTAAATATTTAAAGAAGTGGATAAATTTCATCTGAAGTGGGACAGCCCCGCACACATGAAAGCAGTAACAGAATCAAAATGTAAATCTAAGAGGTTGTTTTTATCCAAGTAAATTTAGTGTCACAGCAGGAGGAAATGATGCCTAAGGTTTATTAAAACTTACCCTCCCATTTGTTCTCCGCCTTTGTTTATTTGAAAAGGCAGAATTACCATTTAAGACCCTACACGATTTTAATTGATCAGAAAACCGTCTTGGAGAAACAAAGGCAGCCAACACAAGGGGCGGGACTGGGAGGGGAGGGTGTGAGGCTGCCAGCGCCTCCCTGGGGCTCATCCCACAGAACCGTTCAGGCAGAAGCGTGTTGCCAGTGACAGCCCCTGCAACTTGATCCCGTGGCGAACCCAGAGAGAGGCATATTGCCCTCCACATCTTGTTTTAAATACCACCTTGGGTCACTGTCACAGTCAGTAATTGCTTTGCCATAGATTCTTTAAGTCAAAAAAAAGGGGGGGCGGGCGGGGAGCCCTGTCCAAAGCACACAGGCTGCTCTGCACAACAGCCTGATTCATTGAACATGGCCTTGATGGAGGCCAGCCAGAATTAAGTCTGTGGAAACCCAGAGCCCCTCACCCCAGCCTCGCTCCAAGGTAACACCACAACCTGGAAGACCCCTGACCCACACCCCCTGCAGTCAGCAACGTCAACATGGGAAGTCCAATCTGCTGAATGCCAGAAGGCCCCCGAGGCAGGCCCCACCCCTCCCAGCACAGCTGGAGATGCTGAAGGAGCCAATGCGCTCAGACAAGAGTCAGAGGGAAACTGGGGATCAGAGGCTAAAAGCCCACATGTGGCTGAGGCGGGCTCTTGGCGCCCGCAGCAGGTGAAGCGGGGATGGTGATGGCAGAAACAGAGCCGCCCCCATGCTGAAGCCACGCTGCCTCTCGCCTCCCCAGGGCAGCTGTCATCATCTCCATCCTCCTGACAAGACAGTGAGTCAGAGAGGAGAGCTGGCTTCTGGGTCATACGAGTACTACCTGGACAGGACACAATCGAAGAAGGGATAGCTTATCAGTTTGTAGAGGAAATCCCAAGGAATCAACAGAATCAATGATCCCTGACACACAGGGGCTCTTAGGTTAATTTTTCATAATCTGTTTGAAAATCCAGCATGAAACCAAAAATCGTCAACTATGTATCAATTGAAAACAATCATCCTCTGTGGCCCTTCTGAACAGAAGACGGTTGGTTTGATCCCCACCACCCAAGCCCTTCAAGCCTTTTAAGAACTGATGAGTAAATCCCTATCTTACTGGAAAAATACCATGGGAGGGGAAAATAGCACCTCCAAAGACAAACAAAACCATGGCCTGAGTTCAACACCCCAGCAGCGGCACGCCTTGGCTGTGTGACTCTGAGTAAATCACCCCACCGCCCTGAGCGCTGCATTCTTATGACCTTTCTAGGGTGCTTTTGAGAGATGAATGAGATGATGCATGTAAACAGTGAGCACTCGGCAAACAGCAGCTCCCTTCCTACCTAATTCCAATCCCCAGGAAGCAGTGGACCCTCCAATAGATGATGCTTACTGAGCATGTACTGTGGGCCAGGTATTACTCTAATTGCCTGTCCTGCACTATTTCAGTAAATCCTCAGAACAACCCTTTGAAAGAGATACCAATATTATCCTCATTTTATAAATGAGAAAATCGAGGTACACAGAGGCTGAACAACTTGCCTAAAGCCACAGGCAGTGAGTGGTGGTGACTCCAGGTGACACACTCATGCACACATGCACCACACAGCCTCACCCTCACACACAGACACACACACTCATGCACATATGCACCAGAGACTCAACCTCACACACACACACACCCACACATGCACACACCCACACACATACATGCACCTACACATTCTCACACACACATGCATCACACACCCTCACCTACACACATACATGCACACACACGCAAACACACTCATGCACAAATGCATCAGACTCTCTCACACACACACGCACACACACTCATGAATACATGTACCATAGACCCTCACGCATACACACACACATGCACAAACACACACATAGACATGTACACAGATGCACTCTTATACACACACGTGCACATTCATGCACAAACGCACCACAGACTCACCCTCACACACATGGACATATTCATACACCTGCATACACACTCCACCCATGGCACACCCACGCATGCATGCACACACCACATGGAGTCACATGCATGCACACACCAGACTCACACACACTCTCTGACACCCACACACTTGTGCACACAACTACACATTCTCACACATACTTGTGCACAAATACCACACACAGTCCCACACACTCTGGCATACTCACATCTCATGCATACACACACAGACTCACACCTGCTCACACACTTACATGTCTTTAGGGCCGGCCAGAAGCACTCCACATTTCCTCTGTGCTTGGCAGGACTGGTCCTTCCTACACAGCAGATGGATATTTAGAGGCCAAAGGTCTGTCCCTCCAGGGCTGCAGCACTGGGAAGCCCTGACTGGTCACACGCACAGTAAAAGCCTATCACACTGCTGGTCCCAGAATAAATGCTTACCAGAGTAGGCTTCTACTTTGGTTGGTTTGGGTGTTTATGGCAGTCTAAACACACATGGGAAGGACAGGCAGTTTGTGGGCACCAGCCTTATGTAGTCTTTTCCTTTGTCTTCTCATGCAGGCTGCCAGCATCACGTGGATATTTTCAATCCCTGCTTCCACTTGCAAGGTACTAGGCCTTGCAAGCAAAAGCCTTTTTCATCCTCTGGTCAGGCTTGAGTTTTCTAAAATAATAATATTCATCCCTACACTCAGCAAATATTTACAGGGCCATGCCCCATATGCTACATGCGCCAGGCACCGTGGCAGGCACCAAGTCTACCACAGAGCCTCATGGGCACTGTTCACCTGGCAGCCATGCTCATAGGATGCTGGGAGGCAGCAGAGAAAGGATCAACAGTCTCCAGTCAACACTCTGAGTGTCCACTATGTGCAGCTGACCTTTGAACAATTTGGGGGTTGGGGCTGTGATCTCCGTGTGGTGGAAAATTTGTGTATAACTTTCAACTCCCCGAAAACTTAACTACTAATAGCCTACTGTTGACTGAAAGCCTTACCTATAACATAAGAAGTCGATTAACACACATTTTGTATGTCATATTTATGATATATTGCATTCTTACAATAAAGCAAGCTAGAGAAAAGAAAATGTTAAGAAAGATCATAAGGAAGAGAAGGGGAGAGGGCTTAGCCCCTGCACGCCTGGAGTTTAACCTGGAGTTAAACAGGTCATTGACAATCCCCAAATTCCAGATGCGACCTGGGAGTTGGCTATCCAAGTGTAGCAGAGGGGGTTCCTAAAAATGTTAAGTGTATACATCAAACATATTTCAATTCATCAGTTCATCATAACACACAGAGGAAATCTCAGTGGTCACCTGTGCAGAGTGACAGGGAACCCCCATCCTTAAGTTAATAAATCCTATATGATATACACTTCAGGGTAATCAAATCGTTGATGGGGAATTTCTCTTTATAGATGTATCCCCACTAATTACTTGAGAAAAAAGGACAGAATTTGGTTGACTGTTTTGCAACCCCAAATGCCTGACGGTATCACACAAGAAACCAGCAGACACAATGTGCTCCTGATGGAAGAGCTGTACCGAGGCGGTAGTTTCACACACACAGCGTTCACACCTGAGTCTCCCCAGACCTCTGCATTACCTACCACGTGGCAGGAATGGTGTGGGACAGAGAAGCACGTTCAGTGACTCCACAGGAAAGCAGCCAGCAAAATCCAGAGTACGGAAACTGCAGAACAAGCAAGCCAGACCCCTCCACCCAAAGTCACAAAAGGGAGAAGGGGGAGGAGGAGGAGGAGACGACGACGACGACGACAGGAAGAGGGAGGGAGGGGAAATAGATATGGAGGGATAACCTACAGAATCAGAGATCCTTCAAGAGCAAAGCGATCTACGATGCCTGGGGCTTCTTTGGATCCTGGTGCAAACAAATGATAAACAGAACAAACCGAAACACATGTTTATAACACAACTGGAGAAATATGAACTCGAAAAGGACATTTGGTGACTATTCTCTAATATAGAGAATTATGGTTAAGGTTTACTGCAATAATTATAGGGAAAAAATAGAAGCGTCTGGCATTTGCAAGCCCAGGTTATGCACAGGTTACCTATGTGGCTATGTGGTTATGAGCCTGATCCCCAAGTCCTCAATAAACAAAATGCTTGGGAGGTGGGAAGTTGCTGCCTTAAGGGAAGGAGGGCAGTCATAGCTTGGTGCCTACAGGTGACAAGTAGGATGCCAGTCTCTTTGGGAGAAAAAATGACGAAGGTGGGAAGAGCTGGTTTCGGAAGTAAAATAATCAGCTCAGATTTTAATAAGTTGGATTTTATTTTATTTGGTTGTTATTACCCTAAATGGCAATGGGAGGAAAAAGTTGCCTCCTGAAAAAGTCCTAAAGTCATAATCCTGGCATAACTGGGTGTACTTTATCAGCTCCAGTTCATTTAATTTGGGGTCAGTTTGATGAGGTCTCTATATAGAGAGAAGCAGCTTCCTCCCAACCCTCCAGTAGCAGGGGGAGCTGCTCCTCTCCCTGCTTTCCCCGAATCAGATTCTCTCAGTTAAGTGGAAATTCCACTGAAGCTCAAAGGGAAAGTTGTGGCTTCTTGTCGACGCTGACCTTACTCTTAAGGTCCAGTGGTGAGAATCCCTCAGCAGCGCTGGCTTCGGGGGTCTGTGCTCACCAAGGCTTTCGGAGGGCGTGGCACTTGCCAGGCTGCACAGACCACTCAATTATCGCTTCTGGACGGTCGAAGGAACGCTGCTGTCCCCCACTAAGATGTGGCCAAGGGGCTTTGGAAACACAGCACCACAGGACGTGCTTGGCTGGGCAGGAACAATGAGGTGGCAGGTCCACCAAGTGGGATGCCAGCCTCAGGCTCCCCGCAGCCGGCCGGCCAGCAGGTGGCCCGTCCTAGGACCAGGGCAGGAGGTGCAGCCTTATACATTGGCTTCTGTCTCTCTAGGCCCAACCCACTTTCTCAGCCGTGCCCCACGCGGGCCCCAGCCATGTCCTTCTGTCCCAAGACAGCGCCACCCTCATTGCCAACCTACGCTCATGCTCTTCTGGGCCCTGGCACTCTGTCCTCTCCTCTTGCCATCCAGCACACCTACTCCAGGAAGCCACTGTGACCACTAATCCAACCAGGATGAATCTCTCTATCCCCTGAACTACGAATGACTGGACCCGCTCGGCCCTCACTCCCTGGGCCCATTTTTAGTTATCTTTGTGCAGGTGTGAATTCGCCTCCCCACTCTCAGCACCTTGATAGCAGGGTCTATATTTTCCTTCATTCCTCGTTTCCACAAGGCCTAGTACAATGACCAGAGAAGGTACTTCATAAATAATTTTGTTTGTATAAGGAATAATTTGTATAATTATTTTATTTGTGTAAATAACAAATAATTGTGTTTGTGTAATTTGTATGTTTAGTGCTCGGGGTACAATATTTTGATAGAGCAGCCAGAGAAAAGATGTGACAAAACCTGGCAACTTAGGCTGACAGCATATTTCCTCTTCCACAGAAAGATGCAGCCAGGAAAACTCATTCCCCAGGAGATAATGGATGTCAGCCCAGACCTCCACGTCCATGCAAAACCCTTTGGTCTCTCAGCAGAATAAAGCAGCCTCGGTCCAACCATAACCTGACCATGGTGAGGAGAGGCAAAAGGCAGATGAAACCCACTATGCCTCAGCCTGGGCTCCAAACACATTTTTGTTTGAAGATAAAAGCTACTTAGAGCAACTTTCAGAGCTTCTGTGATTCTTAGTATTGCTGGCTTTACAAATAACAGTAACATTTTCTTGTTAACTTTAATTCATGCTGAAATTTAGCAAATATCAAATGGGAGATATGGCCAAGACATCTGAGCCATGGAGCATACTCAAAGCTAACGGCACGGCCAGGAAACTAAACTGATTCTAGCTCATCTGGAAATCCAGAAGGTCTCACCTCGCTTCAGCCTCAGTGCCCTCAGATCCGGAACACTGAGTATATCCCCCAGGTGGGAACAAGGTGACATAGATCACACAAGCCAATCCTGCTCCTAAGCAGGAAGAAGAATGAGGCATCGCCTTTCTGAAGCATGGCACTTCATAGACAAGAGTTCGTGGGATACTCTGATTCCGTCCAGGTGGAGAGGAAGGGGACCTTACCGTCAGAGCAGCACACCATGAAAGGCAGGCTGTCTGCCTGCTGTAGGAAACGGGCTGGTGAAGGATCCAATAAAAAGTGTCATCCACTAACACCCGAGGCTCTAAGGCTTGTTCACAGCTATTAACAGGAAGTGAAATATCCCTGTTCGCTGCCCAACAGAATACGGGGAAGAGAATATATAGCCATTCAATACGAGGCCACCCTCTGGCCTCCTCCCCTGGGAAGCCACACACCTGGCAGAGGTGAGCTGCAGCAGAAGACAGAGAAACCACCACCTGCCCCGGAGCTCCCAGCCACACAGAACAATCCAGAGGCAACCCGCGCCGTGAGCGTCTCCCCATGACCACTCGCCCAGCTCCCTCGGGCTCCTGCAGAGAACCTGAGGGGAACGTAGGGGGCAGCCACAGGCCAGGTGGCAGCCTTCCCCAGGGGACAGAATAGGGAGAATCATCCAGGATCACTGGGCAAGTGCACTTGTGGACACCCGTGAATTCCTGCTCCGTGTACACAATGGCTCTGACATTACAGATAAACCATACAAAGTCACAGCAGTGCACTCCCCAGGAAGGGCCACGTGGGGAGTGGAGATGGCAACTGCAACACGATGACATAGACTGTGTTTCCCATGGACGTTCTTTCCTTTAGATGCTTACACGGCAGGAAGTGTGCCTGTTCCACAGGGAGAGAAACCAAGCTGAAAGGAGCTGTCACTCCCCTAGGCCGAACCTTGAACCCAGATCAATCTGAAGCCACAGCCACAGTCCTGCCCTTTGTCATTCCGTCTCCTGGCTCTCCAGTCTTCTTAGAAGAGAGTATATTGTAAATAATATCCCATTTTAGCTATAAAGACAAAAGTTCTAGTCATATCTGAACAGTAGGGGGCCAAGAGTTTGCCAACAGGATCGTAAGACTCCTCTGTTAGGGCAAAGTTGAGCCACTGATGGATGTAACTGCTCCCTCGGCTTCTAGGCAGAATTAAAGTGCTCGCATTTTAAAAAATGAGTGGAAAAGCGATCTGGAGATAGGCCTCAAAAACCGGAAAGAATACTGACAAGAAAGGGAGCGAGGGAGGAGGGAAGGGTAGGAAGGAGGGTTGAAAACAAGGAAGCCCTCGGCAAAAGGGCCCTGAAGTAAAGGAGGAGCCCGCAGACCAGAAGAGGCCTGTGGAGCGCCCCAGAGCAGAGGCCGGGGCTCCAGAACTCTGAACCCAGTCAAGGCAGCACACAAGGTCCTGATATTCTCTACACAGCTTACCGTGGTGTGTCTGCTGTTAGTCAAGTCCAGAGAAAACAGAGTAAGATGCTGCTTGTACTCACCTCCTTCTAAGACCCCAAGCCTGGGTTGAGGTAATCTTGAGTGCTTAGCGCCTGGAATATGCTGCTCTAAGTGCTGGCTGTGGATTGTCCTGTGTGATACTCCAATAACCATTCTTATGTCCCCATTGTGGAGATGAGGGCACTGAGGCTCAGGAGATGAAAACATCATTGTTCCATCCATGTGGAAAGGCCAACAAGCAGGGTTCCTCAGGGCTCCCGACCCTCTGGCCTGCTGCCTGCTCATCCTCAGGGAGGTGCTCACCCAGCTCCCAGTCCCCCATCCTGACCTGCAGCCTTCCTCCCTCTTCCTGCACCCAGCCCTGGTTCCATGCACTAAGTAGCACACCCAGAGCAAGTGCCTCCGGGCCATCCTGGGCCTTGGGGGAGCAGGGGCCTGCAGGCCAGATGACTCCAGGTGAGAGGCAAGCTGTATTACACAGAGACTACCGCACAAAACACGGACCCAATGCCAGGCAAGCACGCGCCCAGCCTGAACCTCCAAGAACTGTCTTTGCAAAGTATAGAGATGGGACTCAAAGAGCGCTTGGTAGGAGAAAATGCAAATGGGAATACAATAGAAAAACTTGAGAAAAACTATTTGTACTATAAGACTCTTGAATTTAGCAAGCATAAATAGCAGGCTTAAAATTTGCTAGAGCACAGTCATTTTTATATTGGGGACATACGTAACTTGCCCCCCATATAAAAATACAGTAGGAATACAGAAAATAGTTTCTTTTTTTAAATCCCCTCCCATTTTCACATTTGCAGCACTGGTATTTATGTAGTCTAATTTCCATAACAAAAATTTTAAAATCTGTCTCAAATATAACTCCTCAAAATAATGTCAGTAAAACTGGGGAGAGAAGCTCAATGCATCATAAAATGATCTCAGTAAGAAGGCCGTGTGAGGAGGGTCGGCCCGGCCAACGCTCTTCCCAAGGTGTGCAACTGCAGAAAGATCCTCAGCCTCAACCCCCTTCACTTAGCCCAGAGAAACACAGAAAACAGTAAGCCACTTTTCCTAAGAGAAGTTCAGCGGGCTTTCAAAGCTGCCTTCTTTCTCTTTCCTTGTCACAAAAACCATGAGATCGAAAACCAACGAACTTCAAACTCTGACTCCACTTCTTCAAATTCAAGAAATGCTCAAAGCCTCAGCCTTGGGGATTCACACATGTCAAAACCTCACTCAAGCTGTTTCCATCCAGTATCTAATAGAAAAACACATGATCAGAACCTTCAAGGATCCCATGTAAATTTTTCTACTTTCATATTTCAGTTGCATGATTAATTATGTACCTTCCACATATCTTTCTTTGCTTATTTAAAATTACTTCTGAAGTAGTAATGTTGGTATGAAGAATACTAAATCAATACATGATTTCCTGGAATCCAGGCATTGCTCAGACAAACAGCAAAAGCCTATTTCAAAACAGCTCCGCTGACCACTTTAGAGAACAGAACAAATTTCTGACTTTTGAACATGCTGTCCCTCTATCCTAAAAGAAGAAAACATTTCCTTTGTGAAAATGCAAATCTCTTTCCTTAACCAGAAAACAACCTCCTTCCCATGTCCCAGTGACCCCACCTCCTAACCGTTTCAGAACCACATCAGACAGTGCCACCCAGGTGGGAGGAGAGACTTACAGTTGAAGATGCCCGGAGGCGGGTGCTCGGTCACCAGGAGACAGTTCTCTTCGTCACTGTTGTCCCCACAGTCGTTCTGTTGGTTACAGACCAGCGAACCAAGATACAAGCATTTACCACTGGTGCAGGTGAATTTGCACTCTGAAAAAGTACAATATAAAGCATGGAGCAGTCAATGCAAGCTTGGTGCTCTTGAGCTGTGACTGTCGTTGGTTTTTCTTTCCCCCATTTGCATGCCATGATTGTTTGGGAGCTCAGACTATCTGGAGAGCCCAGGACACTAAACTCAGAGAAGGGCCATCTGGGTAAGGACCTTCCTCGTCTGAAACACACAGGATGGTGCCCTCCTGCACTCCACAGGGGCACCGAGGCCCACCTTGCACGCCTCACTCTACGGCACTGCCCACACAGTAGCACAGGTGCTCTCTTTCTTTCCACAACCTGCTCTGCAAAAGTCATAGCTGTGGGGCTCTATTATTCGGTTTGAAAACATCCTTGGCAGTTCTCCACACTTCCGAGAATGGGGGAGCCCGTGCAGCCAGCCGTGGCAGGGGCCATCAGAACTCAGGAGCGCTGGCTTAACAAAAGAACACTCAGACATTTTATCTCCCACTTGCCACTGTCCTGTGGTGAGAATCTGGACAACATATTTCACCTCTCTGATGTTCATTCCTCTCATGCCTAAGAAAAATCAGGCATAATACCAGGCATGGGTAGCAGTGAATTTACAATGTAAAACATGGGAAAATCATGTGTGCTTTCTGCTAAAGGGCCATGCTGGTGAACTATAAAAATAGGGCAGGTCCCATACCCAAATCCTTATAGGCCACACTGAACACAGGCTCCCTAAAGTCTGTACGAATCAATATTTGAAAATGGAATTCAGTTTTGTAGGACTTTAAAATAAATTTGCACACTTAACACATTACTATCCATTTAAGCAATGAAGAATAAAGGAAGTTACACAATTATATACACTTGAGCACAGAAAGGTCCATTACATCTTACAGTGACTGTCATCCTGCATTCTGAGTGTGGGCTTGGCCCTAGGAAACCACAGAAGCTGGCAGGATTCACACAGCACGGCCCACTCAGTACACAGCGGGAAGACAGAGTCTCTGGAGGAGTCCCGGGTTCCTCACCGCCACTGACTGTCACAGCCTCTTCCTTTTTCCAGGCCTTGGTTCTGTCTGTCTGGAATAAGGGTGGCAGGCCTGGATCAAGTCCAAGGTCCTTTCAACTCAGATTTTCAATCATTCAAATAAAAGGCTGGGCATCGGCACACCAAGGCCTCTTCCAGCGATGCTAACCATGTGTGGGGCTACCCCATGAGAGCCCAGCCTGCCTCTCAGCGGCGAACTGTGGCCCGCAAGACAATAACCTTCACCTGTTGTAAAGAAACACAACTTAAGAGTCCTCAAAGTATTTTTGTGAACCTGTATAAAAAGCGTATTATAATCCTCCATTTGTTCACATTCTCCTAAAAGAGTATAGAAAAAGAAACCAGCCGAGCTGCTGACCTAGTTTAGAATAACATGTGAACACAGCCCAAATGCACACCCACAAGCGCCTCGCTAGCGGCGCCATCCAGGTTAGAAAATCTGTGTGCAGAGTGAGGCTGGGCCACGTGGTGGGGGTGCTGCTGGAGCCAAACGCTCTCTTTCCATAAGGTGGAAAGATTAAAACCCAGCTGTTTGAAATCACATTTACTAAGTAACATTTTTTTAACTTAATGGAAAAAAGGGATGTCAAGGGAAAAATTTATCTTCCTTTCCAAAAGAAATATTGGACTATGGATTTATACCAAACATGAAAAGCGCATTAACCGAAAACAGGTACTCCCTGTGTTGCTAAAACAGTGATTGGGAAAAAGGAATACTAATCTGAATTGAATCAAACTCTTAACTAAAAAGTTCACCATTGCTGTGGTTTGAAAGGATCCAAGGTTAGACTACCATATTCAAGTTGGTGTGGAACATTAAACTACCCAAGAAATGAAACCACATCCACACTTCACTAATTTTAACTTGTTGGGGGGAGACACGACATGCTTGCAAGGAAATGAATTCTGTGGCTCATTCATTCGTTCATATAACCAATATATTAGCCGCTTCTATGTTCTGTGCTAGGTACTGAGACATGGAAACTCGGAAGTGAATGAGCTAGCCCTCTTCAAAGAGCTTATGACATGAACTATTTTAAAAATATGAGCAGTGACTAATTTGCTGCTCCTTCCAAGGCCAAACATTTCCCTTCTTTATCTCCTTCATAATCTAGAGGGCCGCCCAGCCTGTGACAGGCACTCGGTGAATCACACATTTGTTGAATAAATGAATAATTTGATCTGAGCCTCATAAGAACCCTGTGAAATAATTAGAGCAGATATTATTCTTCCCATTTTATTCCATTTTGCCTCATCTCATAGCACTGCCTCAGTTTCCAAATCCACTTTAAGGAATGTGAGAGACTCACTTGTAATGGGCATGGCCCCATGCATAACAAAGTTCCCCAAATCACTTGTTGTCTTAAGTAGGCTCAACCTTACTCAGGAAACACTAACAAGGCTTGTGCTACTAATGTGCTTGGCTCTTACTTCTTAGATAACGGAAACAACATCAACCTATTAAATTTCAAATTCAGCTGGGTACAGTGACTCATACCTACACTCTCCACACTTGGGAGGCAGAGGCAGGAGGATCATTTGAGTCCAGGAGTTCTAGAGCAGCCTGGGCAACAAAGCGAGACCCTGTCTCTACAAAAAAGTTTAAAAATTAGCCAAGTGCAGTGGCACACTCCTGTACTCCCAGCTACTCAGGAAGCTAAGGCAAGAGGATCGTTTGTGCCCAGAAGTTCCAGGCTGCAGTGAGCTATGATCATGCTACTGCTCCCAAGCCCAGGTGACAGAGCAAGATCCAGTCTCTAAAAAATTAAAAATTAAAAAAAATCAAATTTATAAAATCTAAATCTCAGCAGTGAGTCATTAGCCCAATATCAGAGTAAGGTCTTTCCATCACATGGCCACTGGAATCAGAATGACCAGATTGAGAATTTTAATTTATTGGCTTCTTGATGTGATATAGAAAATACTAGAAAATTGCTGTAATGTGATTAAGTGCTAAGAATTAATGCTAAAGCTGGAATGAGAACTGCAGAGCACAGTAAATATCTGTCCAACTTAACAAAACTGGTGTTGACAGAGGCAGGCTTCCACCTCCATCCCAACTCCGGACAGGCTGTCCCCAGCACACTGTGCCACCCAAAAGCCCAGTGCATTCAGGTCCTCTAATCACGAGATTATTGTGATATTTCAAACAAACTGATAACCCTAGGAGAAAGGCCCTCCTCTTAGCTGCATATTGGGATCACCTGGACGTCTTTCAGCACTGCTGGGGTCAGAGTCCCAGACAGGTCCTATCTCACTGGCCTGAGGTGCAGTCAGACAGCGTGGGTTTTCTGGCACCCTCTGGCCTGGCTCCAATGGGCAGCGCAGATGGAGAACCACTGTCTACTGAGAAAGAGGTAGCTCACATACAGCAAGCCTCCTCTTTAGTTAATGGTATTTTATTGGAATGTTTATTTGGTATTTGCTAATTTACAAAGAAGAAAACTAAAATACAATCTCTTAAAATAAGCAGGTATTTGGATAATTGCTGACTACAGGGCCCAGTCGCTAGAGCTCTGTTCTGTCAATGGGCTATTTGGGAAACTTTGGAACCAATGTAGTTTTGACCCCTAAACTACACTTTGACAGACTAGAACCAGAGAGGGTCCTCCATGAAGTAAAACTCAAGTCAGAGAAAGACAATGGAAAATTTTTAAAAATATGTTGTCTATTCTTTGTGGAACTTGTTGAGTATTTCTGCCAAGCTAGAAGTTGAGGGAAATCATGGATTGTTAAACATTAGAAACATTTTGGTGACAAATTCATGGCAACCTCAGATGTATAATACTGGACTGGAATACAGAATGAGTTGCTCAGGAACCAGTGTCTCCTCCAGGAGCTATAGACGTATTATAACCTATAAGATTTAAATCACTCCTCTTCTTAAAAAAAAGTCATGCCCTTCTAAGTGAAGAAAGTGGCATTCCTCTTTGCCAAAATTTCCTATTTGATTTCTTATTAAAAAAAAAAAAAACTTAGGAGAAACAACTTCCAGAGTCAACAACAGACTTTAGAATCGCTGTAAACACTTCTGGTAATAACACAATCTTCTCCACATTTAGGGTATTCAGCTTCTCTGCATTTCTACATAAAGCTTCTGATGGGTTTTTCTGTGTTGTGGAGTTATCCCAGAGTCATCAAATCTTAATGCTGAGAGGGACCTAGACACACTGATCCACCCCTCACCTCCCAGGTGAGGAAGCAGGCCAGGGATAATGCCTGACTTACCCGAAGCTGGAGAACAAATTACCTGTAGTGGAACATAAAACCCGAGATTTCCATCGGATCGAGAGGAAACCCTTTTTTGTCCTGAAGGTCATTCTAGTTGTGTACAAACTAACATCAGCCAGTTGGGTTATACCATGTGCGAGAGGAGAAAGGAAAAGAATGATTCAGAGAAAGGGAATGTCCTAATATTTTATAACCTTTGAAAAAACAGGGAATTTTAGGAGCCCTAAAACTAGGGGGGAAATGGAATATCTTAAGGTTTTCTGTGAATTCCAAACTTATATACAAAAAGGCTATGTTAAAAAAAATTTTAAGGACCAGTAGCTTAACAAATTTGAATAATGTAAACCTAAACTCGGTCAGGATGCAATGATAAATGCTCAATCTTAAGCAGGACAAATCAAGCCTCACAGAGACTAAATTTAATCTGCTTGGTAGAGTCAACATTCTACTAGTTAACAGGCAACAAAAAGTTGTTTTCAATTTCCCCTACACTCCTTTAAAGCCTTAGTTTTCACAGATACGATCTCAGTCACAAAATAAGGACCTATATACAGCATTACATCTCAGCTGTAAAATCAGCCTTTTTTGTGAATTGGCAAAGTAGTCTACATTAGTTATTTCTGTTAAAATTCATATAGCAACACTGACTCATTTAGTTCACACTTCTATCATTCACAAACCTGAAAATGGAGAGTGATTCTGGCTCCATCATTTCTGACATTAAAGTCTAGAACCTGCTCTCTGTACGGGTGCCTTTTCCATGTACTTACATTGTAAATAGCAAAGAGGTCAAATCTAGCTGCCAGTGACGTGTAAGCCAAGAATTAATGGGTTCTAAGATTAGCATAAATTACCATAAACAATGTAAGTTTACATTTCCTAGTACAGAGGTGACAACAATGTTTTATTAATTTATATACTCACTGCCTGTTCCCCTGCAAGGTGTAAGATATCCTATAATAAAAGGAAAATTCAGGCTGGGCATAGTGGTTCACACCTGTAATCCCAGAACTTTGGGCAACCAAGACAGGAGGATAGCTTGAGGCCAGGAGTTCAAGACCAGCTTGGTCAACATGGTGAGACCCCATCTCTACAAAAAATTAAAAAATTAGCTGAGCTTGGTGGCATGTGCCTATAGTCTCAGCTACTTGGGAGGCTGAGGTGAGAGGATGGCTTGAGCCTAGGAGTTTGAGGCTGCAGTGAGCCGAGATCACGCCACTGCACTCCAGCCTGGGCAACAGAGCCAGACCCTGTCTCTTAAATAAATAAATAGAAGTAAAATTCAGTGAAGATGGAAAATAATGAGTAAAACACAAAACATAAATCAGGAAATGCAGAGGAAAGAGGAGAGGAAAACTGACTGCAAAGAACTCATCTCTAAACCGAATTCCAACCAAACAAGCCACCACAGCCAAGAGGAAACCAAAGGCATGGTCATGGGACCTCACTGGCCCTTGGGCAGGCATTCCAATCAACCAGAAACAGCCACTCTCCTGCTTCTAAAACTTAACAGGATCTGTCACTCTTTTTATTAAAGGGTGCTGTTCAGCAAGGAGGAGGCTATCCTAGACACCAATTTTATCAAAAAGGGAAAAGGACTCCCCATCTTGTAATTTCCTAAATCAGCCTTCAGGGAGGTTGAAATATTCGATTCCATAAAGTGGTTTCCACAAAGTTGCCAAAACACAGCATCCAGAAAGTAGTGCTTTAGCTAATTATGAAGATAAAGCTTTGAGAGTTTTCAGAAATGAAAAGTCGATCCTTAGGGCGATTCTTCTTAAACGTCAGCTTTTGACAGCATGGGAACTGACAGCATGGGAATGCCGTGGGGATGATGCACGCACTCACTCCCCTGGGGAAACCTGCAGTGCAAGGTGCACATGTTGAGTAGGCTGCGAGACTGCACCGGCGTGTTATCAACGTGAATCCCTCTGGGAACCTGAGGGAGGAGAATGCAGCAGTGCTCATGCCTCACCTGGTGTCACAGGCCAGCTCCACGCTCAGCCAACCTCGGCGTAAAGGCACCGGCCTCACTGGTGACGCTCTGACCTCACTCAAAGACGGGCTGACATTCCCGTTCATAAACTTGGAACAAAGTGGAATTTACTTTGAAGGTTTATATTCTGTGTTAATGAATTAAGTTAACCCCAAAGCATTTAATAAAAGTCCTATCTTAAGTGGTGCTGCTGAAACCATAGTTGTCCTTCAGAAAGATGAATATGACATGATAAAAGGAAATCTGCCCAAGTAATAAGATTACCAGAGAAGAGCCTCCCGTCAAAGAGAGTAATAAAAAATGTTTAAAAACTCAATCCATTTTATGATATGGTTTGTCGCTCCCATTATGGTGCTGAAAAGATGATTTTAATGGGTCTCAAATTCTATGAGAACCATAAGTGAAACATGCAACAACGTGCTCTTAAAAGTCCAAAGTACTCTCAGGCTTCGGACTTACAGACCTGCAATTACCCTTCAGAGCAGCTTGAACAAATCACCCAACTTTCCATCAAAACACCACCTGGCATTTTAAAGTCATAAAAGTCCTTCAGGGCTTGAAAGGGTGGATAACAGTGATTCCCGTCTATGTTTATAACCAATGAATGAATGAATTTGCTTTTGTGGTTTTCTGTCTGTAAGATGCGAGGAGGCATTCTTCCTCACTTCTTACATAGAACAGTACCGAAAGTAGGTAAGAACCCCCTTTCAAACTCTTGGAAGAACAGAAATATCAATAAGTGCAATGGACATGGGAGAAGAGTTTGAAACGACGTCACCCATATATCAACAGTGGCTTTCTCTGAGGATGCTGGGGTCACTTTAATAACTTTCAAGTTTCTTGTGGATTTTATATATGATTTTATAATCAGGCACAATAAAAATCCTATTTTAACAGGGAAAATCTCTGAAAACCAAATGTCTATAGAACTCTAAAGCCATTAAAATTCATAATTTTAAAGGCACTAATAAAGTACCTAATTCCCTATGGCATCATCTAAACAGAAATCCTGACACATGAGTCCTTCTTCATGAGGATCAATGGTACTTCAGACACATTTCCTTTCCTTTCGAGAAATGTGTACTGAGCTCCTCCATCAGCATGGAGTGGCAGGGGTCCTGCTCAGCAGGGACACATCCTGGAGGGCAGCGGAGAAGGTGACGTCAGCGAGGGGGCTGGGGGGCCTAGGGAGCCTGCAGGCCTCTGGACAACCTGTGGCTTTTACTTTGTGTGAGACCAGAGGCATTAAAGGATTTTGAATTCAAGGACAAATATACTTCATTTTTTCAAAAAATATTTGATTGAAATACAGCATATGTGTATGTATGCATGTGTGTGTGTATCAGAAAGTCCAGCTCAATGAGTCTATGCAGACCGAAAAACACCCAAGTAACCAGCACCCTGATCAAGACACAGAAAGGCACCTCTGGGGGCCCTAACTTGCTTGTTCCGGGATCTCACTGTGTACAACGTGGTAGGTAGACTTTGGGCGCCAAGGCATCCCATTGTGAAGAGCCTTGTATGCCTTGCTGAGGCCCATTCACAGCTCTCAATCTGCAGGGTTTAAATAAACTTAGTGAAAGTGATGGAAAGTCAACTGTGCCGAGCTTTTAATACACCCTCATCGGGACTAACCTCGCATAACCTTCTCGTGATTTTGCTCTGCAGAGAAAGCAGCATCAATCATGAAGCGCAACAGGAGCTCCACGTCGCCCACTGACAGATGTGCTTTCCATGTGTATTGGAGGTCTGTGGGTGATGAGGACCATATCCACCTGGCAGTATCAACAGAGGCAGATGCACAGGTGTTGACAGCAGAAACGTGGGCCCCAAAATGGGAAGCACAAGAGTGCCTGGCAGCATTTATCCTCAGGTGTGGTGAAGGCTGGGCCGGGAGGCTCTTTCCCTCTGGTCAGTCCCTCATTCATTCATGCATCCACCCACCAAGAGCCCGTCACTGCCTGGGCAAGGAGCACGGCCACAGGCAGCAAGGGAGAAGTGGACAGTCCACCGCCCCGAGACCCAGGACCCAGGATACCGGCCTCCTTCCAGCTCTTACACTCAATATTCTGTGTATCCTCAGGCAACTCTTTATCTCTAGATTCCTATGATAAAGTGAGGTGCCTGGACTACACCAGCAGCTTTTCATTTTTCCTCTGAACAACTTCAGTGCTCCCTGTGGGGCCTCGCGACCTGCGGCAGAAGCGGGAGCTGCGTCAGGAACCCTGAGCGCTGGCTCAGGTCTGCATGCAGGGGAGGCTTCCCTTGGAGGGTTCACTGAACAAGGGCATCCCCTGGCTGAAAGGCCTGAAAGCCTCTTTGCGTTCTCACACCTAAAAGTCTTATGTTCTAAAAGTCCTTCGATTCTTATGATCAGTGATTCTATAAATTTTTAAGACAGGGATTTTGAAAAATAAAATCCCACATTAGTTCTTTGGTACTTCCGTCGCCTGCTCTGAATTATTCCAATGAACATTCAAATGACAGGTAACTTTAAAAATGGATTCCTGAATTCTGGACATTTTGACACACACTGATTATATCAACAACAGCTCCACACGGCCATTCCCACGAGAAGGCCAACATGCTCTAACTTCTGGTCTTATAAAAAGATGCTCTGGGCCCCATGGCCCATTTCTCTGCTCCCACAGTTTAATGCTGCAAACAAGTTTTCTGTACTCACTGTGTCTAATTTCTGATTCTCCCCTAAACAAATCCGAATCAGGCTTTGGGGCCCATCACTGCACCAACACCGCCTGGCCAGGTCCCTGGAGACCCCCATGTGGTTAACTTGGCCTCATCTCACCAGACCCCAGTTGACACCTCTGCTCCCTCCCACAGGGAACCGCATCCTTCCCATGTCCCGACGCACATGGCACTGCACTCCTCTCCACACCTCTCAGCTCCTCCTCCACTCCCTGACCTCTTAACCTTGGAGTGCTCCAGCTCACCCTTGGCTCCATTCTCTTTTCTGCATACACCATTCCTTTGCCATCTCTAGCAGTCACTGTCTCACACTAACAATTCCCACATTTATCCCTGACCTTTCCACCTTGCCCTAGACCCCAGACTCCTCCAGTCACTTGTTCAACATATCCTTGTGGAATGTATAATAGACATCTCAGCTTACTATGTCCAAGGCCAAATACCTCATTTTCCCACCCAAAGTCACTCCCCCAGTAGCTTTCCCTATCTCAGAAACTGCACTGGGGATAGAGATGCCACTGCAGTCATCCATAACCCCTTCCTTTCCCTTACATCCCAACCCATCCACACACTCTGTTGGCTCCACCTCCAAAACCCACTGGAAATGGACCCCTTCCCACCACCTCACTACAGTCACCCTCCTCCAAGGTACAATCTCCCCTCCCCATGGTGATCTCCTAGCTCCTCCCCTGTCCTTCCACCACGGTTTACTCATAAGAGAGCAGTCAGGATGTTCCTGCTGAGATGGAAGTCAGATCAGGTCTCTCCAACAGCTTTCATTTTACTCAGAGTGAAAACCCAAGTCCTCATAATGAACTTGACATGACCCTCCCTGATGTGGCTCCCACCAGCTCTCCAGCCTCCCCTTGCCCTCCCGAGGTTGGCTCTGGATGCCTGGCCTCCTCGCTGCTCCCTGCACACAGGGCTCATCCATACCTGCTGCTCCTCTGCCCAGAGCTTTCCTGAGACCCCTGCTCAGCCAACTCCCTCACTTTCATCAGGCCTTCGTGCAAACATCACCATCGCCGTGGCCTCCCTCACTCCACTCCCCATCTCACCTCCCAGACTCCCGGCTCCTCCTACCTCCTTTCCTGCTTCACTCTTCTCTCCTACTCATATTTCCATCTAACATGATAGTCAAATATACACATCATATTTCTTGTCTTCTTTTCTCCATTAGAGCATAAACTACATGAGGGCAGGGATTTATGTCTGCCTGGTCTTACTAATGAGTCCCCAGAGTGTGGTACATGGCCAGCAATCAATCAGTATTATTACTGTAAGCAATCAATCAATATTATTAAAGAAATCAATGAATAGATGTAAAAGCCTGTGGAGAGGTTCTTATAGGAACCACAGTTAACTATGGGTGTCCCTTTGGGTGAAGAAAATTTTCTCTAGCTGAGTAAATATCCTCACTAGAAATAAATATATGGAAAATGAGGCAGGAAGGAGATAAAAGAAGGAAATAATATATTATTAGCAAATTGTGAAAGATTTTTAAAGGCAGAATTAGTTAAAGTTACTGGCCACATGGTTTTTTTAGTTACCTGTGGTCTTCAATTATGGAATCGTTCTCTCCTGTCCTCAAGGTCATAAATAGCTAGGCTTTTTCCATCTGTCCCTACCCAGTCATCTGGCTGTGCTCCTAAATCACAATGTTCTCTCTCAGCACAACACTGTGTGTTTTGGAGAGAAAATCCATTGTCTGGCTGAAGCCCTGGACTGTTGATTCAGGAAACAGCCAGCTCCTTCCCTTCCAGCCTCCGGCACCCTGAGAACTGGGTGTGAGTGCTGATTTCTCCACCTGTCTTATTTCTTAATATCTGCAACCAGCTCAGAGCCAGGGATAAGTCAAGACTCCACCAGCCCATGTATGGCTGCCCGGCTGCCCCCAGCCTTGCCCTCAGGTGGGTCACAGCTTGCTATTTTTTTCCCACTTGGGTAAAAACTGCCTGACTTTCTTGCCTTGAGCTTCTCATGGCATCTGCCTAGAATCCTTCCCAACTTTATGAAATTTGAAAACGTCTTCCTTCTGAGATCTTTTTTCTTTTCTTTTCTTTCCTTTTGTTTTATTTATTTATTTGTTTGTTTATTTATTTATTGAGAAGGAGTCTTGCTCTGTTGCCAGGCTGGAGTGCAGTGGCGCAATCTCGGCTCACTGCAATCTCCGCCTCCTGGGTTCAAGCGATTCCCCTGCCTCAGCCTCCCGAGTAGCTGGGACTACAGGTGTGCACCACCACGCCTGGCTCATTTTTTTTGTATTTTAGTAGAGACGGGGTTTCACCATGTTGGCCAGGATGGTCTCAATCTGCTAACTTCGTGATCCGCCCGCCTCAGCCTCCCAAAGTGCTGGGATTACAGGCGTGAGCCACTGCACCTGGCCTTCCTTCTGAGATCTCAAACCTCACTGACCTCATAGGGCGTGGGCTACATAAACACCCATGTTCCCTGTATTCTTCAACCAACCCACACCAGAATTTTGTGATGGCATCTTCATACCTCTTTTATGGATGGCAGGATGTTCTACTGCAGGAGAATGTCCCAGGCCCCAAACAAGGAAGGTCTGCTGGTGAACTAAACTGTCTCTTCCTTCCCAGATGGAGACTTGGTACTTAAAAGAATGGCTTTTGGCTCCTGTAACTGATAACACTCAAGGCTGGGATCAAAGTGGGTGGCAAGCTATTGCGTGCACTCCCCTGTACACCAAGCTGCAGTAGGAAGAGGCACGGGTGGGGCTGTTGGGTTCTCAGCAGGAGGCTGAGCTCCAGGCTGACCTAGAACCAGCCCCGCTACTGGGCAGAGAGATGGGAACCTCTCACCTGCCCTGAAAGTTACAGCTTTATTAGGAAAAACTACTTATTTCTGACAACCTATGCCAGGCCAGAATTCCAAGCTCTGCAAAGACAAAATATTTTTTGACTGAACATGCCCATTTCAGACCTTTCATAAAGAACTTCTTTATAGTACTAAGTGCCAGTTAAGGATTTCCTAAATTCCTTTGTCTATCTCCCCAGTAACCAAAAAGAGAATATTTCTAGTAGACTTGGGAGACTTCAAAATAACGTGGTCAACAAACAGGAGCAGGGGCTTAAAACCCATTATCCTCAATGGAACACTGGCTGATAAAATCCCCTACCTTCCAAAATTAACAACAAATCTGTCTTTCTGTTCAGTTCTTCCCCGAGGGCATGTCCTGTTGAGAGCCGGTTTCACCTGTGCAGTGTGGCCTGATGGCCCAGCACCCAGGAGCTCTGCGCACCCTGCCGCCATGGGCCATCCGTCCCCAGACCTCTTCCCACAGGGTCACTGTGGTCCACCGTCCTGCCCTCGGGGAATCTCAGCCTCCCTCTCACAGGTATGAATCACCCTCACCCCTCACCCCAGCCTCCCTTCTGTCCCCACCCCTTCTCCAAACAGACAAACCTCAAACACCACCCAGGCCCCGCCCACAGACTCATTCACTGATGCCATCGCTGGACCCAAGTCAGTCAGATGAAGAGCAGGATGGTGTCAGAGCCTCGACCTCGGGAAGCACAGGATGAGAACAATGCAGCTGCCTCCCCAGGCCGTCAACCCCAGCACGGAAAACTCACGCTGGTCCTCACTCCAGCCTGAACGCTCCTGCTGAGGCCAGCTCTGCTCTGTCCCATTCTGTCATCATTAAAGAGAGAAGGGATGGCCACATCTACCTGGAAAAACCACTTCCTCCTCTGAACACAGCTCTCATCTGGAGCCCCGACGTGTCATATTCCTCCACCTTCCTGGAGGGAGGAAGTGCCCCAGTAGGCTGACAGCTGAGCTTTAATTCTGCTCCACAGCCAATCCAGGTTTTCTCAATACTATCTCTGTGGAAAAGTGCATAAAACAGCAAGAATAATTGGCATAAATGAGACAAATGTAACCCAGAAGCTTAGTCCCAAAATGCACACTGAAAGTAAATTCATAAAAATATAAATGAAAGCAAGTTTTCTTTATATTTAAGTATAACAAAGCTACCTATTGATAAATGGGGCCTTCTCCACACCCAGGTCCAGGACTATGTTCCTTGCCTTATTTTTTCCTATAAGGCTTACCACCTTTAAATGAAGCAAAAACAAATGAATCAATAAATCATATAATTAACTTTTATTGTATTTACTGCCTTCAATCGCTAGAATGTAAGTTCTCCTGAATACAAGGAATGTTCACAGTATTGTTTATTTGTTATTTCCCTGGGTCCCAGAACAGTTTCTGGCATGTAATACAGTCTCAAAAATATTTGCTGAATGAATGAAAGTTTATTCTATTAAGCAAACTGTTATCTCTGGATGATAAATGTCATGTCACTCCTCGACCTCAAATCTTTCCATAGATTCCATCACTTCCAGGACATAGTCCGTATTAGCGAGGCATACGTGCCCTTCGCCATGTGGTCCCGAGCATCTTCCTGAGTCTTTCCTAAATCCTACACATCCCCCTGGAGGCCAAAATGCCTCTCAGGCATACCATGGCTTCCCATCACTGCACCTTCATGTACACGGTTCCTCCTGCCTAGAATGACTTGCTCCTCATTCCCTTGCGTGACAAATGCCTACTGACCTTTTAGCAAAAAACAAAAACAGAAAAACCCTTCGCCAAGACTGTGAAGCCTTCTCCAGTATTCCCATCCCCATCCAGGAACTGAGTACCACCGCTTCCATGTTCCCATGGCAACCCGCGCATCCCCCAACACAGTGCTAATCACCTTGCTGTCATTGCTTGTCTCTTTGCTCACCCACGTCATTATCTTTGCATCCCCAGGGGCCAGCACAGTAGGTGGCTAATAGTTGCTTCAACTTAAATGGACTCAAATGCGCTAAAGGGAGGGGAAAAGAGAAGTCAGTGCACTTTGGGGCTGAGTTTTGTTTCTTTCACTTGTACCTGATATCTGTGCTCCTGTCACAGACGTCCACACAGACACACAAGCTAAAGAAGAAGATGGACAAGAATCAGCACACACTTTGCTCCTCTGGTTTCACCTTGAACCAGAGGGCCCATTAGTCGTGTAAAGCCATTAAATATTACAGCTGTATAAATCACACAAACCAGCATTTCTGCCTCTCTCCACTAAGTGTCCAAATCAGTAGCCAATAAAACACTGGAAGTTTTTTTTTTTCTTTCTTTTTTTTCTTTGAGATGGAGTTTCACTCTCGTCGCCCAGGCTGGAGTGCAATGGTGCAATCTTGGCTCATTGCAACCTCTACCTCCCAGGTTCAAGTGATTCTCCTGTCTCAGCCTCCTGAGTAGCTAGGATTACAGGCACATGCCACCACGCCCGGCTGATTTTTGTATTTTTAGTAGAGACAGGGTTTCATCATATTGGTCAGGCTAGTCTCAAACTCCTGACCTCAGGAGATCCACCTGCCTTCGTCTCCCAAAGTGCTGGGATTACACGCATGAGCCATCGCACCAGGCCTAACACTGGAAGATGTTTTAAGTATATAAGTTTCTTGTACAGTGAAAATTATACACACGTGATACAAAGAAATCATAAAATTTCAATGAACACAGGTTGCCCATGACATAAAGGACATGTGTGAAAGAAACGTGAACAGGGCTTTCTATAACTCTTCAGGTGCACACATGGGGAGCAGCCAAGGATTTCTGCAGAAAAATTCACTCCAGAGGTCAGCAGCTAGAAGCACAAATGGAGAGTGAGTGAGCACGAGCGCCTCGTGGACTCAGCCCTCCCAGGTACGGTACTGGAAGATGCTCAAGACACAGCACAGTGAGAAATGTAGTAAATGGGGTTCTTCTTTAGTCTTTTTTTTTTTTTGAGACAGAGTCTCGCTCTGTCACCCAGGTTGGAGTGCAATGGCGCAATCTTGGTTTACTGCAACCTCTGCCTCCCGGGTTCAAGAGATTCTCTTGCCTCAGCTTCCTAAGTAGCTAGGATTACAGGAGCCCGCCACCATGCCTGGCTAATTTTTGTATTTTTAGTAGAGACAGAGTTTCTCCATGTTGGCCAGGCTGGTCTCAAACTCCCAAACTCAGGTGATCTGCCCTCCTCAGCCTCCCAAAGTGCTGGGATTACAGGCATGAGCCACCACGCCCTGCCAAGCCACCAAGCCCGGCCTTCTTTAGTCTTAAAATTAGAAACTTGTTCCCTTAAAGGCCAAAAATGTTCAGAGTTTTCTAGAAGTGGTGGCTCATCATGATTACATCAATATTAAGGAAATACAGTAAAGGCTTCTGGACACCAGTGGTGTGGCAGGCATTCATTCACCCAGGCTCAATGCAGGCTAAGTTGTGCCCAGCCTGAGAGGACTGCCAGGATTAACCCAGAGCCTGCTAGACTCCCCAGGGAGTTGCTACCAGCTCCAGTGCCACACTCCTTCCCAACACCAGCTTTCCGCCTCTGCTAGTTGGAGAGCATGTCACCAAGGTTGAGCGGCAAGCAGCTACAGCCCACAGCCTGGCACAGCACATGGCACTATGAAGGCTGGAGCAAGGCTTGCTGAGACAGAAGAGGAAAAAACAGATCTGTTGCTGGAGATATGCAGAGAGATAAACAGAAAGCAGAAAGTATAGTTTTAAATTTGGTGATGGTGTTGGTTTGGTTTTGTTTTTTGAGACAGAGTCTCACTCTGCCACCCAGGCTGGAGTGTAGTGATGTGATCGTGGCTCACTGCAGCCTCCAACACCTGGGCTCAAGCCATCCTCCCGCCTCAGCCTCCCGAGTAGCTGGGACTACAGGCACAGGCCATCACACTTGGCCTTTTTTTTTTTTTTTGGTAGAGATGGGGGTCTCAATATGTTACCTAGGCTGGTCTTGAACTCCTGGCCTCAAGTGATCCTCCCACCTTCACCTCCCAAAGTGCTAGGATTATAGGCATGAGCAACTGCACCTGGCCTTACTGGTTTTTAACAAGCATATATTTGCAGGAATATCTCTCTTTATTTGCAAGTGGCAATGACTAAGCCTTATTTAGGCTAGACAGAGTATTTCTCCGGATTTGGGGCTGAAGCTCACATCACCATCTCTCTCTGTCTAGTCTTCTAGTCTTCTCTCTGTCTAGTCTCCCCTGCAGCTCTGACCTCCCACAGTGTAAGCCCATGTGACATGTGCACTGAGCTTCTTGCTCCATAATCATGAATGTTCAGTGACCAAAGGAATGGCACAATAATGGAATGAATCCGAGAAACACATATTGGCCAAAAATTGCTATTAATTCAGTAATACTTAGATAAACGGTAACTGACCCCTCACAACAGAAATTAACGTATTTGAAACAGAGCTCCTCCCCGGGGGAGTTCCGTAACTGGTGTGTAATGAGCATCAGAAGCATGGGGTAGCCCTTCAGTAGGAGACTAGGCACAGGTCTAAGGAGTCAGTGACTGCAGCATAGGCACGGCAGGGGCCCCAAGGCTGCAGGTGCAGCGAGGACTCCTGCCCACCCCAGCCCCAGGCCCGTCCCCCAGGCTAGCTTTCTGGCACTCTGAAGGGCACGTTTTTTCCTGCAGGGGACCCAGTTTGTAGGAATACCTGTATTTCTGCCTCCTCTAAGTGTCCACGGTATCTTTTAATTCTACAAACGGCACTTAGGGAAACAACAGGGCGGTGGGTGGGGGGCAGGGGGAACTCAGGAGAAGAATGTCTACAAAACGCTGGGAGGCAGAAGTAAGGGGCAGCCACGGGTGCCTTCTGACGCGTGAAGGCCAGAAGCTTCTATTCTCGGCTACCAGATGCCTAGGGAGACTCAGGGAACCCTGAGGACTCCCAGGCAGGGCAGGGATGGGACTGGATGCAGCAGCCGCCAGGGCTCTTTGCCATGACCTTAGAGGAGGAAGTGGGGACTCAGAAACGGAAATGAGCACAGGTCACCTGGGGGAGGGCTGGGAGGCCACCCTGCATGCTCACCTCCTTGCCTGGCACACCCAGCTGCAGTGAGCGGGTGATGGCCTGATGGAGCTGCAGCCTCCACAGACCCAGGGAGAGGGGTGGAAGCCAGGTAGGCCTCCTAATTCCACACCCCTTGCCTACCACTGGCTCCCACACAGCCCAGGACACGAATGATCTGGAAATAAGAGTCAAACTATACAAAACTATTCCCACACAGGCCCAGAACCAAGCGCCCATGGACACCCCTACACGGGCAGCAAGGGCTGGAACCGGCAGCCTGGTGGACATCCGCCCTGCAGGGCTCTCCCTCGCAGAGACTGCAGAAGAGGGTGTGCAGTGCTCAGCGCGGAAGGATGTTCTCCCTGCTTTTAAGGAGCCGTGACTATTTTGCTCAGCGTCCCTGGCGTGCCTTTCTCTGTACAAAAAGGAGACTTAGAGGCTTCCCCATCCCATTACCACAGCTGGGCGGCTTCTTGCATGAGGGCACCTTGCTGAACTAAGTCACCCCAAGCTACCCTAGGCTCCCTGTGCACTGAGATGCTGAGTCCTGAGGTGCCTTCCAGCACCAGTGAATGGGACTAAAGTCTTCTGCAGTGTCGCGACCGTTCTGAAGTGAGTATTCTGTGGTCATTTGTTACCCTCTGTGAAGCCCAGGAAGCAGGGATTCAGGGCTGACCAGGGACCACTTTGTTCTCTGCCCATGCATGGAAGGTCTGCACTTGGGCCCCAAAGCCTGAGTAAAGTTTCACCGTGAACTTCTTCCAGCAGGATAAACAGTAGGGTTCAGTACTGAGGGTCTCCAGTTTAAACCCTGATTCCACTACAAAATAAATGCTAGACTGGGCCACATATTTAAGCTGTGTTTTCCTTATGCTTAAAATGGCAGTAAGATTCCTTCCAGAGGCCATGCAGGGAGATAATGCCCACAGAACGCTCAGAGTGGGGCTTGGCAGAGACAGGGCTAGACAGGGGCTGTTATTTAGTGCTGGCATCTTTTATTGGTGGCGATGTTATTTTATTTTCTATGATTATGTAATTTCCTCCTTATAATCTCACCCTTGTTGCTTATCTTAAGAGTGATGTTTCAGGAGCAACAGCATCAATGTAGTGTTTGATATTCTGGACAATCTAACACAAGCAATTTCTAATTCATAATCCACTATTTGTATTTGTTGATTATTTGTTTATAATAAAGAAAGCAATGCTTTGTCAGTTTTCCACAATCTGCCACCAACCTCAGATATGCTTTCATGAAGCTCATCTTCAATTAAGGCCCGTGTGCTTTATTTTTGTGAAAAATGGAGATGTGAAGACATTCTGTGCTCTGCTAGGCTGTGTCCTGAGAACCCCCCTTTTAAAAAGGTTCTCAGTATTGTAGGTGTCACTTTTTTCCATTATAAATCACAAAATGTAGTAGCCAGTTAACAAGACACAGGTGTTGCTCCCCTGAAAGTGCCTGCAGAATGGTGCCGAGGTCCTCTCCTCACCCATAGCTCTTGGCATGATTTATTCCTGCTGCACGCCTTCCGGGAGGTCCACCAGGCTCACGTCTGTGTCTGTGGAGGTGTGTGTGAACATGTGCACGTGAGGGTACATCCAGTCTTCTACCAGCTAATACGTCAGAGACCACATAATGTTAGGCTGGAAGAGACCCTAAAGGTTATATAAACCAATTCCCTTATTTTAGAGCTGAGAAATTTCAGGTG
Source organism: Homo sapiens (assembly GCF_000001405.40). Lineage (NCBI taxonomy): Eukaryota > Metazoa > Chordata > Mammalia > Primates > Hominidae > Homo > Homo sapiens. The sequence continues at coordinate 13,419,719 of NC_000018.10, read as the reverse complement.
CAAAGAAGGGAGAGGCTATAACATGGTGGCACTAGAATAAGACTGCCGGGTTTGAATCCTGGTGCAACTACTTATTACCTGTGTGATCTTGGGAAAGTGACTTAACCTTTCTGGGTCACAGTTTGGATACCTATAAACGGCAGATATTAACAGTCTCTATTTGTGTGGATATTTTAACAATAAAATTAAATCATTCACGTAAAGAACTTAAAAGACTCTCAGATAGGTTGTGGTGAGCTATGATTGTACCACTGCACCCCAGCCTCCTGTAGCCTGGGCAAAGGAGCAAGATTGTCTCTAAAAAATAAAAAAAATAAAAATCTCCAAGATAGGTATCAGGTCTGCAAAAGTTTGGACCTAATCATGATCCAAAACTATGGCTTGATGACTTCCAAATTTATTGCTTCCTTTTTTGGATGATCATTTATATGGCACAATATGTTGTAAAATGACACAAAAATTAACATTAACGAGCATACCTCTGGGTTGTAGATGTCTACGTACAGATGTCCTTGTCCCAAAACCTATGTGGATCCCCAACTGCATAGATGCCATTATAGCAAATAATGTTCCCAATAAAATGCAGCAAAGTATAACTAAAAATTTAAGGAACTCCTTCAGACCCTTAATGATTCTATAAATATAGCCCTAAGGTCATTTGTAAAGCCAAGCAAATACATTCCAATTGAAGCACTCACCGCAAGTTTTCATCATTGGTGATAAAAGTACATGAAGTATTCTGTGTCCTAGAATCAAGCCACCACTAAATTCAATCATCTATGTATTCATTTATATAAAATCTCTATTTCCTGGTTTTCAGTCCCTAATGCACAAAGATTTTAAAGGAGGTGAGGCTGGGCTGAAAGCTTCCCAAGGGTGGGAACCAGGTGTGGCGGCTTAGCTTCTATTCTCTGGAGCAATGCTTGGATCTCCATAGGCACTTGCAAATATTTTGGAATGAATGTAGACTGAATAAATAAATGCTTCAGAAACCAAACTTGCAAGCAGTGCCAGCAAATCATAGCTCAAAATATTTGTTCATCAGCTGTTGTTCAAAACTTTGAACTTAGCACACCAAAAATGGTTTATGTGTCACAACATGCAATGTGCCAAAGTGCAGGTTGGTCGAAAGTTGAACACATAAAACCCAAGGGCTGTCTACAGCAACAGGGCCTGCAATGGAATAAAGACCCAGAAGCCAACAGCAGCGAGGCCGGAGACACAGAAAACACAACCAGAGTCTTCAGGGCAGCAACAGGAGATGCAGCTTTAAGGGTCCATCAGGCAGGAAGAACGACCCGGAAGAGGCTTGCCTCAGGCCAGACCCCATGGTATGAACTTGCAAGTCTCAGGGGCGAGGCAGATCAAAGGACTTTGGGTCCCTGGAACCATGAGAGGCTCCCTATAAGGATGGCGCCCAGCCAGGCCCTGAAGGCAGGTGACCAGAAGGGGTGGCAGTGTAGAGCCCTGCCCAGGTGGAGGGGGTACAGAGGAGTTCACTTCTGGCACAACCAGGGTTGAGTTGGGAGTTGGAAGAGAGCCTAATTGAGGAGGAAGCTACAGAGGGAGAAAGGAGCCAGCCTGGGAGGGCCTCAGAGGGCGGGTGGGGAGCGGGAGCTCCAGGGCTCAGTGCGGGTGCAGTGCTGCTGAGCACCTTAAACAGCCCAGCCTCCAGCACTGTCAGCACCTTAAACGAGATGTGAGCCATGTTGCTGGGGAAGCCTCCCACCTCCGGGTCCTCACTTCCTCCGTGGATAAGTGGTGTCTACCAATAGAAACCTGTGCCCAGTGGTTACCAGGGTTTTCATATGGCAAAATGTATATAGCAAAGAAGGTAGATAAAAAGAAACACACACACACAAACCACACACACACACAACACACACACACATTTACCTACAATAAACTGATTGAGCAAAAAGGAATACTGACATCTCCAGGCCACTGTAAGGGAGCATGATTATGTAGTTTGAAAAACAGCAAACTGGCTGGGCGTGGTGGCTCACGCCTGTAATCCCAGCACTTTGGGAGGCCGAGATGGGCGGATCACTAGGTCAGGAGATCGAGACCATCCTGGCTAACACGGTGAAACCCCGTCTCTACTAAAAAATACAAAAAAATTAGCCAGGTGTGGTGGCGGGCGCCTGTAGTCCCAGCTACTTGGAAGGCTGAGGCAGGAGAATGGCGTGAACCCGGGAGGCAGAGCTTGCAGTGAGCCGAGATCGCGCCACTGCACTCCAGCCTGGGTGACAGAGTGAGACTCTGTCTCAAAAAAAAAAAAAAAGAAAAACAGCAAACTAATAAAGCATTGTTCTACTGGCAAATAAATAGAGAGGTTTAGACCACCGCACCAAAGTGAAACAAATCACGTGGTTTTCCTTAAGACCTAACTTTCGCATTGAATTTTTGTATGAGCCTTATGAATTATGGCAGATAAACCTGAAAGAGAAGGAATCAACTTATGCAAACATACTTCTTAAAATAATTTTTCTAACTTTCAGACTTTGGCTGGGTGTATCCCTACTACAGTGAGATGTGAACTCTGGAACCTCTCAAGCTACAAGCCATTCCCCACAGGATTATCTGCCTTCACTTTTCTAATGTAACAACTGCTTTCCAAGGCAGTGTAGCACAGGTGATTAAGAGTGGATACTGCTGCAAGAGTGCCTGGATTTCGAAGCTGGCTCTACTACTTACTGGCTGTGCAATCTTGCGCAAGCCACTTAACCTGTCTGTGGTTCAGTTCCCTTAGCTATAAAAAGGAGACAGAAATAGTACCTACCTCACACGTTGCTATGAGGATTAATTGAAATAATATAAATAGAAAGCACCAAGAATAGTGTGGCACAGAGAGTATTATGTAAGTGTATGCTATAATTATTAATGATACCTTCTATTTTCATAAGTGTTTTTCCCTTTATTAAGAGTTTTGTAAAGGAATTAATCTTGTATAGTTCATACCTGTGTTCTTCCATTGCATAGAGCATAGCTTTTATTTGCTATAGCAAATAACATTTTTGCAAATAGCAAAGAAAATTTTGTTGAATAAATAAATGAGTGAATGAATTCCTATATTACTAGACACGGGCAAAAATGTTTTAAGGTGCCAGCATCATACCAAGAAACACAGATGTCAGAAGTAGACACAGAGCTTTCTTTAAGCCATCATATAATTCAAACGGTGGTTCTCTGCTGAAGCCTGTTTTCACCGTGTGTCTCTATAGCAGAGACGTGATCCCGAGCCCTGCTCACATGCCCAGAGAGATGACGAACCCATTAAGTGAAGGTGGAACCACCAACCACTAAACACAAAGTTCCTGTTATTGTTGGAAAAGGAAACTGGAAACAAAAGCCAGGGTTTCAAAAAGTGACAGTGCTTGGAGGATCTCATGCAAACCACTTAAAAGAAGGGCAAGAACTGGAAGAGGTCTGGGTACCCCACACTTGGCTGGAGAACACAGAATCGTGGGCATTCGCATTTAAAGCTGCACACTCAACCCTCAAAAGGTGCTCCTGGGCATCACTGGGCCCACTTCGCCAAAGGGAAACTGAGGATGATGACTCGCCATAGCTCAGAATAGCCCACGTGTGGCAGAGCTGGACTCAGCAGAGTGAGGACTCCAGTGTCCCCGCCAGCCCGATCTCTTCATGGAAGGTCTGGTCAGCCTGCCCTCAGCCCTGCGCCCTGCAGGGCACTGTGATGACTGGCCAGCACAGCCCACACCAAAGCTCTCCTACGACGCAAGTCACCGCAGAGATGAAGACAGAGCCATGCACGTTCCCCTCCTCTCAACCTCCATCCTGGAAGGCTCTCCCCTGGGACTGAGACACAGCTTCAAAGAAGGAGCCACGTGGGGTACAAGGGCATAGAGGGAGCACCCCTCCGGGCAGCCCAGGCTCCCCACCCACCCTGATGCCTGCTGGGCTGGGACACCGGGCAGCGTGGCCCTGGCTCCAGGCCCTGGCTTTTCCTTGGAGAACTGGAATCCAGTGGGAAAGATGGATATGGCGGACTGCAAGGGTTTGCAAGGGACCGTCCTGGGGGGGTGAGGTTTGCCTCTCTAGTAACCTGGAGGTGTCATCCACTTTGTGTATTAATCCTGGGGGCTCCCCTCAGTACACTACGTACCTGAAACTCTTGGAAACAAGAGCAGCTCCTCAGACAGCCCTAACCACCGGGGAGACAAGTCTGCCTATACAACCAGACTTCCTTTGGTGGGAAAGCACACCTCCCACCCCACACCCACCCTAGAGTAGCCGGGGCCTTGGCCTCAGGGCTGCCACCGCAGCTGTTCAGAAGAGCCACATCATCAGCTCAGGCGCACTATGTGCTATAGACACAGGCACGCAAGCCTCGTCTGTGGGGAAGGGTCGTTAACTGGAGAAAGGTCATACTTCCAGTCTATTACCCACCGTAATGAGCAAATGCAAATGAGAGACCTTTCTCAGGTCATAAGAGACTGTGTGTTTTGGAAACCTGAATAATCCCTTAACTGAGGAGGAAACTCAAGAGGAATAAGCCAGCATTTCTGGGGCTCAGGGCCCTGTGTTGTATTATTCCAGAGACCTCCAGGCAACAGATGCCCCCACAACCAGCCTCCCAGAGTAGCTGAGATTACAGGCATGGACCACACTGCCCAGCCCAGCTGTACTCTCACAGAAAGAAGATATAAAACTTCTTGGAAAAACTTACTAAAGAATGCAAATTACTACACAGCAATCTTTAGGTATCTGTAAGCACTGGACATCTCCAGTTTGAACCACAGACAAATGTCAATTATCCAAGGTCATGCATGAAAACAGTACCAAGAGTGGTTGCCCAAAAAACACTTCCATAGGCTTTGCAAAGAGTCTGTTTTAATACTTCGCTTGGCATACAGATGTGTCTGATAATCAGGGAGTTTACTGCCTGGCAAATAATGAAGCCACCCTAAGAAGGTCTACACAGTCCAAGGACAGAAGGGCGTGTGGGCTTCTCCTTCTCGAGCTCCCCACCCTTTCCTGCTGAGGACAGCAAGGGCAGGTGTCTGCAAGCCAGCCTCCTCCCTCACCATCCCTGTCCTGAGGAGATAATGAGTCCTTTTGGTTTAATGGACCTCCTGCTGGGCTGCAGCAAACACAGAAATGCAAAAGTAAGAAAGAAACTGTAATTTGTGACAATGGGGGACTTTAGCATATTCTCCAGTTAATCGTGTAATTAGTAAATGGAAACATGACTCCTCTTTGTAAAATTCAAATTCCACAGCCTGGCATCAAATGCACTCCAGTGTCTGGGTCCTGCCTGTCCTCTGGCCTCTAAGTGACAGTGACAATAGAGATGCCAACTGCATGAGGAAGGTACTGAACTGTACATTCACTGGCCCACTTAGTGCAATGAGGTGGGTATCAGTAACCCCATCCTACAAGGATGAAACGGGCTCCAAGAGGTCATGTGACTTGCCCAAAGCAACAAAGCCAAGCAATGGTGGGGATGGAGGCATCTCCCAAGGATGCCTGGCCCCAAGGCCCACCTGCTGTCCCTTCAACCAAGAGTCTTGCCTGCTAAGGCAGGCACCCCAAGATGTTCATCTCTGGATTTCATTTGTGCCTGGCACAAAACGAGGCATGAGGTAGACCTCCACTACAAATTTTGGAACAAAGCATGGTGGACTATAGTGCACCTCTGGTTTGAGAAAATATGTCCAGCACACCACCAGAGCAACACCATCCACTTATTTAATGATCACAAACAAGAAAACCTCGGGTATGGGTAGAAACGCAGGTACTCTCTTATAATTATTTCTTTTCCCAGTGATTTAAAAAAAAATTTTTTTTTTTTAATTTCTGGAGTTTCTCTATGTTGCATGGGCTGCACTCCTACTCCTGGGCTCAAGCACTCCTCTGCCTCAGCTTCCCACAGTCGCTGAGATTACAGGCGTGTGCCACCCCGCCCAGCCCAACCATACTCTCTCCTAGAAAGAAGATATAAAACTTCTTGGAAAAACTTACTAAAGAATGCAAATCACTACACAGCAATCGTTAGGTCACTGCAAACACTGGACATCCAGTAAATGTTGACAGTTGACTGAATGATTGAATAGAATTCCCAGACGTTTAAAGACATAATTTCCGTACTCAATTGAAGACATTATCCCTTTTCCCAAATCACATTCTACCAGGCTGTTTCTGTCAAATACAGTGTTCTTGAAAAATTACTGCAAGTGCCTGGTCAGAGACCTGAGGCCTCGATTGATCACACTATGAGATGAGGTTAAACGGAGCAATTCAATTTACAAAGATATTGATGCATGTTTAAAAATACTGTGATAGAAACTTCCGCAGAAGCTCACATTTACTTTGTCAGAATTCTCTATCAGCTTAAACACAAAATAGCCGGAATTTACGAACAGTTGACCAATTACATGTCAGTGAGTAGTGAACACGTACAGTGATATTTCTTGCCAAGCACTGAAACCTCCTTCCCTCCCCACTTGATAGGTCTGTGGGAAAGGGAGTGCCTTTGCAACAGAAAACGCAGATACAAGCACAGCACTGGATTCCAACCTTCCTTACAGCCAAGCACAGTCATGCGACCCAAGCTCCACTCAAAGCACCATCCTGGGCTTGACGTGGCACTGGAAACATGAGAAGACAGCAAGGCTCAAGAGGAGCCCTTCCTGCTGGTGGTGGCTGTTGCCTGCAAGAAGAATCCTGACTGATGCACAGCCTTGCTGTGATCCTGTCAGGTCACACACGCTGCCCTTACTACGTACCAGGAGAAGGAAGCAGCGCATCCAGGAAGCTCAGGACAGTCTTCAACTATGAACTTCTCAGCTCGGTTCATAGATCAATAAAAATTTGAGAAGCTGCTGGGAGCAAAGTGATCGTCCATAAGATCATGTACAAATTGGTACATTAAGTGCTCAGTTCATTCGTTCACTTACGGAGCGCCTACTGGCTGCCGGGTGCTATTCTAAGACACTGGGGCTTCAAAAACAAGGAAGACAAAAATCCATGCCCTCCAAGAGCTCATAATCTAGAAATGCTAACAGGTAAACAAATCCTTTTCTCACCACCGTAATTATATAGCTAGTTCAGTCCACCTGCCCTGCTGGAGTGGAGGCCCATAAAGTCGGGGACCCTGTCTGAACCTTCACTGCTGTCTCTCTAGTTCCTCATGTACCTAGTCCATAATAGGCACTTGATCAATATCATATGAATGGATGAGAGAGAAGTGAATGAATCTCATTCATTCAAATAGAAACACCATGGTAAATGTTATAATAGAGAAATATGGAACCTTATGATAATACTTCTTTATAAGGGAGATATTAGCTGACCTGAGTGCTGAAAATGAGCAGAAATTTTTCAGAGAGAAAAGAAAGATAAGGATACTTTAAGAGCTGGAAAGAACAGAGGCTGGGTGTAAAGGACATGTCATGCTCTAGGAATAGTAGGCAGTGTGATGGGGCCAGAGATTACATATGAGGAAGTAGCAGACAATGCAGTAACTGAGGCAAAGTCATGCCACTGATCTGACTACTGTCAAAGAGTTAGGGAATTGCCCTGAGCAAATACTAACTTCAGAACTCAGTGCAGGCCAGGCGTGATGGCTCATCCCTGTAATCTCAACACTTGGGAGGCTGAGGTGGGAGGATCACTTGAGTCCAGGAGTTTGAGACCAGCCTGGGCAACATAGTGAGACCCTATCTCTACCAAACAATTTTTTTAATTAGCTGGGCATTGGTGATGTGCACCTGTAATCAGCTACTCAAGAGGCTGGGGTGGGAGGACTGCTTGAGCCCAGGAGGTCAAGGCTACAGTGAGCCATGATTGCCCCACTGCACTCCAGCCTGGAAAACAGAGTAAGACTCTGTCTCAAAGAAACAAAAAAGAACTTGGGTGCAGACTACTGGGTTGGGTCTCATGATGGCAATTTCAACAAAAGTATCTGTATTATTCTGTTCTCACACTGCTAATAAAGACATAACAGGGACTGGATAATTTATAAAGGAAAGAGGTTTAATGGACTCACAGTTCCACATGGCTGGGGAGGCCTCACAATCATGGCTGAAGGCAAATGAGGAGCAAAGTCACGTCTTACCTGGTAGCAGGCAAGAGAGCGTGTGCAGGGGAACTGCCCTTTATAAAACCATCAGATCACATGAGACTTATTCACTATCATGAGAACAGCATAGGAAAGACTCATCCCTGTGATTCAATTACCTCCAACTGGGTCCCTCTCACGACAGGTGGGAATTATGGAAACTACAATTCAAGATGAGATTTGGGTAAGGACACAGCCAAACCATATCAGTATCCAAGTAAAATACTTGGAAGTAGTAACATATTAGTCTAATAGCAAATGCTTTGTTCAAGCATTTGTTAAGCACTTACGGCAAAACTATGAGATAAGCATACTAACAAAAGATGATTTTGCTCTTAGGACTCTATAGAGGCACTTTTTTTTCTTTCTTTTTTTTTTTTTTGAGACAGGGTCTGGTTCTGTCACCCAGGTTGAAGTGCAGTGGCACAATCTCAGCTCACTTCAAACTTCACCTCCCAGACTCAGGTGATCCTCCTACCTCAGCTTCCCAAGTAGCTGGGAATACAGGTGCATGCCACAACACCCAGCTAAATGTTTGTATTTTTAGTAGAGACGGGATTTTGCTATGTTGCCCAGGCTGGTCTTAAACTCCTGGATGCAAGCAATCCACCCGCCTCAGTCTCCCAAAGTGCTGGGATTATAGGCGTAAGCCACCGCACCTGGCCCGTATTGATACTTATAATAACTAACTGCCATCTTCTCTGGTGGCCATGAGAATGCACCCCATGGACCTTCAACTGGAGGGGCAGCCACTGTACCCTAAAAACCCATTCCTGCATTTTGCCCTGAATCTCCACTTCCCACTAACAAAAAGCCATCCACTGAAATCAAGCTAGCCTTTTACAAACAGAGCTTTCAGTTTCCCAAGAAATAATCAGTTTTATGAATTTCCTGCCAGCATCTAACCTGATTGGCCTTATCTCTTAGATTGTTAGCCTAATCACAAGGCAAATCTGAGGAAGGAGGAGAAATGTATACACAACATATTTCAAAGTCCAGTGTAGGCCATTATCTGTCATCCTGGACTCCTTATATGCTATGTTTCCATCCATTAATGCAGATTAAGCCTCACTGTGTAAACAATAGCAAAACTGAATGTCAATTAAAAGGGTATACATACCCATAAAGGTTTCTGTAAACTTCTTACTTTGAGATAATTTTAAATGTGAGGAAGAGTTGTAAAATCACTAGAGTTCCTGTCTACTCTCCTTAACCCACCTTCTCCAGTGTTTACATCTGACAGCTGCAGTGCAATCATCAAAACTAAGAAATTAAATTGGCATACTCCTATTATTATTTGAATTTCACCAGTTTTTCTGAATAATGTCCCTCTTCTATCCCAGGATCCCATCTAGGAGCCTGTGGTGTGTTTGTCCCGTCTCCTTAGCGCCCCCCATCAGGATCCCATCTAGGAGCCTGTGGTGTGTTTGTCCCGTCTCCTTAGCGCCCCCCATGCCATGTCAGGTCGGAAGTCCCTCCTTGCCTTTCAGAGCCTTGACACTTTTGAAAACTGCTGGTCCAGTGTTTTGCAGAACGTCCTTCGATTTGGGTCTGTGCGGTGTCTTATCACGATTAGAATAAGATTCTGCATTACTGGGAAGAACACCACAGAGGCAGTGTGCCCACTCAGTGCGTCGTGCCCTGGGGTACCACGTGTGGGTATGTTTATTGTTGCTGATGTTGACCTTGAGCACTCAGTGTTTGCCAGTTTCCTTCACTCTAAACCTACTATTTTCTTTTCATAATTAATAAACATTTATACTTGGAAAGACACTTTGAGACTATTCAAATATCTTGTTTCTCCTTTCTCATTGACTAATTTCAGCACCCAGTATCAGGTCTCACCTACAGCATCATTATTATGATGTTCTGATGGTGATTTTCTATTTTCCTCAATTCTTCTACATGTACTAACTGGAATTCATCTGAAACTCTTCTCCTCCAGCTTGCGAATGGCCCAAGCTGTCCCTAATCTAAGAATGAAACAGTCCATTAAGAATTAGTTTAGAGAATGTTCATGCTGTCAGATATAATACAAAATTGGCATATGTTCTAGAAACTAAATAAGATACAGGTTGAAGATAGAAATGTTTAAGAATGTAAATTGCACATAAGATACAATAGGTTAATAGTCTGACCTATCTATCAGTAGCTTAAAGTCTTCCTGTGTCTAATGGCAATAAATAAGAGACAAGGTTATTTAATAATCTATAGGCAGGGTAACCACAAACAATATGGTGAGGAATCATCTATAGTTAAGGACAGATCCCTAGAGGGCAATTAAGCATTTTACACAGGATCCCCAAGGGGGCCCCCACACATCTCCCCCTTCCCTGGGAGGGGAGGCAGCAGCCTACCCACCCCTTCCAGGCCCTCCTCAATCACTCACTCACTGCCATGAGGCCTGGTCTCATCTGTATTATGAAACTAGCCAGTTACTTCCCTAGTGAAAAAACAAACAAACAAACAAAAAACAATAAACAGTGTGATTATACCATGTCACGGAGGTAATGTGGAAAACAGGCAGAACCCAGCTCTTCATGGGCAGGCCTATTTGGGGGTCAGGGGTGGGCTGTGACACAAAGGCAGGATCACACAGCTCCTCTGAAGTCTCAGTAAGATGTTCTTAGAGACCTTCACCCTGTGCACACAAAGCCAAATGATGTAATCATCATCACTTCAGTAAACTTATTTCCATTGCTTAAAAAGTAACCCATATTCACTGTATGGGATTTACAAAACCCAACAAACTTTCTAAAAGCAAAAAAAGAAGGAAGAAAAAGACGAGAAAGAGAAAGAAAAAAAAGGAGCTACGGGAGAGAAGAAGAAAAGGCATCCTAACTTCCAAGCCAAAAGGAAGCTCGATTAATAAGCTGTGTGCCTGCCTGTAATCCCAGCACTTTGGGAGGCTGAGGTGGGTGGATCACGAGGTCAGGAGTTCAAGATCAGCCTGGCCAAGATGGTGAAACCCCATCTCTACTAAAATAACAAAAATTAGCCAGGTGTGGTGGCGGGTGCCTGTAATCCCAGCTACTCGGGAGGCTGAGGCAGGAGAATTGCTTGAACCCAGGAGGCAGAGGTTGCAGTGAGCCAATATCACGCCACTGCACTCTAGCCTGGGTGACAGAACAAAACTTCATCGCCAAAAAAATAAAAATAAAAAAAATTTAAAAAAAAAGCTGTGTGCCTTCTATTGACTGGTTTTCTACGGCTCACACCCTACTACTCTATCTCTCTCACCTTTTTTTTTTTTTTTTTTTGAGACAGGGTCTCACTCTGTCAGCCAGACTGGAGTGCAGTGGCATGATCATGGGTCACTGCAGCCTCAAACTTGAAGTCACAAGTGATCCTCCCACCTCAGCTTCCCAAGTAGCTGGGACTACAGGCCTGCACCACCACACCTGGCTAAATTGTGTATTTTTTGTAGAGACGGGGTTTCGCCATGTTGCCCAAGCTGGTCTCGAACTCCCAGCCTCAAGTGATCCTCTCATCTCGGCCTCCCAAAGTACTGAGATTACAGGCATGAGCCATTGTGCCTGGACTTCATATTTCATATATAATTGAATATAAGGTGACAGTAATTGTAACACACTATATTTTGTGTGCCAACAAGAAAGAAAAAGAAAATACAAACAATTGTAGTTGTAAGACCTGATCAATTATAAACCAAATTCCAGTTTTGAAGATGTGGAAATGGGCAGGGGGGTGCCGTTTGTCAAACTGACTAATTATGGTTTCTTAAACATGGAGTTCTTAGAACAATTAATACAAAGGGACCTAGGTCCTACCCTCAGGAACGTGGTGGGACAGACCCTAGTATAAGAAACACACAAATATGTCATTAAAAGCAATGGTGAGGGCTGTGAAGAAAATATCTCCAAGGCAGACAGGTGGTTCCACTGCCCTATCAGCTCCTGGCTCCCTTTCTCAGAAGCTGGCCAGGTCCACGCCCACCATTTGGCCAGGCAAAGATTCTCTGAGCTCCGAATGGCCATCTGCTCCCAAGGGGGTGAAACCCTGGACAAGATGCACTCATACAGCTCCTACCGGTGTTAGTACCCTCAGGTAACCTTGGTACAAATTAGAAGAGATCAGGTGTGTTCAGGGTGGTATGGTCATAGACCTTGGTACAAATTAGAAAAGTCAGTTAACATATGTAAGTGACTTGAGGCACAATGCATTGTCTTGTTCATCTTTGCCTCCAACTGCGGTGCTAACATAGCGCCTAAGCACTGTGGGCATTCTATAACACTGGGTAGATTTACTCGGGATAATCACATCACCGTCAATTAATCTAATGCTATGATGAAGAAAAAATTACATTTTCCTATCAGCTAAATTACTTTTATGTCTCTAATAATAAATGAGATGAGAGAAGCTCTGGAGCCACATTCAGAGCAGCCTCTATGAGGGGTGCACCAGAGTCGCGCAGGTGACATCCAGCAGTGTCGCACACTCATGCACAAGTTTACAGCAAGGGTAGGGAAAGCTGATATCCCGGGGCATCCTACACACAGTACACAGAGAACCCATCAAAAGAAAAGCTTAAAATGCATACCGCCACGCACTTTGTTTACTATTCCGTCCTGCAGCCCGCCACGCCGTGCTAAGTTTATCGCACATATGAAAGGGCAGAGGCCGACAGTCCTGGACTTAAATTGCCATTAATAAACAGTCACCTCATTTTATTGCTGAGTCAGTGTCTGCTCTACAAAGGTTATGGACTCAAGTCCACCTTCACCCGCCACACCACACCATCCTAAGCACCCTGACAGTTGCATTTCTACTCAGGGACAGGCAGCCCTGGAGGACAGGCTTCCTCCCGTGAGTGTGCAGAGGCCCCTCAGCAGGTGCATGAGGGGACCACTGTGCTAAAAACCCATGGCAAGTGAGAGCAAGTGCAACCAGGCCTAGTAGGAGTCGGCCCCAGCCTGCACCGTGGGAAACAGCCTCCCACCCTGTCCAGGTCCCAGGAGCCTGCCCACTCCCACTGTAGCTCCCGCTCAGAGATAGTCAGAATGATGAGGCTCCTCTGAGAATTCCAGAGCAGGCAGGCCCAGCACAAAGGGGAAGCCTCTTCCCCAGTAAACAAAATAATAATCATGCGCACCACGGCATCGACGGGGCAGAGAATGAGGTCCTCCTGACTATATCCTCGTGTTGGTGTTCTGCATGATGCCAGGTGTTCCAGCTTCTCTGGAACAAAGAAAATGCCCAGGGAGCACTGCACATGTCACTTCCTGACATATAGAGGTCCCAAGCTTCTTGCTTACAGGTCACTGTCATTTCTAGGACTTGCAAACAACTTGCAGAAACCAGCCCATGGCACCTTGGCACCATGTGTTCCCAACTGAGATCCGTGACTCTCTCAGCTAGAAGGCACCAAGGTCACTTGGGGGCTGCAATTTCACCATCCGTCATCAGCCGAGAGGACCAGTAGGCAGGAATCCAGGACAGTGCTCCCCAGGGGGCCCAGGCATAACACAAGAGCATGGGCGTGGGTCCCCTAGCACTGGGGCTGCCAGCATGGGTGCCCAGCACTGTTAGATGACAGAGTAAAATATGCTGCAAAAGTAGAGGCAACATTCTCGGCCATCAAGAAATGTGATATCGCTGTTTTCAAAGTTGCACAGGAAGAATCACCGTGGAACCTTTACTGAGTTTAAAGAAACGGACTTAGGAAGGAATTGTCTCTCACAGCAAGATAAGCTGCCTGCTCTAGAGGACAGAAAGTGAGCTGCGACAGGAGCGGGCCCAGGAGCCTGGGTGCTCACCCACACCTCTGTGGCACTCAGACACCCTCAGCTCAGAGCAGGACAGGGCCCTGCACGCCAGAGCTCAACAGTCCACAGTGAAGCGCTTCCAATTCCAATGGTGAAAACGCTCGCATAGGGGCTCGGCACGGTGGCTCATGCCTGCAGTAATCTCAGCACTTTAGGAGGCTGAGGCGGGTGGACTGCTTAAGGCTAGGAGTTCAAGAACAACTTGGGCAATACAGCGAGACTGTCTCTCCAAAAAAAAAAAAAAAAAATTTAATTAGCCAGGCATGGTGGCTTGTGCCTGTGGTCCCAGCAACTCGGGAGGCTGAAGCAGGAGGACAGGAGGATGGCCTGAGCTCAGAAGGTCAAGGCCGCAGTGAGCTATGATTGCATCACTGCTCTCCAAAATGGATGACAGAGTGAGACCCCGCCTCAAAACAAAACAAAATAAAAAAATGGTGGCAACGAACTTGTAGTTTACATTCTCCATTTTAAGATCACACATACTAGGTTAAGGGCCTGGGTTCAGTGTCAGATAACCTGGGTAGAAAGTCCAACTCTGCCACCAACAAGATGTATTGTCTCTCTAAGCCTCAGTCTTTTGGGTATAAAACAGGTTCAATACCTACTTCTTGAAGTCACTGTGGAGACTAAAGAGATGCTATATATGAAGTACTCAGCACAGCACCTGACCCATGGTATATAATTAAATGCTAACTAATAATATTAATATTATACATAATATTATAATAATAATTTTGTATTTGTTCATCATTACTACCTTCTGTTTATCAAAATAGCAAACGTGCAGCTTCCCTTAGGGGATCCGTGACCTTCCCAGGGGTTCCCACTGCTTCAGGGTTCACAGAGGTCACACCTACTTTTACGACCTCTTCATTGGGTTTCGCTCACACTGCTTTTTTCTTTCCTTCTTCATACGACCTACAGAGATTTGCGATTTCAATTCTTTTGCATGCATTTCTGAAACACCACCGACAGCTGAAACGCATATTAAAACAGGGCCTGAATTTGTACAGTTACTTTTTAAGCATCTTAATATAATTTTTTTTTTTTTTTGAGACGGAGTTTCGCTCAGTCGCCCAGGCTGGAGAGCAGTGGCACGATCTCGGCTCACTGCAAGCTCCGCCTCCCGGGTTCACGCCATTCTCCTGCCTCAGCCTCCCGAGTAGCTGGGACTACAGGCACTCACCACTACACCCGGCTAATTTTTTTGTATTTTTAGTAGAGACGGGGTTTCACCATGTAAGCCAGGATGGTCTCGATCTCCTGACCTCGTGATCCGCCCGTCTCGGCCTCCCAAGGTGCTGGGATTACAAGCATGAGCCACCATGCCCGGCCGCATCTTAATATAAATTTTTAACGACAATAAAAGTGCAGCGCCCAGCACAGGAGCAGCACCCAGTGAGTGGGCTGTGTCCACGTGGGACAGCGTCCCACAGCTCCTCTGATTGCAGCTGCGTCGTGAAGGCACAGCCAGGCTGCGGCCACACCGTCGCGGCACTCCACTCTGTTGAGCATCCGGCCTCCGAGTGTCCCGTGCACATCTCCACGCCTGTTCAGGGGCAGGGGAAACAGCGGGGATGCAGAGCAAGGGAACAGTGATGCCCCCCAGGGGAAGGGGCCTGTGCCACGGCACCCCCGACACACCTCAACAACGCTCAAGGAAGGGTTCCATCCTCCAGGGCGCCTCCCAGCTCTCTGAGACATTCGTCCAGAAGCGGCAGAATCTGAAAATACTGGCCTCTTATTAAATATGCCTGGAGGGAGAGATGGAAGTCATTTCCCGGGCCACACTAGCCTAGCCACTGGGGGACAGGGTGGGAATCAAGAGGCCCCGCCTCAGCCTCCCCCGGTTCAGGGTCCTTGCGCTCAGTGTAGATAGACATCACCTCCTTACAGGCTGGGTGCCTCCCCGGGACAGGGCGCATCCAGATGGCCTCCCTCTTCCACCCAAACATCGTCCCGCCAGTCCCAGCCACTCTCAATCATCACAGGCTTCACAGACAACAGAAAAAACCTGCTTTAAGGTCATGGCCTCCCCATGCCCTTTCTTTTAGAGGTAAAATATATTAGAACCAATCTGAATTCTGTTCATTTACACCCTGGCTCCTATAAAGACACGCAGTCCCACGAGGATTTTACAAGGCAGTAAAACATCCCCTGTTGAAAGAGAACTAAATAAGGTCATGATGCAGGGCCACAAAATCACCAAACCACACATTCACCATCAGAAGGGGGTCTCAGAGACCATGTTAATTCCTGATTTCACAGAGAAACTGAGGCCAAGAGAGGTGAAGTAACTCACCCAAGGTCACACAGCGTTGTGGGTTTCACAATGCAGGAACTGCCAACATACACTCACTGCCATTTATTCTGAAAGCAAAGAGAGTTTTGCTATCTGTTCTCAGATGGACTCTTTCCTGATAATAACGCCATGAAGTGATCATGGGTCCTAGTGTCAGTCTATGACACTGCACCAGGCCGATATATTTTTCACCACAGAAGAGAGACTCCAGTCCCCATGTTTTATTTTATTCACCACAAAAGAACAGTTATTATTAACTCATTTTTGATAAAACACTTCCATTCTTACTTTAAAAAAGAAACTTTATAAATGAACAAGGGTAAGAAAGTAAAAATTGCCTCATGCTCCTACTCAGGGGTGGTCCCTGTTAGCATTCTGGCATGCATCCGTCTATTAAGTCTTTATTCTTCATTTTAAAAAACAGAATCATCCTCTTCATGTTGTTTTAGGATGTACTTTTTTCCACTTAAAAATGTATCGTAAGCCTTTCTCCAGGACAGCAAATACTGTTTTTCAATATCATTTTAATAGCTACATACTATTTCAGCATAAGAATGTGCTATTATCATTTAACCACATATCATTTGGAGACTGGCTTAATGTTTTAATATTGTTGTTTCTAAGTTTTGATTGTGAAGGCCAGTGGGAGAGCAACCCCTTCCAATCTCCTGTCATTCGCAAATGTGATAAGCATGTTTTTCATCACCTTTACCCATGTTCCTGATAAAATCTCGAGACAAAACTGTTAGATTTCCTTCCTGGTTGACATTTATCCATTCAACTTTCTTTGGTTTTCGCAATTTGGAATTTGAATGATGGAAGAGTCCCCAAATCATCACAAATACCATTTCATTCATTCAACATATGTTTACTAATTGCTGTCTATAGAAGCAGCACTGACCTAGGAGCTACGGAAACAAATGCAACGTGTTAGAAAGACTTTAGAAATGAGAACTCTTAGGACTCTTGGTCACAAAACATACCCAGATTCAGCATCCCAAAAGATGTAATGTTTTTCACTTAAAAACGAAGAGATCTTTAATTTTTCGTAAGTCTCTTTTTAATTAAAAGAAGAGCCCTGCAGGTGCCAAAACATGTTTTGGTAATCTAGATTATAAAAATTGTTCAAGTTATTGGAGACAACAATCCTGTAATTCAAGATTGAGCTACTGGGGAACCATTAACGCTAGAAGTGAGTTTCTGAAAATGGGACGTTTATAAGAGAAGTGTGAGTTCGGGTCAGGGTAGCAGGGTCCTATAACCAAATAGCAGCTGTGGTTGTGAAGAAAGGGCAAGGGGCTGTGCTGACACCTGCACAGAAACCAGGACTCACCCAGGGGCACAAACAAAAAGGAACGGGGCCCACAGCCTGAAGGATCTGTTGGAAAAGAAGGGAAAAGCACGTTGTTGGTTCCTATCTTTTTAAAAGACGGTATTTAATGCTGAAATATCATGAAAAGTGCATCAGATGTTCTCATTTTAGGTGAGAAGAGACAAAGTATGGCAGATGAAAGAGCGATTTGGCAAAGCGCCACCACTGATTCTCTGCGCTGTTTCATCCTGCCATCGTCCCGGATAAGGAGGAACCACCGTTGGAAACTGTGAAGTCAGTCCACAAACCTCAGGGAAGCGTGAGAGTAACTTCCAGCAGGGAAGTCAGTCCACAAACCTCAGGGAAGCATGAGGATAACTTCCAGCAGGGCCTGGTGGCACTGGTCACCTGCCAGAGGGGGGCTGAAACCACACAGAAGGAAAAAGCCTCAGAGTCCCCAAGGCGGGTCCAGCTTAGAAGTGAACCCAGGCTGGGAGCAGACCCCATTCTCCACGTGTCTGACCCCAAATGGCTGCAGCCTGCATCTGGGGGACAAAGACCAAGCAAAACATCATCATTTGCTTCCTGCACCAGACTCTCCTGAAGACAGGCCCAGGCTGTCCAGACCTGAGCACGGGGCATCCTCTCCACTACGGGGTGGGTGACTTCCTTCCCAGGGCCTCGGGGACGCACAGGAGAGTCCGCCCAACCCCCAACCTGCTCCTCTCACGCTCACACCAACACATCTGAGCAATGCACTTACAAGGAGCCAGGAAATACATAAAGTGCAGTAACCCTAAATATAAAGCCCTTCTACTGTGGTGAAACTCAGTGTTGGAGAAAGGGACAGTTTTTTTTTTTTTTTTCAAAGCGATGATTTAGAAAAAGACAATATAAATGTATTAAATATATAGCAAACATTCCTAGCCAAAACTGACAGTCTTACCCAGCTTCTCCCTTCCTTTGGAAATGAATGAAATTACAGTGACTGCCCACCTGCCTGTCTGCTCCTGGGCATGTGGCCTCTGGACAACTGACACACTGTTCCCCAAACACCAACTCTGTTCCAGCCCGAGTCCTCTGCCCTGGCTGCTCTTTCCTGAGCCCACACTCCCTGCTCTCTATGTGCCCTTGCCCTCCCTTGTCCTTAGCGAGGCCTCACCTTGCCCTCCTATCAGCAACGGCCATTCCCCCCATCTCTTGCCCATCTCCTTCCCATACTTGATTTTCTACGGGACCTGAATGCTGTCTGAAATGGCAGGATACATTTGATTACTCTATTCTGTCTCCCCAGACATGTGTGAATTCCATGAACATGGGGTCTGCCTCCACCTTACTCAGCCCTGTGTCCCCAGTGCCTACTACAGTGTCTGGTATACAGCAAGTGCTCCAGGAACACATGTGAAGTCAATAAATCTAGGAGTGGGCCTCCGCGGCTCACCTCATGGCCCGTAAGTGAACCACGTCCTTTCCTCCGTCATCCCTACACCAACAGCAAGGCTTCTTCTGGTCAAAGCATTTTGAAAGAATGTGCGAGAGAAGGCTTTGCTCCCTCTTATGGGCTCACTTGTGATATGACAGATACGAGTGTGAACATAGCTGGGCTCATCACTGCCCCGGTTCCTCTCCAGTCCTGAGCTCCAATCATAAACACTCTTTTCACCGTCTCCTCCCCATCACCACGTTTCTAAGAGTCAGGGCTGCTCATGTGTGCACGGACTGCACAAAGAGAAGGCTCCGTCTGGAGCCCGCAGGTCTGGGCCCCACACCCAGCAGCCCAGTCCCAGTGCCATGACAGGTGGGCCTACCCTCACCCCTGGACTCTGACCCAAGCCCAAATTCCTGCCAGAAACAGAAATCCCTTTAGGCCTCCAGGATCTTAAAAAGACACAAGGAGGTGGATCAAAGACCCCGTGGCACTTTTTTATATGCAGAAATGAAATCGTCCCACCTTGCATGATTCCCTCTCTTTTACCCCACGCTAAAGAATAAACTAACTGTGCAAGTGTATGTGACATGGATGAGCTGCCCCAAAGAAGCCTGCCATCCAAGCAAATTATGTAGCATTTTATTCCACGAAATATTTTCCAGTTTTGTCATTTCCAAGCACCTAGCCCAGTGCCCAGCGTAAAATTCAATGAAAGTCAATAACCGCTAACGCCGACTGGCTCTCCAGGCCCAGAAATGTTTGCATCAGACAAACAACAGGGAAGAGTAACGATAAAGATATGGAGTCTAAACTGCTCAGCGACATGTTTGTTTAAATTCTATTTCCACTTTGTTATAAAATGCAGCAAAATAATTGCATCTAAATGACAAATAGGTAATAAAGGGTCTTCCTGTGGGGAAATCGATCTTCACGGAATACATTCAGAACAATTCATCATGCAGGGACATAAGATCAACTTACCAAGGCATCTTCAAGAATCCGAGGCTTGTTTTGTTGTTGTTTAAAAATGAACTATTAATAGAAGAGCATATGTTCACGTGAGTTTACAGCAGGAATTCCGATAATGCTGCCATCCCTGGAAACCCTTAGGAGCTGTTCTTCTAAGGATGTCCTCAGATGCCACTGGCAAATGGGACGCCCATGTGGCTCTGCAGATAGCGAGCTGGGGTCTCAGAGTTAGCAAATATTTGGGGGCCAAGTTTGGTCAATAAAGTGAGTCGATGGCTAACAACTGCCTGTTGCCATAAAGTCATGTTTGAGTAGCAGCAGTGTGCCTGAAATAACAATAACTATTTATTGCATGTTTACACATGTGTCTGGCTTCGTTGCAAGTGCTTTATCTGCATAAATGGATGTATTTTCCCCAACAAACCTCTAAAGTACCTATTGTTATTGTCATTTTCACATTATAGATAAGGAAGTTGAGGCACAGAGAGGTTAGGTTGCTCACCATATGCCACACAGGGTGGTGTGGTACAGCCAGGATTTGAGCCCAGGAACATGCACATGTGTATAAACACATCACTGTCCACTCTGTTTAGGGCAAAATACATACAGCGTCTTTTTTTTTCTTTTTTTTCTCTTTTTTTTGAGACAAGGTCTCACTCTGTCACCCAGGCTGGAGTGCAATGGTGTGACCACAGCTCACTGCAGCCTCAAACTCCAAGGCTCAAGCCTCCTGAGTAGCCAGGACTATAGGCACACACCACCACATCTGGTGGCATCTTGCTATGTTGCCCAGACTGGACAGGAACTCCTGGGCTCAAGCAATCCTCCTACCTCGGCCGCCCAAAGTGCTGGGGTTATAGGTGTGAGCCACTGCTCCCAGCCCCGATCATCATTACAAAGATGAAGATCTGGGTGGCTGCATCTCTGCGCACGAGCATACTCCATGAGAGTGGACACAATACTGGAACCAATGCCCCGTAGGGAAGTGAGTCCCAGGCAACAACACACGGTTGCTATAGTGCCCCCGGGGAGGGTGGGCTGGTCACTGGCAGGGCCTGGTTCTGCAGAGACGTATCCCCACGTCCAGGCTGGTGGTCAGAGGCTGTGAGGACACCAGCAGCCCACCAGCACACTGCCTATCCTCTCTGTGAGCGCCAAACCCACATCAACAGAGCATTGATCACTACATATCAAGTTGTTAGAGGGAGGGGCCGCCCATCTCCTTCGAAACCTGTCCTTAAGCCAAAACTGAGACCCTCGTTACCCACCCACAGTCATTCCCACTTTCCCACCCATCTTTCTGCTCTCCTACTTCCCATCAAGACCCACACTCAAATCTGAGCTCTTCTGATAAGCTCAATGGTATTTCAGCAATTTTCTTTTTTTTCAAAACTGTTTATGTTCACTGTGGTAAAATGTACGTAACATAAAATGCCCCATTTTTTCCCATTTTCAGGTTTGCACTCTCACACTGCTACGCAAGCATCACCACCGTGACGCTGTGCTGCTTTCACGCCTAAGCATTCCAAAAGCAGAATGACAAACGCCAGTGAGGTTATCTAAGGTACACATGGAAAAGTTTGTATTTTCCAACTTAGAACACAGACAACCCCATCAAATGCTTAGTATTTGCGTTGGGTTCGGCGCTTCAGCCTCCTGCCTCTCTCCCTCCGTCCCCTCCTGCCCCAACTCGGTTCTGAAGGAAACGCCACAGTGGGAGGATCTGAGACAGCCCCACTTTCAACCCTGACATGGTGGCCCCCACTGGCCACTGCGTCCTCAAGGAGGGTCTCTCGGGCCTGTGCAGATCCTGAGCCACAAACTCGGATCACGCCCACACCTCCTGGGGCTGTCTCAGGGAGCACACACGGCCACATATGCGAAAGCACCTGCCGTGGCAGACAATTAATCTTCACTCCTTATGTCAGCTCTGTGAAACAGCGTGCGCTGAGATCAAGATAGCATCCCTCCAAAAGGGCAGGGAAAACACCCTGAATTTTCTGCAATTTTATCACAAAAGAAAAAAATGAGTGTAGATGATAGACCAGCCTGGTTTTCTCCCCAACTCCCAGTACGAGGAGTGCTGCGCCGTGGTAGCACCGTGCTTTGTCGTCCTGGGGCAGGGCCTGCTGGGTCCCATGGCTTTTTCAGTGAGTGCCAAGGACATGGGTCCTGCTGCTCTAGGGCTCTACAGACAAGATAACAAGAGACAGGTGGTAGGATTCAGAAACACTGATCTCAGGATGATTTTCCTAAGAAGTCAGACAAACCCAGCAGGGAACAGTGGCTCATGCCTGCAATCCCAGTGCTTTGGGAGGCCACAGCAGGAGGATAACTTGAGGTCAGGAATACAAGATCAGCCTGGAAAACATAGTAAGACCCTATTGCTGCAAAAGGGCATTAAAGTTTTTAAAAATTAAAAACAAAAGTCAGTTTGGGAGGCCGAGGTGGGTGGATCACGAGGTCAGGAGATAGAGACCATCCTGGCTAACAGGGTGAAACTCTGTCTCTACTAAAAATACAAAAAATTAGGCAGGTGTGGTGGCGGGTGCCTGTAGTCCCAGCTACTTGGGAGGCTGAGGCAAGAGAATGGCATGAACCAGGCAGGCGGAGCTTGCAGTGAGCTGAGATCTCACCACTGCTCTCCAGCCTGGGCGACAGAGCGACAGAGAGAGACTCCGTCTAAAAAAAAACAAAAACAAAAAAATAAAAGTCAGGCAAACCCAACAGCAGCTGTGGCTGGTCTCTCCCTCAGGGTTGGCGGACCCAGCAAGCCTAGGACAGAACCCTCGTGTGAAATGGGCACACCCCCATCTCCTTAGGGAGTCTGGAGGCCTGTTGTCTACTTGGCAACTGGAATATAGCTTCTTTAAAGGAATTCTTTAAAATACAATATGGCATCTAGAAACATTTATTAATGTATTTTCTTCTGTACAATCTCTACAGCTGTACCGTCAGCCCTCTGTATCCACAGTTTCTACATTTGCAGATTCAACTAACTGCAGACTGAAAATATTGAGGCAAAAATACAAATAACAATAAAACAATAAAAAATAGGCCAGGCGCAGTGGCTCACACCTGTAATCCTAGCACTTTGGGAGGCCAAGGCAGGAGGATCGCTTGAGCCCAGGAGTTTGAGACCAACCTAGGCAACATGGCAAAACTCCGTCTCTACAAAAAATAAACAATTAGCCAGATGTGGTGGCATGTGCCTGTAGTCCAAGCTACTCAAGAGGCCAAGACGGGAGGATCACTTGAGCCCAGGAGGTTGAGACTGCAGTGAGCTACGATGGCGCCACTGCATTCCAGCCTGGGTGACACAGCAAGACCCTGTCTAAAAAATAAAAAACAATACAAATTTTTAAAATATAGTATAACAACTATTTACACAACATTTATATTGTATGTGGTATCATAAGTAATCTAGAGATGATGTAAAGTCTATGAGTGGATGTCTGTGTGTTCTAAGTATATGCACCATCATTTTATATCAGGGACTTGAGCATCCACAAAGGACAGCAAGGCTGATTGTGCTAACAGAGCACAGAATTACACGCCCAGCTAGGGCACCACGTTATTATTTTGTATTCTTTTTTTGCCCCTAGGAAATCTTGAACCAGGAGATGTCTTTCTCACACCACCCTGGAGTATTCTACAAATGCCAACATAAATTGAGAGGAAAAAGAGTCCATACTCCCATACGGACTATTATTGGTTAAAAAATTTTAACGGAACCATAAACCACTACCCAGACGTTACACTTGTTTATTTTTGCATCCCATTTCTGGGTTCCCCCATTTAAACATAGTATCCTGAAAAAACACAGAGACCCGGGACTTGACTTCTAGCCAAGTTTGAAGACCCTTGGCCTGTGACGACTCCATGAGACTCTGGAAGAGAGGCGATTATCAGCCCAGCACAGGCAGGTGGCAGGGCTGAAGTTCAGCTAAAAGCCCTATCAAACCGGATATAAGGAACCAGAGGGGATGTCTTGTGCTGGAGATTGATTCCCACGAGCAGAGGGCCCCGGGAGCTAAGCTAAAATCCTCAACCTCTGCAGCCCATGCCCCCACCCCCACGCCAGCTCCCCACCCCACGCCAACTTCCGCCCCCACGCCAGCTCCCGCCCCCACGCCAGCTCCCCACCCAACGCCAACTCCCGCCCCCACGCCAGCTCCTGCCCCCACGCCAGCTCCCCACCCAACGCCAACTCCCGCCCCCACGCCAACTCCCGCCCCCACGCCAACTCCCGCCCCCACGCCAGCTCCCGCTCCCACGCCAGCTCCTGCCCCCACAACAACTCCCGCCCCCCAACAGCTCCAACCCCAACAGCTCCCACCCCCACAACAGCTCCCACCCTGCCAGCCCCCACCCCCACGCCAGCCCCCACCTCCACACCTGCATGTGATGTCATCAGAGCTATGGCAGCTAACTGTGCAGATCGTGATGACACTCAGACTGTACACTCCTGGGACAGAAGTATGGCATGACAACTATTAAATATTTATTAAATGAACCCCTGATTTTTATGAGGCCTTTCTGTATAGTCAACTTCAAGAAGACTATGAAAGAAGACGGGGAAGAACATTTATCGAGCACCACTATAAGCCAGACTGTGTTTTGGTACTTTACAAATGTTATTTCACTTAATCTTTATACAGAACCTACTCACTGGCCATTATCTCTACCTCAGTGTGGTAAAGAGTGCACTTCAGAGAGGTCAGCTGATCTATCAGTGTCACAGAGCAGGAACTGGGGCGTGACCGGGGCAGGCTGCTCCTCCTGGAAGCAATGCCTTCCCCAGCCTCTGAGCTCATCTGCCAACAGAGAGCACAGGAGAATCCAGTATTAAGGACTCCAGAGACATCCATACACTAACAGAGGAAGAGGCTAGGACCCAAGAAACTACAAGAGGCCACGTATGGAAGCAGTCACCTGCTTTCTGCACATGTTTGATTTCTCCAGAGCTAAGTGGCTCCATTTCAGGGATAACTACAACATCCAAGTTTCAGATGTACAATGAACAAAAGCCCCCATTTTCCAAAGAACCTAATGAGACATGCAAGTTGCTTTGATCCTGGATACTCAGTGGCAGAGGATTCATCTCAAACAATGCTCATACTTACTGACAGTAGAGCCAGCATTCAAACTGGTCTTGGCTGTGCTATCAGCCCTAACACCCAGCAATGAGCAGTCACCATCACGAAGTCTCCCTGCAGGATGCTCTGAGCATAAATAAAAAGAGCTGGAAAATGAAAGCTTTCAGCAAACAAACTCATCTGTCACATTAAATATTAATTGGAATGTTTCTGACTTTATAATTTTTATATTTAATTGCTTTGGATATTTTAGCTATTTAACAGCTATAAAAAGATATTTATAACTATCTTTATGTTGTACACACTCAAGTAACCTTAAAATAAATATAATTTCAGGCAATACTGAAATTATTTCTCATCCTTATTTAAAAGGGTAAGTACACATCTCGACATGAGACTACCACGATGCCTCTAAAAAAAAGATAATCACATTTGATTATCTTGAAACAGTATAGAATGGTTTACCAGGAAGAAAATGGAGAAGAGTTTGGTGCTTATGGGAATAACAACATAAATTATATGTTATTTACACACAGAAACGTTATTAATTAAGGTTAGGTTTATAACTGAGGACTAGATTCGAGGCTAACAGCATGAAGGAAAAACCAAGTACACATACCACAGAATGTGCAAATGGCTCTCTCAGCAAACTTAACTTCCCTGCAGAAAAAGCATTTGATATTTTTACAAAAAGCCACTATCAATCATTTCTACACCTACTAAATTGCAAGTAGGCAGACTGTCTAGGCTTCTCCTGTACACATCACAAAAGATTACATGGACCTAAGACAGATCCTGAAGATGGAGAGGAAGGTGGTGGAAAGAGAGACTCTGCAGGAAATGAGAAAGCATCAGCAACAGCATCCCATTAAAAACTGCACAAATGATTGATGGGTGGGCTCACAGTCACTGTGTCAGGAACTTTGGTCACAACACAAGAATGAAGGAAGGCAACTCTGGGGGCCTTGAACTCCAGGAAGAGGTGCCTGGACTCCTGTTATGAAGCAAGAAGCAGCCCTGGAAAGTTTTGGGGCAAGGGAAACTTATCACTAAAACCTCACTCTAAAGAGCATCGGCAGAACTAGAGAGAGGAGAGAACGGAGGCAGGGAGACGGTCTCATGACACTGTTTCTCTGCAGCACTTGACATACACCTGGCAAGAGCTCCGTCAATATTTGCTCAACAGAAGCAGCCCGCCGGGGACCACTGCATTGGCGCAGGTGGGACAGGCACACGGGAGCTGCAGATGGCAGGAGGCGACCCCCAAAACATTTGTGGCTTCTCCAGAGTGCGTGCTATGAGAAGCTGTCCCTGCCTGCTGTTCTCTCTAAAATGCCTTCCAGGTCTTGTCATTTGGAAAACACTGCCCGCTGCCTGCCCACCTGGGACCTTCATACTGCACAGCCCCATATTAAAGACTGAAAAGTTCTGTAGTAAAGAAACTGATTTAAGTTTCTTCTTCCAAGCTTTGGCCATTAATTCACCCCCACTCCTTTTATGGAGGAACAGCTCTCAATATCTCCTAAAGCGAGCATTCTCTGGGCAGCTCTGGAAGGCGGGGGCTGAGGGCATCCGTGGGTCAGCCACAGGTGCAACCTTGCAGAGGAGAGGGATGAGGAATGCGCGGAAGGTCTGTGGGGTGGGAAGGGCACGCCGGGAGCTGCTCCTGAACACAGCAGCCCAGTCACACCCCCAGCAAGCCTACATCCTTCACTCGGAGCCCACAGGGGAAACAGCTCCAACTATTCCATTTAAGTGATTCTTTTTCAGTCTCATTAGTGGCTAAGAAAACCTGGTCACCAACATCCACAAAATAGCACTTTCAGACAAAGACTACTAACTGCCCTCCTCCTCCTTTATGAGCGAAATAACCTTAATTTATTTAACAATTAGATCTGATTCTCCTTTCACCAGAAAGACTCGCTATAAATTCTATAGGAATTTGATTCACTTACCTAGTTATTTGAGGTTAAATGTTTTTCTCTAACATTAAAATAATTTAAAAAGCCTAAGAAAATTAATTGTGCAAAACCTCTGCAGCATCCAAGGGTGGTACCATGGGCCGGGAAGAGGCAGAATCTCAAGCCAGCAACCTCTTTAGGATGTGTACGGTGACACCCAGAAAGGATGCATTCCAAGTCAGTCAAAACCACAAGAAACCTCAGGTGAAATCTCCACCACTATGACGGCACCTGGGACAGAGGCCGGCGGACCCAGCCCGGAAGGGTCCCTGCTTCCCTCTGCTCAGAGGAACTGGGGGTTTGTTTTTAGGACAGCCAGAGTCTTATCTTTCCCAAGTCCATTCACCTATATCATTGCTCAATGAATGACAGCCAGGCAGAAAGAGGGCCTGGAAGCACAAAAACAGTAAGTTTAGGACATCTGTGTTTTTACATGCTCAAGTGTAACATGAAGGTGCTCCACACAACACATGGCACTCAGGCGGCCTTTAGAGCCGCATGCTGCAAAGAGCTTCACAAATGCCCTGTGAGGCAGGTGGGGGCCGCTCCACGCACAGCTGAACCGTGGAGGACACACCCAATTCTGAGCGCAGTCACTGTGAACAGGCAACTGGCAACAGAAGGAAACCAGTTTCAGCACAGCCTCAAAAGTTAGGATCAATCAATCCTTCTGGAAATTTAATTATAAGCTGTAACAGAATTCACATCTTTGGACCCAATAATTTTGCCTCAGGGAGTTTATCCTAAGGAAATAATCAAATATACAGAAGAGCTTTTATGCACAAAGGTGTTCATCAAAGCGTTATTCATAAGGGTGAAAACCGTCAAAAAGTGGACTATCCAACAACAGGAACACAATTTTAAAATTCAAGTACATGTACATGAAAATATTATGCAGCAATTTAAAATCGTATTTATAAGAAAAATGCTCGTAATGTAATGTTAAAAGGGAATGATCAAGTTACCATATTAAATACTATTATGAACACAGTTCTGTAGGAAGAAATTTGCAAAAGACAAAACTGGAAGGATGTAAACTAAAATGTTGCCCGAAGAAAGAGTCACATGGCAAAGATGCGTGTAGGAAATTATTTTTCTTTTGACTCTTGCGCTTTCCGAGTTTGCTTACAATGAGCAGATGCTACTTGTAAAAGGAAAAAATTAATTTTTGATATAAAATACTATCTAAATGACTAAAATCATTTCTAAATTGCATATGCTGAGAAAACTAAAAATAATGTATCAATTCCTGTATGCAAGCATTCACCTAAGATCATAATTAAGAAGTTAAATACGCATCTATGTGAGTATACCCACACTCACCCAGGAGGCACGAGGTCAGAGTGAACTCCATCACACAGGATTGCCAACGTGGCATGGGGACAGGGGCCTTCCAAACTCCCACCCCCTTCATGGTACTTTCACACGCTCCAAACAAACGCAGCTTCATGGCAGGTCTCCCAGCCCTCCCCCACAGCCCGAGTGCTGCCCAAAACCCTCTTAAAGAGGAATTCTGAGCCTCTACCCTCCAAGAGAATTGGAACATAAAGTGACAAATTTTAGTGGACATATGGTTAACTGCCCAGTGATGTTTGCCTGGCCCTAAAACAAAATTTAAAGCCTAGGGAAGATGCCTCAATGTCTTATCTAAGGCAAGACTCCTTTCTATTAGCCCAGAGAATCAGCAAAATCCAAAATTTTAAGAACAGCAACCCAACTAAGGCAGTGGGCTGGGCACCGGACTCCTGAGCGCCTCCTTCTAAAGCTACACCTTCACCCAGCTGCCTGGGCAGGCAGAGTGTGTCAGCCCCTGCATCCTACATCACAGGGACTCTTGCAAACTATGTGGGCAGACAGATGGGAAGGGAGACCAAGAATAAAAATGATGAGCCAAGTCTCCAGGGACCCAGCTCCAGAGAAGGCCAGGCGCTCACATCTCCTTATTTCACTGCTGGTTACTTCCTAGAGAGAGATGGGGAAGCTAAAACTGCCACCCTGCAGGTGCTGGCGCACCCAACAGTGTGAACACTATTCAACACATGATGGTCTGAGAACAGGCAGACCCATTATTTTGATCCCCCCTGCTGAAGGAATGGCACAAGTCAGGTGATTTTTTTTTTTTGAGACATGACCCCCTCAAGCACCCTGGCCTCTCTCTGAACACTGCTCTGCTGGGTGCCAGCTCCCAGTGCTTCCCAGACTTTAAAGTGAGCCAAGCACCTAGGATCTTGTGAGGATGAGAGTCCTGATTTAGCAGGTCTAGGTGATGCCAAGACCAATTAAACCTCAGTCTCTGAGGGTGAGACCCAGGTGGTAGGGAAGCTCCCCAGGGAACCCGTGTGTACCCAAGGCCACACAGCGTGGGACAATCTGGAGAGGCCACTGGCACCAGCCAGTTCCTGCCTGCACTGAGTGTGCCCCGCGCGGCGCTGTGTTGGTGTGACACCTGGCAAAGGACACATAGCAGGAGCACGGCTCCCGGCACACTGTGGCTCCAAAACGGCGGCTGTGGCGAACACCCCACCACTGCCGCTGGCACACCTTGTTCCTCAGCCAGGCTGACACTGGGGGGAAGAGGCCAAAGTAAGGAAACAGATTCTTGGGAAACTCATAAATGTGAGCTGAAAGAGAGGAGCCAAAGTATTCTCAGCACAAAGAAATGATAAAATGTGCAGTGATGAGCAGAGCCCATTAGCCTGACCTGTTCACTCTACAACACATACATGTATCAAAACATCTCACTGGAACCTACCAATATAGAAAGCTTTTATTCATAAATTACAAATAAAAAAAAACGTGAGCTGGGGAGGAGCTACAAGTGGGTGACTGTGAGCAAGTGGGGAGGAAGGTGGGGTGACACAGGCCCCAGGGGTAGCAGCTGACATATACCTTGGCTTAATATGTGAGAGGTACTGTCCTATCTGCAAGAATCCTCCAGGCAGAACCACAGGATTCTGAGTATTCTAAACAGAGCCTCAGTTTGGCCTTTCCCTTTCCTTTGGGGCAGAGGTATCCCCAGCACCCCAGAGTGTGAGGATGGCGTGGGTGTCTCAGTGGGAGCCACGTGGACCACCATCAGGTGCAGCAGGGTGAGGAGACGGCCCCAGAACCCTGGCCTCTGTGGGCCACCCTGTGGCCTCCACCCTGCCGTCAGGTCCATGGTCAGGGCAGCTTCCTAAGAGTGTGCCACTTTTCCTCGGGCTCTTTTTGTCCCATGCTCACTTCCTTTTCTTTTCTTGTTCCCTCTTCCTCCCAGAACTACTCTGAAGAGCTTCTTTACATCAAATCCTAGGTGCCGCTCCTCCCCAGCTGCCTCCTGGGGTGTGGGGAGAAGGGACAAGGAGGCTGAGCACACACCCAGCCACTTCTCAGTTGCTTCTGCTGCCCACCCCCACCTGGAGGGGAGGGGTATCCACGAGGGAGCTGCCCACCCCTGACTGGAGGGGAGGAGTATCCACGAGGGAGCTGCCCATCCCTGCCTGGAGGGGAGGAGTATCCATGAGGGAGCTGCCCATCCCTGCCTGGAGGGGAGGAGTATCCACGAGGGAGCTGCTCCTGAGACGGAAACAGCTGAAGCACACACAGTAAGGATGAGGAAGGACAGGGTTTCTAGACAGCTGGGCTGCAGGTATGAAGATGGTTCAAGAGAGCTTAGCTTTGCACGTGCTCCCCCAACCCTTCGTCTACACAGCTGCAGAGTTCATCCACATGGGCCATGACCCGCACACCACAACCTGGGAGGAAGGTGTACACAGCTGCGGAGCTCATCCACATGGGCCAGAGAATAACCAGCCCCTCACAATCCAGAGGGAGACATCTACACAGCTGCCAAGCTAACCAGCACGGGCCCTGACCCACCTCCCACAACTCGGGGAAGGCACTGTCACTGAGACCCCATGTCACAGACTATGTGGTGCAAGCTGCCTCAGGAGGTCGCCTGCAGGTGCGCACGGAAGCGGCCGAGGTTGGGAAGACCCGTCCCCTCGTTCTTCCTTGGAGAGGCACCACAGCGGCGCTCCATCTCTTCACGCCGAAGCCACGGCGACTGCGGAGGAGTGCAAGGCTGTCTAGGAGCTGACATCTAATCCAAGGAGAAGGCCCATGCCAATCAAGCCTGAGCCCCTGCCCCTCTCTCCAGGCATCCCAACAGCCTGACCTGCTCCCTCCACAAAATCTGAAAAGCTGCAAACTTCTGGGACTCACGGAACCAGAGAATAGGGTCACTTCTTGTGACTATTTCTACCATCTTTCTCTTAAATGAAAGGCAACCTCCACAAAACCTCTTTTATGTAAACACATTCTCCCTGGATTCCATGAAGTTCCTCAATGTCACGGAGCCCAGTCTGTCTACGAGGAGCCAGAGGCCCAGAGGATTAAGTGGCTTCCTGGAATGTTACATGAATCAGACAAAAGAGCCAGGATCCAAATTCAAAATCTCCTGTGTCTTGGGCGAGGGCTCTGGGCACCAGCCAGACTGTGTGGTTCCCTACAAACTGCCAGCCAGGGCCAAATCACCAGCACACTGGGGTGTCCCACTTCTCCCCGCTCACTGCAAGACGAGTTCTGCCCAGTTGCCCCAAGCACACAAATAAATGTGAGAAATTAAAGATGGGGAGGCACCAAGCACACATCGGCAATTAATCTTTTCCCTCGGAGAATCTTCCCGGTTCTGTAAAGAAACCACACTTCCCCTACCCTCGCTCAGCAAGTGACATATTTCCTTAGAGAACAGAGACTTGGAAGACGCTGCGAATACTGCAGGATATTGTGTGTATCCTATCATTCAACAAAAACAGAAGCAAAAAGTGTCAAACACTTTTTCAAACTGCTATTGAGAGAGCGAAGGAAAACACATTATTATTTTGTCAGAATCAGTCACCACAGCAGCCTGAGCCCTTGACTGCGTTGGCCTTCAGCTCCTGACTGCAAAGGTAGGTTCACTGCATGCAGTGGTTTGGGAGTTTATTGCCTCCCAGGAGTGGAGGCAAAGCCTCGGATTACCTGGAGCATGCTCACCTGTGAAAGCATTTGTGGCCTGAAAACCAGCTTCCGGCATACTGCTCCCCGGACAAGCCTGTGCTCCAACTCTTGCGCTGTCCCGTCGAGGAAGCCGCCGGGCGAGGCTCAGGTCACTTCCATCTTAGCCTGTCCAAGTCCATCGCTCTGCTGGGCCGGCCTCTGGGAGCATCCGCGGCCCACCTGCCCGGCTCTCGCGCGGGCGGGCGGTACCTGGGTGTGGCACCTGGGCGGCGGCGGTCCCTGCTCCCGTCAGCCGTCCAGCCAGGGCGCGGAGGCCATGGCGCGGGTGGAGGGGCTGGCCCTCAGGCCCTCAGAACACGGGCGCCCCTGGCCACGCCGCTGCCAGCATCCTGCAGGGTCGCACCTGCACGCGGGTGCTCCTTGTCCCAGCCGCAGCTCTCTGTGCTCCGCCTCTGAAACTGAAAAGCAAGAGGTCACTTTCCTGATGACCAGCAGAAGCATTACAATTAACAGGCTTACACAGGACAGAAAGGAAAAGCCACGGAGCTGCCTCCACGACCCCACTGTGGGCATGGGGGCTCCCACAGGGGCTGCCAGGGTGGGAGGAGATCCACCTGCCCCCAAGGCCACAGCTATGCTCCTCTTAAGGTTCAAATGTCCCTCCTGGGCCATTCTGCCCTCACAGACACCTCGGGGAAGAAACTCATTTCTCAAGCTGGTTCCCAAGGCCTTAGACTGGGGTCTGTGGTGCATGGCCACTGGTCAGCACTCCAGGAAGAAAATGCAGGACTTGCATGGAGCAGTTTTTAAAAGTGATTCTATCTATCTATCTTATCTATCCATCCATCCATCTATCTATCTATCTATCTATCTATCTATCTATCTATCTATCTATCTATCTATCTATGAATGACAGGGTCTCACTAAGCCGCCCAGGCTGGTCTCCAAACTCCTGCCTCAAGCAATCCTCACAAAGGGCTTGGCCTCCCAAAGTGCTAGGATTATAGGCATGTGCCACCATGCCTGGCCTAAAAATGGATTCTTAAAAGGAAAACAAATGCCCACATTAACTTTTTAGTGAGAATAGGAAGGAAAAGCAAATTTAATCTATAAACTGCTCCATATGTTACATAACAATAGAAGCATTTTGCCTGTAATCCCAGCAATTTGGGAGGCCGAGGCGGGAGGATCACCTGAGGTCAGGAGTTCGAGATCAGCCTCATCAACATGGAGAAACCCTGTCTCTACTGAAAATACAAAAAAATTAGCCAAGTGTGGTGGTGTATGCCTGTAATCCCAGCTACTCGGGAGGCTGAGGCAGGAGAATCACTTGAACCCGGGAGGCGAGGTTGCAGTGAGCCAAGATCGCGCCATTGCAATCCAGCCTGGGCAACAAGAGCAAAACTCCATCTCAAAAAAAAAAAATAGAATAATAATAAAAGCATTTTACAAAATGTTTTTCAGATATTTTAATGTTCCATTAAACATAAAGCAATATTAACAAGAATGACAGAAGCCCAAAGGATCAGACTTTTAAAACAGAATCCTGAATATCAGTCTCCAATATTCAGGAAAAGAAACCTCTTTTATGTTATCACTTCATCCTAATCAATTTATAACCAACTTTTAGAAAATGTAATCTCATTCTTCTTTTTCATCATCAAACTAAAGAAAAAGAACTTAAGAGAACAGAGCACAGAACAGAAAGGAGCCCTCTGTTAATCACATGTTGCTATAAACAGAAGGTAGTGAAGTAACACATCACTGATACGTACTAATTACAAGGAGTATGTTATAAATTAATGAAGTACTTTAATGATACTAAGACATCCAATTCTATTACCTTCATGTATCTATAGTAACATTCTCAGTTAATAAGGTATGGCCCAGTAGGAGTCCTCAAGTTTAAAGAACAGGTAACATTTTAATTAAAAAATAAATTATTTGTGTAAATGGTAGCTTTGAAGTGCTTGAAAATGTGAGAAAACATTTTTTCTCTGAATTCTAACATTCCATCTAAAAATGGCCAACATGCAGGTCCTACAGGAACTTCGGAAGAAAACTAGTTGCACTAGCATCATGAACTTTGGGAAATGGAATTTATCCTGCCAGATAAAAACAGAAGCCCACCTGCCCTAAAGCTTTGATTTTTCTCTGCCCTTTTCGATGATGCTTTTGGTGTGCAAATATGCTAGACTTTATTTGTTCTCATTCTCTAAACTCAGAGAGAAAACCAAACTGCAGGGAGGTTTTTGCTGTTGTTTTATTGTGGGAATTTTGTCTATTTGTTTCATTGCAGAAGTTATGCTACCTCACTTTTTTTAAAAATCAGGTTATCATAAGGAAATAATCAACAGAATGAAGAGACAACCGATAGACTGGGAGAAAATATTTGCAAGCCATACTTCTGATCAGGGCCTAATATCCAAAGTATGTAAGGAACTCAAACAACTCAGTAGCAAGAAAACAACCCAATTTTTAAAACGGGCAATTACCTGAAAAGATGTTTCTCAAAAGAAGATATACAAATGGCTGACAGATATATTAAAAAATGCTCAACATCTCTAAGCATCTGGGATATGCAAATTAAAGCCACAATGAGCTATCACCTCACACCCATTAGAATGGTCATTATCAAAGACAAAAGATGAGAAGTATTGGCAAGGATGTGGAGAAAAGGGAACCCGTGTACACTGTTGGTGAGAATGGAGACTGGTACAGCCATTTCGGAAAACAGTATGGAGGTTCCTCAAAAGACTAAAAATAGAATCACCATATGATCCAGCAATCCCACTGCTGAGTACATATCCAAGGAACTGAAATAGGTATGTCAAAAATATATCTACACTCCCGTGTTCATTTCGGCACTATTCACAATAACCAAGATACGGAAGCAACCTAAGTGTCCTTCAGTGGATGAACACATAAAGACAACATGGTATGCATACACAATGGAGTACTATACAACCTTTAAAAAGAAGAAAATTCTGTCATTTGCAACAACATGGATGAAACGGGAGGACATTATGCCAAATGAAATAAGCCAGGAATTGAAAGACAAATACTACATGATCTCACTTATGAAACGGATGGACATTAAGCCAAATGAAATAAGCCAGGAATTGAAAGACAAGTACTACATGATCTCACTTATAGGTGGAATCTGAAAGAGTCAATCTCACAGAAGGAGGGTAGAAAGGAGATTACCAGAGGCAGGAGGAAGAACGATGAAGAAAAGGGAAATGTTGATCAAACATACAAAATTTTCAGATGGACTGGAGGAATACGTTTTAGTGACGTACTGCATTGCATGGTGACCACAGTTAATAAAAAAAGTATCACATATTTCAAAATTGCTAAAATAATAGATTTTTAACATTCTTACCACAAAAAATGATAAGTTGGTGAGGTGATGGATATATTAATTCATTTGAATTGAATATTTCTACCATGCATACATATACCAAAACATTACATTGTACCCCACATATATGCAGTTATTATTTGTCAAAATGTCAATTAGAAAAATGAAGTTATCATACATCCCACATGTCAAAAGGCTATGGGAAAGACTGAGGCCAATGTGGATCAAAATAGAAGAAACAACCAACTTCCCAGTTTTCTTATGCTGGCTTAATCACCCCCACCAATCCTTAACTTTACATCTTCTAAAAGAGAGGTTGGACACAGGTGTGTAATAGCTCCCATGAGGTCTAAGCGTGGTCATGGCCAGGATTTTTAGGACAGTGATGTGTGCGGTTCCCAACAAAAGCAGGGTGAACACAGCTGTGTTACCGCATCAATGGATAACGTGCCTATTCCTATATACACTCTGAGTCTCCCCCAATGCAATTTTCAAGGTAAAATGCAATTATAAATGCTGTAAAAAGTCTTCTTTCTCACTGCTAGCAACAAAGATTAGCTACCCTTTCTAGGAATACGCAGCAGAGGTGCAAGCTTCGTTCTGCTCAGTGAAAGACTGTGACCACCCAGAAGGGGCCAGAACCCAGCGGCACTCAGTAAGTGTGTCAGGTGACCAACAGGCAGCGCAGGGTGGGTGATCAGGACCCAGAGAAAACTCTGAGGGCCAGCACAGTCAGCAGAAGCCTGCAGGCCCTGTTCTGGACAAGACGTGTGCTTTTAGTTTAGAAACCAACCAGCAATCAGCACAGCCATGCTGGGCATCTGTGGAGCAAACACGTGGAAGGGTAAAAGTTGGAGGAGCTGAACAAACGCTGCTTGCCGGCCGTCCCTCCAATCTTCTGCTCTCGTGAGCCTCCTGCTCATGAGCTGCCACTCAGCTTTCCAGTCTCAGCCCAAACAACCCTCCCTGGAGATGCTTCTTTGATGGCCCCCAGTCTAAGTCCAGACCCTGCTACACAACCCGCAGCACCTGGTCGGCTTCCCAAAACATCTGCAGTTGCGACTCCACACGGGTGTCCTGATTGCACCATGCCTGCCCGTCTCCCCCACAAGTGCCATGAGAGCAAAGGCAGTGGCCAGCAGATCCTCCAGTTCCCCTTGGCACCCAGCAGGTGCCCAGTAAATACGTATTTCCTGAGCGAACACATGAGTGAAGGAAGACACTTACGTGAAGCTTCCCTGAGTACTATACACAGCGCAGAGAAGGCTCAGCAAACACCTACACAATTAACCCAGCCCTAGCTGCGCCTGGCAAGGGGCATTTCCCAGGTGGAGGTGCTGCTCCTCAGCCTGCTTGGCTGGGACCCTCCGGGCTGGTTTTCCCACCACCCCACTAGAAGAGTTGAGATGATGATTACAAGTGGTGAGCCTGCTGCACTTACACTTCCCACAAAGTCCTATCCAGCAAAGGCCTTCAGAGGTCATTGACTTAAATGCCCTCAGGCTACAGAGAGAGAGCAAGCGCTGCCCCATGGAGGCGCAAGAACTGCGCCCAACACTGGCAGCAGGAGAGCAGGACTGACCCTGGGCCTCTTGCCCTGAAGGCACTGCTTCCCATGCTACTCCTGAGGCCCAGGAAGCTCCCTAAACCCAAGTAGCTTAAATCAAGAGAGAAGGAGAGGGGGGAATACAGGAAGAGGCAACTTACCCAGGACGCAAGGTCACAGTCAAGATCCCCCCCAAGGCAGCAAGCACATGGTCATCATTCTACACACACACGCACACACATGCACACACGCACACACACGCACACACACACGCACACACACATGGAGGTTCTATTTATACTGGGAAGATGGGCAGGACTAACCAGGAAATAAATTAATTCAATATTGCACTTGAAAAATGTCATTAAGTCCCTCCCATAACAGAGCAACAGTTACTAAGGAAATAGAGCACGTCAAATGGAAAAACACCCCCACAGGAAGGGACATTTTAAAAACATGAACACTCACAAACCTAACCAAGTAAGTTACAGGGTATGTCTGCCTTACCAGTTATTCACAAAAACTTATATGAAACGCAGTCCTCCTCAGAGTCATTCAGGAATACAAACTGAACTGTGTCCGTATTATATCTTTCATTAAAAGACACTGTAAAAACAGATACATGGGGTTCAGGAAATGTGAGGGTCACACAGGGGCACGGAGGCCAAAATCCAATGGAGAAGTGAAACAGCCTTTTTTCCAAAATCAAAGTAGCACTCAAAAAACCGTAGTGCATAAAGAATTGACGCTGCAGTTTCATTTTTTATTTCCTCCTGCTGTGGACAGACTGTTTCGCTGGCGGAATGTCGGTTACCTAGGTGACAGCTCCACAGCCATGGCGACTGCTCCAGGCCCCACAGACGCTCAGGGCCGAGCCCCGGCCTGTGGATGCCGATCCCTGGCCACTCTACCCACCAGAGAAGTTCCAGGGAGAAAGGAACGCTGCCAACCAAAGAGGTCATTCTAAACCTCGGCAAACTGGGGCTCTGCTGCAAAATTTAAAAAAAATAAAAATGACCATGTTTGAGAGCTGCACGGCACAGCTCACCTATGCATCATCTCACCCTATGTTCATTTAGGATCAAAGAGGCAAAGGGCTTGTCATGAGACAGATGGGAGAAAAAGTGGGGAAAAGACCCTTGAGAAGCTATTTCCAACTTGAGCTGGGACCAGGTGTCCCACCAAGGGAGATGTCACACGTCTCCATGTGAGTGCCTCAGAGCTCATGGATAGTGCAGACCTTGGCAACGGCCAGTCAGTCTCAAGATCTCCTAACAGTAAAGAAAAGGAGGTGCTACAAATAAAACACCTCTGCCTCCAGGCAGCCAGCCGTAGGCAGAGAGCCCCAGGTAGGGGACCCACTCTGCTTCTGGTACCCGTGGTGACTCCCGGC
The DNA here is from genome assembly GCF_000001405.40 of Homo sapiens. Lineage (NCBI taxonomy): Eukaryota > Metazoa > Chordata > Mammalia > Primates > Hominidae > Homo > Homo sapiens. Next base: position 13,381,495 of record NC_000018.10, on the reverse strand, counting down.
CCTGGCTCCCATCTCCTCTTTTATACAATGAGGAGGTGAAACTGGAGGTCCCTCCCATTCCAAAAAGTCCCCTATGGCCATGTCTCTGGCCGAGAGAGAGGGCAAATGGGCATAAAAAAGGATACAGTGGGCGGGCACGGTGCCTCACGCCTGTAACCCCAGTGCTTTGGGAGGCTGTGGCAGGAGGATTGCTTGAGCCCAGGTGTTTGAAACCCACCTAGCCAACATAGAAAGTCCCCATATCTACTAAAAATATAAAAATTAGCTGGGCATGGCTGTGCACACCTATACTGGGGAGGCTGAGGCAGGAGGACTGCTTGAGCCCATGAGTTCAAAGCTGCTGTGAGCTGTGACTGCACCACTGCACTCCAGCCTGGGCAACATAGCAAGACCCTGTCTCTTCAAAAAAAAAAAAAAAACTAAAGAGAAACAAAAGAAAGGGACACAGTGCAGAAGCACAGAAAATCCACATGGAAATGCAAATCTGAGAGCAAGTCAGAGAAACAGGCTGCCTATAGCCAGGGAAGACTGAGTTGGAGTGTGATGAATTTTTCATGCTACTTTTCATCTCTGTGATGTGGGGGGGCAAAATAACATGTAGCTTTTGTAACACAACCTCCAAGCCATCCTCACCCTGGGTAGCTCAGTGGGATCTGGTTACTTGTTCAGCATAATGTAGTTCAGGGTAGCGTAGTGCCTTGCTGTAGGTCACCAATTCAGGAAGCAAGTACAAAACCCAAAACATCGATTCAAAGACACACACAGGCTGCAAACAGGAAAAGCAATAATTATATTAGAACATTCTTTAAAATGTCACCTTGACAAATCCAACACTTGATAAATCCTGAGGCTATATTCAAACCAAGTTGGAGAGAGTTCCCCCTAAAATAAACAGGATAACTGTCCTTAATGCATTAGTAAGTCTATAATTATCGACTCATATGATCTAGCAGCAGAGGAAGCCGCAAGGAGTCATATATCCGACCCCTGTGCTTTGTGGAGGAGGCGATCCAGAGGCTCAGGGAGAGGGGACAGGTTGAAGATGAGTGTGGGAGGAATGCAAGCCAGGGCTGGAACCAGGTGTCTGGATCCTGGCCCAAGCTTCCAGTTCCACTGTCTACACACAGCGGCCACAGGAGACACTGGCTCAGGAGGGAGAGCCTGCAATGCTAGGAAGACAGCCGTGCACACCTGCACCAGCCGCTCGCTGGGAATCAGGGAATACTGGGAAGATCTCTGCTTTCCAGGGCCCGAACCAGGCCATTCCCACAGCACCCACATGCACAAGGGAATGGGAAAGGGTCAGGGCTTGGCCCAGGGGCAGATGATCCCTGAGCAGACGTGCATTCTGGTCTGAGCCCGGTCTGAGCACATCACAGACACCTCCACTGTGGCCACCAGCCAAGCAGCGGCAATGCCCCTCCCAACCCAGCCCCACCCCCGTAGAGGTTCTGCTCCCACTGTGGCCTGGCGTGAGGGCTCGGGCTGACGGGCAGGGGGCTGGCGGGCAGGGGGCTGGCGGGCAGGGGCAGGCCTCTGCAATCCTCCACACCCAGGGATCTCCCCCACTCCAGCTTTCTTCAGATAAAATCAGCTTAAAATGGGCATGACAGGCAAACAAGAAGGGGGTCAGACCATAGGCTAACAAGTGTGGGCAGGAAGGGAGGGGGAGCTGTCTCATTCTTTGGTGGGAATAGAAAAGAATATGAACCGACAAGCTGTTTGTACGAAACAATTTTCATCTCCCTTGCCAAGCCACTCCTTGCTGTCAGCTCACAGCAGGCTTCCCTGGGACACCTGTGCCGGCCCACAGTCTTCCCTGCTCTCTGGCCTGCAGGACGCCACCAAAGCTGCATCTCTTCATTCAGTATTTCAACAGCTATTTGTGGGGTCATTACTCTGGCAGGCACTATTTTAGGAGCTGGGGAGACAGCAGTGAGCAAAACAAACCAAGCTCCTGTCACCATGGGGCCCAGATCCTTGTGTCTCGTCTGCCTCTGCAGGTGTTTCTGGACAACGCTTCCTGATTATCCTTGGCATTGACCATGGGGACTAGAATACAGCAGGTACCCAATAAATGCTGACTGTACTGCACAGAATTCTAGCTGAGCCTCAGCTAGGTCACCTCCTTTTCAATCTATGGCCTCTGTCCTGCATCTGGGCACCACACACAAGTGGCTGCTGGCCTGGGGGTGCCCCATGGGGGACATCGTGGCTGGGAGTTTACTGCACAGGCAGTGCCCAGCCCCACACTGTTTCAAACATGCTCAAACAAGAGCCTTATACAAAGGGGCCAGAGGACAAAAGTCTGGGCTCTGGCCACATTGGGTTCACCTCATTCTAGGCTGTGTGTGACTTAGGCAGTTACTTAAAGCCCCTGAGCCTCAGTTTCCTTGGCTGTAAAATGGAAGCAATGATGGCACTGGCCTGATGGAGCCATTGTGTATCTAATGAGAAAACACAAACAAAACCCTAGATCTAATGAGGGCTGGAGAAGTTACCACCCCTCCCAAATTACTACAACCTGCCTCAGCAGATGGCCGATGAAATCGCGTCTCTAACACGGCTCAGCCCACCCTCTTCCAGTTCTGATCTGACCCAACTGATACAACGTCAGATTCATCTCCTAGTTCCTCTGCTAATTTGTCTTGATTTTTTTAAAAAGTTCCCAATAGATAAAAATCAAAGCTCAAATCATTCCATGCCAGCTAAAATTAACAACAGAGAGAAACAGGAGAAAGGATACAAAATTAGAGAAAGTGTGTGGGTGAGGTTTTTGGTATGAAATGTGGTAGAATAGTAGAAGAGGAAAAAAATGTCAAGAAAGAAACTTGCCTTTAAAAGGAAAAAGATAGAGGCTCTTGATATTTGATTGGCTTTTTTTCATGTTTTCATACTGAAATATAACATTTAAAAAGCAGCAATAGAAAGAAAAATAATAAATTTGACCAAGTTTTTACATCTCCTTCTCGGAAAATCATCACGCAGGGTCCTGTCTGCTGTTCTTCCGTCTCTTTTCTTGTGTGGTTTGTTCCCTTGGTAAAGTGCTGACCTTTTAAGTTCTTCACATGCACCTCTCAAGCTTCCACACAGCCCTGAGAACGAAAGATGGCACAGAGAGGGCAACAAACCACCCTTCTGACAAGTAGGGTGCTCCCATGCCCCTCTGCCGGGCGAGGCAGCCTGTGAACCTGCAACTGTCCCCAGGAGCAGCTGTCACAGAGTGCAGGGAACTCAGGGGAAGGCTGCCTGGTCCCTAACTAACGGGGCCACACCAGGACACGCAGCAAAACACCCTACACCTTAAGGCTCAGACAAACTGATCAGCGATATAACAGCCAATGTTCCCTACAGAAATGAACGATCAGAGTCATTTCAGTCGCCTGCGTTCACAAAGCCTCCTAAGCATTCCTTGTTCACCAAGCTCCAAACCAGCTCCACAAGTGCCTCTTAAATCAAACACACAGGGAACAGCTGAGCTTTCATGAAGCACTTCTGTCTCATTTGCTCACATTCATTATCTGAGGAATATATATTCCTTTAGGACAAAGAAAAACTGTCCACTTTATATAATTTTTCACAACTCGGTATCCAATTCAAGGTGAGTGGGGGTGGACAGAAATGCTCCAGTAAGACTTTTCTTAGATATTTCCAGGGGAGACTCTGTGTTGTCTGGGATGGGCCTGCGAGGCTCTGCCTATTGCTCCATGCAACTTAATGTAGGCTCAATGGCGGGTCACGCTCGCGAAGCTCTTGGGACTGGCCAGCAGTTTGTGCTCTGGCGGAATGATGACTCCTCACTGCCTGAGTATGTCCATTATGACAAAAGGTAGGGGAAGTCCCACTTTCCTCTGGAGAGAGGAAGCGGTTTCTATTGCCTGAAGAGGAGAAACAGATACAGGCCCATCTGATATCCTCTTAGAACTTAAACTTCGGTTCAACCACTCTGCTATTTCTCCCACTTAAGGGAACCAGAAGAAGAAATTATTTGCAGTTAATCGCGTGCCACCCTAGGAAAGTCATGGGTTGTACAACCACCTGGGAGAAGGCACGGGCACTCATCTAAGAGCTAAAAAAAGATAACCTCTAGACCAGCCTTTCCAAGAATGACTTGCAATTCAAGCAGCAAAACCATCATTGAGGCAGACCAAGTTATGGAAACAGACGTGACGCAGCCTAGTCAGTTCATGTTGGTGAAATAACTTAATCTGGCCACAGAAATCCAAGGAGATGCATATTTCAGCCGATGTCTGAAGGACAGAATGCAAAACAGTGCTGTCAGAGGATGGCTCTGGCGTTGATGTTACCGGCAGTGAGCAGACCCAAGAGTGTGACAGAGGAGCTCTTGGGTGTGACACACATCAAATGCCACCTGCGGGGCCCGGCACACTAAGCCTTCTGACGGGTAGTCCCGACTCGATGCACCTTCAGGGAGCACTGAGAGAGCTTCCTGACTTCCTGCAAGGCCAGGCGAGGCAGGATGTGAAAGTGCATCTGTCCCCAGGAGCAGCTGTCACAGAGGGCAGAGAACCCAGGGGAAGGCTGCCTGGTCTCTAACTAATGGGGCCACAAACCCCACCGCTGTGTTCTGGAGGCCTCCGGCCAGGCAGAAAGAGTTCATTAGACCAATTTCCACTGCCTTGGTAACGAAGGCCCGTGCGTGTGCTCTCACACAGGAAAAGCAAGTGAGGGTTATTCATGGGGAAAGCACCACAGACAGGTACCATGTATCCCGCCAGGCAGCCCAGGCAGCGGTAAAGATACGTGCCCTCCTGGAAGACAGAACTGGCCCCTCTGGAACCGCGTGTGATAGAGCAGTCTTCCACAGCACCGGACGCCGAGGGTGTGCTGAGTTTGCTGGGCTTCAGAGGCACTGATCGGCAACTGCAGGAGCCGTCTCATCCTGAGCTGTGCCCTCACCCGCAGAAGAAGCCCCTGTGTATACCTGATGCTGAAAGGATCTGTCTGTCTTATATGTCCACCGTCAGATCCAGGCAGGAGAATTCCTGGGATCCACCAGAGAAAACCACAGGATGCCGCTGGCAAGAGGGAATATAACTGCCATGCTTGGCAGCTGACGCCGCTGTTCATGGGGATGCACAGGCTCTGAGAGGCCTTTCATGATCTAAGCGACCGTGGGCCGCGCCAGCCTGACCGCCAACTTCCTCTGCACGGAAAGTCATGTCTTCTTTAGATTTTTCTTTTTCCCTCTCAGAATCTGGCCCTTATTTATTCCCTTCCCCACTGGAGTTGACAAGTAGGAATCGATTTATTCCAACCCCTACTCTGCATGGAGACCTAAGCACATTTCTTCAGACAGAGGCCAGTGCCCGCACAGCCTGGGAGGACAGGCAGGGAGGGGCAGCTTTCCCGCAACAGACAGCAACCTCGTGCCTACCCTCCCTCCCAGAGTCTGATGAAGTGAACACAGTTCCCTCAAACGGCAAGAACGAGGACTTGATTTCACTCCTCCAAGGAAAGTAAGCTGCTGCCACTTTCACCAAGATAATCTGGGCCACTGCTCCCCAAATATCCCCAATACCCCAGGCAATCACCAAAACTACCCTCTATTTTTACTTAAAAACTAGATAATTAACAAATACACTTGAAATCGGGAAACACACATACGCCGGTGGACAAGACCAGTGTTGAAGAGCAAGGCGCTGGCGGGCGGGAGGAAACGAGGAGGAGAAGGCCTCCCACCAGGTGCAGGCTCCCTGGCAGGGAGGAAGAGGGTGCTGTTCCCTGACTGTACAGAGGGAAGGGAGGGAAAAGCAGAGCACCATGATTGCCCCAGTAAACTCCACTCCATAACTGAACACTCAGAGCATTCACTCAGGCCAGGGCCTGCTTAGATTAGAATTTAGCTTTTCATCTTCAAATACTTAAATAGGTCAGCATCACTTTACTTTGTCCTTACCACCAACCCAAGCCTCCCCATCTCACTCAGCTTCGGCCCTGCCCTGACCCAGCAGGCCCTCATTTCCAGCCCAACACACAGAGCCAGCTGTGACTCACTCGCACTGCCGAGCCACAGGGATTCCCCACGTCGGAGACATCACTCCTATCGAAATGACTCATCTCCTCACTTCCTTTGAATAAAAACATGTTATTATGTTCAATAAAACCATACAAGAAATAATAACTAAAGATGGCATTTAAATAACTTATACCAACACCTAAAAATGGCTTCCTGGAGGAAAAGGGAATGACTGGCATTTTCAAGGATATTTTCAGACCTCCTCCTTTTCTCCTCCTTTTCCACCGGCCTCTCCTCCAGATGAGTCCTGGCTGCATTCAGAGCTGCACGGACCCCTGGCCTAGAGGTAAACTTGGGCAAAGCAGGTTTTACAGTGAGCACAGAGGCTGCCATCAAAATCTAAAAGCAGTCTAGCTGCTCCACTACCGTCCCCTTCCCTTCTAGTTCCCATGGAAACAGACCTCAGATCGCCAAAAACCGGGTAAAGATAGCACCATGCCCAGTGTTCCCGCAATCTGTTTCCATGGGAACAGGAAGGGAAGGGAGTGGAGGCTGGGTGGCTAGACGCCTGCAAATCTCCATCCCCGTCATGGGGCTGCAGACGGCACCTACACACAGGTCCAGGGCCTGGGGTGCTCTTTAGGAATAAGATGTCCACTTGGGGATAGAGTCCTAAAGATGAGGCTCCCAGCAGCTGGGCTGTGTAATTGAAGCTGCTGCAGACTTCCAGACACACACCTAGCAGGTGCTGGCCTTCTCAATCGCCCCTCAGCCAACAGGGATGACCATTTCAGAGCACGGGTCCCACTCCTGGCTGGGTGGCAGAATCACCCCAGACCAATTGAATCACTATCTGTCGGGGCTGGGGCAGGACTCTGCAGTGTCTCATCAGCTCCAAAGGTGATTCTGATGCACGGCTGTTCTGGGAAAGCGAAGATCCAGACCAGAGCTTCCTGAGATTAAGGTGCCTGCAAATTCCGGGGATGTGGTGACTGCAGATTCGGTTCAGCAGGTCCGGGGCAGGGCCCAAGAGGCTGCATTTCCAACCAGCTCCCAGGGGATGCTGATGCTGCTGGGGACCACATCTAATTAGTGAGATTCTAGACTCCAGGTTCTTTGGCTCTAGAACCTTCTCCACAGACCAACAATGGACAGACAGCCACTCCTGCATGAGAGCTTGCTCCCATCGGCAGCCTGCAGTCCATGACCCAGCTCTGGCCTCCACAGGAGACTGTGTGGGGTCAGGGCTGAGAGGGCTCCGGCCTCCATAGGAGCCTGTGTGGGGTCAGGGCTGGGAGGGCTCTGGCCTCTGCAGCATCCTCTGCTACCTGTGCTATCCCAAGAGACGACCTATGTGGGTCAGAAGGTAACAAAACAGCCAACATTTACGTGTAATTATCAGGGACACATGACATCACCTCCAAGTGTGATTTCTCTAAAAGGTAAAAGCAAATTCCACGTGGTTGAGGATCAAACGTACACATTTTTTCTAAATATTTCACACATTTCCACACGTTTGCATGGTGGAAATATGTGAAATATTTAGAAAATATTTATAAATGTAGACATATTATCAAAGAAGAATGGAACTGTACACGTGTCATTTTAAAAGAAATGAGAGAATTTTGGAAAACTCTGGAATTTATTATAAAAAATAACTAAGGTAGCTTTAAAATCCAGTCTAAATGAAAATGTACAAGGTAAAAGTATACTCCACGTTTCAGCTAAAAGTGTGCTGTGTCACAAAAAAGTAGCATTTATTTCTACACTGAACTGCAAAATACCACATAAACTGCCAGGTACTATTCAAAAGCAAGTTACTGATTTTCTATCCATTTTGCTTAAATATAAAAGGGGAGCTATTTCAGTTTGTTTTACTAAATACACTGTCTCCTTCAAAATGCATATATTAATCTCTGAAAATGAAAATATGAGCAAAGATCTCAACCATCAATCATTGAATTATAGTATAAGCTTACTTGAAAAAATAATCTTCTGATTCTAAAAATGCAAAAGAGGAAAAATCAATTATTTCATTAGTCAGCACACAAGCAACAAAGATAGCTAAGCGTTTCTGCACAATCCTATAACTGTGAGCAGCTAAAGAAAACATTGAACATACAGTCTGTGACGCACATTTTCATTCCACTGAAGCAAAAATACACATATATTTATACATATGTGTATAATGTCATACACAAACTTAAAAAAAGGCCATGAGTTGGTGTTGAGACCCAGTTGCTTTTTAGGTTCTCAAAGCGTATAAAGCCAGAGCGCTACAACTGCTGCGATGAGAAAAGGAAATCAAAACAAGGGATTTCTGCCTTTGCTCAAAAGACACACACACACACACACACACATTAAACAGTTGTGGTAGAGGATGCCAAAGGAGTGTGAGCTGTTAAGAGTTCCATTAAAAATGATAAAAATAATTGGGAATAAATACAGAGATGTGCTTACACCCAGCTCCACTGAAATCTGTTAGTCTGCGAGACCCTAGCCAGAAAATCCGTTGTTGATATTTATTGTGTACATGTGTTTACTTTGAGTTTACATGAAGACGCAACTGGAGCCCAGACAGCAAGCTTCCCACAAAGGCCCAGATGGTGAACGGTTCTGCACAGGCCATGCCGCCTCGGCCCCTGCTCCTCTGCTCTGCCGAGAAGACAGGGACGCAGCCCCAACAGACAACACACAAACACATGGTGTGGCTACATGCCAATAAAACTTTATTAACACAGACAAGCCCTGCCCAGGACATGGAGCATGAACATGAAGTGCTGAGTACCGGACCATACCCTCCTCATCTTCAGTGCAATGTCTTATTCAACTTCCATTCCACAGCTTCAGGGAAGGGAGGGGAAAAACCCTGCAGAGCTGGCCTCATTTCAGTTTCTCAGTCACCCTGGAGGAACCTCCAGGACACCCAGACGGCCTAGCATTCCCAGCACGCCCATCCCAGCTCTGTACAGCTGCCACCAATTAACATAAATAATTGCTTGTTGTGTGCTGTTTTGTTCTCTGTATTTTTCTTGCATTCATCTTGTCTCTTTCATTTCTTCTAATAGTTCAAGGGCAAGGTGTTTTTATTTGCATTTTCCCTTAGAATTTAGCTTAGTGTTCAGCAAAAGATACTGCTGACGAGCAAATCCTCTCTTCCTCTCAAAAGGTAGGTAAAAGTAAGGCTAACCAGGAAAAAAACTACACCACCTTTACGTGTACCCCCAAGGCAACTGTGGTAGAGAGGAACAACCTCCAGGTCTGCCCTGCGAAGAACAGGTGCACAGGGGTGTGGCTGCCAGCACTTCCTGAGGGCAGGGACCGGCCTTTCTGATGGCATGCCTGGCAAGGGCACACGGCAGTGCTTGGTGAATTCGACAATAGATCAAGTGTGATGAAATATATGGTAAACTAACCTTTTACATTTGAGCAGAATTATGGCATTCAGGAATTAAAACTGCTCTTAAATATCATCAACTTTAACTCACCGTCCCATGTAAGTAGAAACCATGGCTTGAGTGTCTCTAGACACTCAAGGGCTGGGTCCAGAGCACAGTAAAAGCAGGGTAAACCTAATGCTGTTCTAAATGTGATACAGAAACTCTTGCTATTTAAGGAATCCTATAATGAAACTTCCTTCATAAATAAAGACATGAATTAGTAAAAAGATGTTTGTTGCTAAATTCAGCAGTTCCTTGACTGTGGGTTCTCTTTTTCTCTTTCTCTCTCTCTTTCTCTCTCTCTCTCTTTTGAGACAGAGTCTCACTCTGTTGCCCAGGCTGGAGTGTGGTGGTGTGATCTCGGCTCACTGCAACCTCCGCCTCTCGGGTTCAGGCGATTCTCCTGCCTCAGCCTCCCAAGTCACTGGGATTACAGGTGTACACCACCATGCCCGGCTAATTTTTTTGTATTTTTAAGGGAGATGGGGTTTCATCATGTTGGCCAGGCTGGTCTCCTGACCTCAAGTGATCCACCCGCTTCGGCCTCCCAAAGTGCTGGGATTACAGGTTTGAGCCACTGCGCCCGGCCAACTGTGGGTTCTGATGTACTCAGCCTCCCTAGTGGACAGTGCACCAGTGCACTCACAGGGTTTATGCTAGGGAGTACAACGGTTCACAGCAACGCGGCGGCAAGGGCTTAACATTTGTGAGGTGGGCTCCAGCAGCAGCAGGGCATGGAACACTGGGCTTCCTGGGGCAGCCCCCCATTCTTAGAGGTGATGGCAGCAGTCAGCCCACACCCACAGCATTTCCCAGCCCTGGCCCCCCCATCTCAGCCTCTGTGTGGCTGCTCCTCCTGGAGCCTGGGTGTGAGAGGAGCACAGCAGTCCCACAGCCACCTGTGCCAGAAAGGAGAGTCTTCCCTCAGCCTCCCACCGCATTGGTGGGCGCATTGCCCACCGGCACCCGGGTTCTCAGAACAGAGTCCGCCAGGAGCCACAGCTTAGTCTGAAAATTCTGGCAATGTTTTCCGGTGAGAAAAGGTAGGAATTGAGAAACATGAAGGGGGCCGGGTGTGGTGGCTCATGCCTATAAACCCAGCACTTTGGGAGGCCGAAGCAGGGAGATCATGAGGTCAGGAGTTTGAGATCAGTCTGGTCAATATGGTGAAACCCCGTTTCTACTAAAAATATAAAAATTAGCTGGGTGTGGTGGTGCGCGCCTGTAGTCCCAGTTACTCCAGAGGCTGAGGCAGGAGAATCGCTTGAACCCAGGAGGCGGAGGTTTCAGTGAGCCAAGATCCCACCACTGCACTCCAGTCTAAGAGACAAAGCAAGAATCCATCTCAAAAAAAAAAAAAAACAAAACAAAAAACCATGAAAGAGACACTGCCTACATCTAAAGGCAGCATAAGGCCCAATGTCACAGAAAATGGCAGTCTCCATGGAGCATTTCCCGCGGTTTCTCTGGGCCACTTCCGCACAGCAAGAAACGGAAAGGGTGCCATCTCCTTATTAAACTATATGGTGCCGCTGTAGAGTCCCTGACACAGAGCAGGTACCCACCAGAGTCACTAGGGGCATCAACACAGTCAGCTCAAATCAATAAAGGCAAACTGAAAATTAGATTTAAATAACGTCTTTAAGATGTGGTTCCACAGGTCCATCCTCAGCCTGTTCCCCTCGGTGTCCATCCAGCACAGCAACAGAGACCACAAGCCCCACCTCCGGACCCTGGACTCCATGTTCCTATAAGACAATGCTTTCCAAACTTCGGATTGCAACCCATTAGTGGTCTATGAAGCAAATGCAGGAGTAAGAACAAATACATCTCAGAAGGTGAGGGCAAGTTCTTCTCCAGAAACTTCTGTGCAGTGGTGTATGAATGTGTGCTGGCGCATGTATTTTGCACTGTGACTCACAGTCCTGATATGAAACCCACTTCTTCCTGGAAAATACTTTGCTATGGACACAGCTCCCTGTGTGGCAGGCCACCTGCAACCAGGAATTTAATTAGTGCGTTGGCTGAGGATTAAAAATGTCCATGCATTGACTATTCCATGCTAATGGAGACGCATTCTAGTGGCAAGAGCGCAAAACCTCCCAGAATCCCCCACAGTTCCAAGCCACGGCTCGCTCCTGGGTGGCAGGCGTGGTCAGGCTGCAGGGCGGGGCTGAATTACCCTTCCAGTTGCCTCTGATTTGAGAGGAAACAGAAGGCATGGGAGGAGGCATCTGTATCTGTGTGCGTAAGCCCACGTGGAGTTTATTACCAGACGCCTGGCATCAGAAGAAAAGACACCAAGGAAAGGATATTTATCTAAAGAGCATGAAGTTCACTCTCAATATTTACTCAGAGGGAATCAGAGCATTTATCCAAGGTGCTGCAGTGCAGGGGCGGCTCTCAAAACACACATCTGCTCAGATCACTTCTCTGCTTAGAACTCTTCAAAGGCTCCCCAGTGCACTTCAGATGCAGTGTACACTCCGGGGCACCTGTGTCTTCTCACGGTCCGAACACTGCCTCCCTTCCACTCTCATCTCCCTCCACCCCAACTGGAGACCCCGTGCCATGCTCTGGCCATCCTGAGTACACCAGCAGACGCCCACAGTGCCCCTGCCAGCAACTTTCTCACCAAGACCATGGCCGCCCACCCAACAGCCCACTGAGGCCAACAGGCCCCCAGGCTCCCCACACGCATGCCCTCTTACAGAGCGCCTGACACCTGCGCATATTTTTCCCTTTTCTGTCTCCACCAGGTTGGACAGCAACTAGAGGGCAGAAAATGCGTTTCATTCCTACACCTCCAGCACCAAATACAGGTGCTCTATAAACACTTACTAACTGAAAAATGACCAGATCACCCTAAGAAGGTGAGTAAGTGGTCGCTATGATCAGTTCCCACGTCCCCTGCCTGTGAGCCCGGCCTCAGCCTGGGGTAAAAGCACACGGTCCTCCCATAGCCAGTTCCCATAGTCAGCTTCCACATTCCTTCTATAGCCTGACGTCCAGCTCACCGCTGACACACACGGACAATGACTGAGCTGGCTCTGGCAAAAAAGATCATGGCTTGGCCTGGCACGGTGGCTCACACCTGTAATCCCAGCACTTTGGGAGACCAAGGCGGGAGAATAGCTTGAGGCCAGGACCGCTGAGTCCATGAAGGCCAGGGCTCCTGCCACCTTCCCCATGGCCCTGGGCCTCTCCACTCTCCAGTGTCCCCAGGTAACAAAGATGGGACTTGAAACCTATCAGAGTGCCAAAGTGTATGGAAGAAGGAATTCAGGAAGAGTGCAAATTAAGCTAGTCATCAAACAGCCTACACAAAGTTCAGGTGAGCCTTTGGCCATGAGCATCCTCCAAAACTGAAGATGCTCCCAAACAACCTGGTCCCCCAAACCCACATAAAAGTGACTGGAGAAATCTCAATGACGCAGGTGCAGGAGGCACTCTGTGAGTCCCTGGAAGGGCATCCGACACACAGCAGGCTCACCCCCAGGGGAGATGGACAGGTAGAGTAATGGATGGATAAAATCAGAGTTGCTTTCGGTGGGAAAGCTGCTTTATGCCTATGATTTTAGTATGTGTTCACTTTAAATATGAAGTTCTGGTGTAGGCAAGGCTGTGCATAACTGCAGCTCCCTACACAGAAAGCAGGCATCCCTGAGACAGGCCGGGGCAGTGCACACCTCACATGCCCACAGTGCTGAGCCCACGCCTGCTCTTCAGACACCCAGGCCCCCGTTCTCTGCAGGGCCCCCGACTCTTCTGTTCTTCCTCTCTTGTTCCTTCTTCCTCCTTAGCTCATCCCCCAAAGTCCCACACTCAGCTTCTTGTCGGCTCCCTCTAGAAACTTGGCTTCCACGCCAACCGTGCGCCAATGCCACCAAACCTGTCGCCTGGTGCAGGAAGCATCCCCTGGGCTCCACACCTTTATCTGCTAGCTGCCTCCTAGAAAGGCTCACTCGCACCACCCCCAGATATACCCAGGTCTAAGAAGCCAAAAACAGACCCTTCCTCCCACATCTGTTCCTTATTTTATTTTATGAGACAGGGTCTCAGGTCTCACTCTGTCACCTGGGCAGGACTGCAGTGGTGCCGTCATGGCTCACTGCAGCCTCGACTTCTCAGGCTCAAGCAAAACTCCTGCCTCAGCCTCCTGAGTAGCTGTGACCACAGGCACACGCCCCCATGCCCAGTCGTCCCCTCTCGATACACCCCTTGATAGCACACCCCCACACCCCACTGTCCCCTCTCTCTCAGTACATCCCCTGAAAGCACGTGCCCCCAGGCCCCGCTGTCCCCTCTCAGCAAACACCTTGACAGTGCATGCCCCCCGGGCTCGGCTGTCTCCTCTCGGTATATCCCTTGACAACGTGTGCCCCCGTGCCCGGCTGTCCCCTCTCGGCACACTCCTTGACAGCAGATGGGGCTACCTGGCCCTGCAGCTGCTTGCCCACCCTCTCAGCCACTGAGTGGCCTGCAGACCCTCTGTCCACTCGCTTGGCACTGCCACAGCCGCCTTGCTGCAGCACCCGGGCCCTGGCTCTCCGCCTGGACGGAAGCTGCCTGGTGTGCACTGAATCCTTCCTGAGCATACAGTGCACCTCCAAAACCTGCCAGGCTCTTTTCTGCCCCATGGAGTGCCCCACGCAGTTCAATGCCTGAGACCCCCTCGCCCCCTTTCCTGCCTGCCAGTCCCCGTGTGTTCTGCACAGCGGGACCTCATCTCCCAGGCCCCTCTGCCCCACCTGCCAATCACACCACCTGACAAAACTCCCTCACGCTGCCACAGCGGTTCTGACTCTGTGTGAACCAAAATCATCTGAGGAGTTTATTTCAAAGATTCCAAGTTCCACCTCCACTGGTTGTAACGGAGTGGGGCTGGAGGGGATTGCAAAACCTCCTTCCCACAGCCACAGGACTTCCCTGTGGACAGCAACAGGACTGTTCTGTGTGACACCCAGTTTGCATCTCGCTGTGGGCAAATGTCCTAAGAGTAAACTGACCTGATGCTGAAACGTACTTCCTGTAAAAAGCCCATTTGGTGGATGTGATTTCATTCAAAGCACTGCCTGTCCAGAAGTCACCAGGATTCCCTAGTTTTATGTATTTATTTATTTTGACCACAAGGATCAGAATGAGGACCAGCGAGCAAGAAATATGGGAAGACAGGCTTCAACGCACTGACAAGAAACACGCCAATGTGTCTTTGTTCTTTAATAATTAAGAACCACGCAAGACTGAAAGGGCAGCCTCATGAACCGTCAGCACCCATCACTGCGGTGCTGGAGAGAAGCCACTGGCCCGTGGTGGGTGCTGAAGAACCCAGCCATTGGATGTGACTGCAGCAGCTAACACCCTCCACCCCCGAATGACTTCACAGAAACAGTAACTGTTTTGAGAGGGATCAGACCAAAGACAGAATCCAGATGATAAAGATGAAACAACCTTCATATTTATTCAGAAGGATTTTTTTCTGCTGAAGTTTCAGTATCAAATCAATACATTCCAGACCCTGATCTCCAAGAGTATATCTCCCACAGTGGTCAATTCAGGGCAGAGAAATACTGATCTTCAAAAGATCCAGTATTTAAATTTAGCTGAGCATCTGGCAAGCCTGGTTCTTCCAGAGAGAAGAACCTGAGAGTCATCCTGTTAGTGGTCTTTGGGGAAACAATACCAGGAGGAAACCATGCCCGGGATTATCCTCTCTACCTGCTGAGAAGCAACCAGGGTCTCTTCCTGAATACTCATTCATTGTGAGATCAACACATAATTTCCTGTGAGCTCAGGATTTACAGACACAGACATTTACTTTGCATTTCAAATAATCGGACAAGGTGTGGTGGCTCACACTTGTAATCCCAGGGCTTTGGGAGGCCAAGGCAGCAGGATCATTTGAGCCCAGGAGGTCGAGTCTGCAATGAGGTATGATTGTGCCACTGCCCTCCAGCCTGGGCGAAAGAATGAGACCCTGTCTCTTTAAAAAAAATAAAATAAGGGCCGGGCGTGCTGGCTCACGCTGTAATCCCAGCACTTTGGGAGGCCGAGATGGGCGGATCATGAGGTCAGGAGTTGGAGACCAGCCTAGCCAACATGGTGAAACCCCTTCTCTACTAAAGATACAAAAAATTAGCCAGGTGTGATGACGGGCGCCTGTAATCCCAGCTACTCAGGAGGCTGAGGCAGGAGAATCACTTGAACCTGGGAGGCGGAGGTTGCAGTGAGCCAAGATCGTGCCATTGCACTCCAGCCTGGGCAACAGGGTGAGACTCTGTTTCAAATCAATCAATCAGTCAAATAATCAGTGTATCCTTGTGGTCAAAATAAATAATACATAAAACTCAGCTAGGGAATCCTGGTGACTTTGAGACAGGCAGTGCCTTGAGTGAAATCACATCCTTCGAATGGGCTTTTACAGGAAGTACATTTCAGCATCAGGTCAATTTAGCCTTAGGACATTTGCCCACAGCAAGATGCTGTGTGAGAACTGTGTGTTGGCAGAAAAGGACACCGTCATGGAGGGGATTCACATGCACAGGCTGTCTTCTAAGTGACACTATCCATTTTTCTTATGCACGAAAGGTGGAAAACGTTCTTTATAACGGATTTCACCACTCTCACAGCGCACTACAAATATTGACAATTATCACTTCCACAACAGCCTGACTTTGTGCTAGACTCAGCTGTCTTGGTTCATCCTCAGGTGGCATTAATGAATACACATGAGGGAAGCCAAGTTTTCCCAGCATCTCTGCGAGAAGACAGCACCCAGACTTAGTTAACGGAGCTTTCTATTTTAGAGACTCTCATGGAACCAGCTCTCAAGGTAAAAAGCAAAAGATTAATGCTGGAAGCACGGACGGTGTAGCCATACAGGAGCTCCTTCCAAGGACAGGCATCTGCTCCTTCTCTCCAGGGGAAAGAATAAACAAAGCAATGCAAACGCATTTCTGATGACTCCTAGCTACGTTCACCTTTCCCTGTCTCCCTCCATCACTCCCACTGTCTGCATCACGGCCTGAGCAGCTGCTTTAGTTACTTGTACTGCACAACTCAGCAGCACCTGCATCGCTCACTAGCTGCTTTCATGGTGTGTCTTGTCTCCCTAACTAGCCTGTAAGTTGCTTACAGACAAGGACACTATCCTGTGCTCTTTGCCCCCATCACACTTTGCACACTTCAAACACACGAGTGGAACTGCACTGAGCGCTGAGCTGAACCTTTCCTGCCTGCTTAGGCTGGCTGCTTCCTTTCCTCCATGAGGAACTACTGAAAGACTTCTGCACACATGAGTATAATACCACTCACAGCATCGCCAGCCTCAGGTATGCAGGAAATACAGAACAAAGTGCGTCCACTGAGGATTTTCAAATTTATTTGCTACTTGCATGACATGGCCCCTCCATACACAAAAAAATCAAATAATAGAGCTGGGTGTGGCAGCTCGCACCTGTAATCCCAGCTATTTAAGAGGCTGAAGTGGGAGGATCACTTGAGGACAGGAGTTCAAGACCAGCCTAGACAACACAGTGAGATCCTGTCTTCACAAAAAAATTTTTAAGAAATAAGCCAGGTGTGGTGGCACATGCTGTTAGTCCCAGCTACTCGGGAGGCTGAGGCAGGAGGATCGCTTGAGCCCAGGAGTTTGAGGATGCAGTGAGCTATGACCACACCACCGCACTTCAGCCTGGGTGACAGAGCAAGACCTTGTCTCTTTTAAAAAAAAATCAAATAATACATGTCATTATAGAACATTTTTCTTAAAAAGCAATAATGGCAATGATGTTCACTGTGGGAAAAAAATGGAAAATACAGATAAGTAAATTAAAACATTAATACTCGTAACCCCATGACCAAAGTTAACCAATGTTAGTAGCTTGGCATGTCTCCTTCAGAGCAGATGATTCTGCATATATATCTTTTGCCAAAAACGGTATCATGTTACAGATACTATGATATGATATTTTCACTTAATATATATTAAAACTTGTTTTATGCTAATTATATTTATTCTTTAGAACAGAACATTTCTATGGCCTCAGTATACTTCAGACCAAACTTTTAAAATTTATGTTTACTACTTTAAAGCCTGCTCACAAGATCAGGTCTAGCAGAGATGCCACAAGAAACAAGCATAGTACATGGCATTATTTAGAGACTTTTGAACCTGACAAGCACTGAAAAAGCCAAGCGTGGTGCTGCATTACAGTTCCACCAAAAGAGTACTCTAGTGCTGTTAATTTGCCAATTAAAATGTTTCACATCTTTAAAAATGAGACTGATTATAATTATAAAGACTCAAGCTATCTGTGAGACCACAACCAATATTTATTTTATTTTTATTTTTATTACATTACTCCTCCTGACACTACATATTTTATCATGGAAATGAGAACTAGCATCATCATTGTCAGCTGTCAAAACAGTCCCTGAAAGCCAAGGTCATAAGCCAACACCAATCCAAAGACAATGTGATAGTTAAAAATGCAAAACTGTCCTCAAAGCTGACTCCTAGGCTCCTCTGACACGATGCATAACAGGTTTGGCTTTGTTTAGACAAAGCTCTTTTTGGCACTGGAATAATTAAAACACACCCTTGCACACTTGAGAAATCTGTTTGAATTTCCACTCTCCCTTTCCCCGGCGCAGCCTGAAGACCTTCGTTAAGGGAAACAACATGAAGCCTGCCCACCTAACCACCTCCTTCTCCATTCTTTTTTTTTTTTTTTTTTTTTTTTGAGACGGAGTCTTGCTCTGTCGCCCAGGTTGGAGTGCAGTGGCGCGATCTCGGCTCACTGCAAGCTCCACTTCCCAGGTTCACGCCATTCTCCTGCCTCAGCCTCCCACGTAGCTGGGACTACAGGCACCCACCACCACGCCTGGCTAATTTTTTTTGTATTTTTAGCAGACACGGGGTTTCACCGTGGTAGCCAGGATGGTCTCAATCTGCTGACCTCGTGATCCGCCCGCCTCTGCTTCCCAAAGTGCTGGGATTACAGGCGTGAGCCACCACGCCTGGTCCCCCTTCTCCATTCTTAGTGTTCTCCAGCCTTTGCTGCCGGTTGGCATTTTTATGACTAACCTGATAACTAACGACAGAGCACAGAACTGGTTAGAAATATGTTCCATTTTTCCCCAAAGGTGAGTTGGGCTCTCATATCTCAAGCAAAGAAAAAAAAAAAAGTTTTCTAATTTAGCTCTTCTCTATAGGCATAAAAGTACCCAACAAGCTCATATCCAGCAATCCACTTCCCTCTTGGGTAATTTTCATAGAGTCAGAAGGATCCTTCCTGCCCACAACCCAAAGACTAACTCTTACTCAAGAATAACTTAACGTTTATCATCTTTGTCTTCCCCTTCTCATTTCTATTAAATTGGTTTCCATACCATTAATCTATCACACTGTTTTCTGCTACATTTACCTTTTAAATTTTCCACTTGTTTTATTCAATTTGCCTTCTAAGATGTGTTCATATTTCTATTAAGGTCCAGCTAGAAATGTCTAGATGCATAGCTAAAGCATGGAGACTGCAATCTGAAGGCCGCATGGCTGCCCTGCTGGCACGGAGGTTTTGGAATCCGACTGCCCCTAGTGGGCTCTGACTCCTAAATGGCTGCTGCACATCATACCTTGGTCTCCTCTGTGAGTTCCCTCCATCTATGGCGTGTAGAGACATATTCCAAAACTCCATTTACAAGGTCTATTTGGACTGCAAAAGACTGAATGATAAGGTCACTGGAACAGTCAGCTGGCACAATCATAGGAAAGCACGAATTTCACTCCCATGCTGATAAACTGAGAGAGGTTTCAGTCCACACTGACAGACTATCAGACTAGAATAGCCATCCAACGGTCCTACACAAACTCGTACAACCCACAACCAGCTTCAACAGAACAGTCAGTGTATGAGACAAAGGCACAATGACAAATCTAAAAGACGGCCTCTCTCCTCTCGCTCACGCCTCTGCTTGTGTTACCTTCCAAATGTGTGCCTTTGCCCACAGACCTCGATGGGTGACAATCACAAGTGTACGCTCCTATCAAACCTTCATACACTCAAAATTCGCCTCCTATGTCAAGTACGCTCCTATTAAACCTTCATACAGTCAAAACTCGCCTCCTATGTCAAGTACGCTCCTATTAAACCTTCATGCAGTCAAGACTTGCCTTCTGTGTCAAACCCCATTGCAAACAGATCCAAGCAGTCATGCGTCGCTCTACCATGAGCCTGCTCTGGCTGGCTGGGGGCAGACCCTACCAAGAATGCAGCTGACATCATGCTAGGATGGAGAGGCCCCTCATGGAAAACATGCAACTCATTATTTCTCATCCTACAAACTGTTGCAACTGTCCCTTCTCAGCTGTCAGCACGGCCTCACCTCCAGCCCTAACACCTGCATGGGTGTGGGCAGCAGTGATGTCATCCAGAACCCCTACAAGACAACACGCACTCCTGCCAATGAAAGAACTAGCATGAAGAGGCCCAGGAAGAGAACATCCTCATCTTCCAGCAGATGGGACAACAGAAATCTGGCTTAAGGCCATGGTGAAATTGGCTATCCCTTCTGGAGAACTGTACTGAGGGCCTGGAACCACCAAACAAAGCGAGGTGCAACAAGAAGTACTCAGAATGCTTATAGTATAAGGAAAGATATATACCCTTCTTCCAATCCAACATCCCTTACTAAAAATCACCACCAGAAATGTTGGTATATTATGTATGTTAAAATGACAGGAAACAAGGTGGGTGGATCACGAGGTCAGGAGATTGAGACCATCCTGGCTAACAAGGTGAAACCCCATCTCCACTAAAAATACAAAAACAAAAAATTAGCCGAGTGTGGGCGCCTGTAGTCCCAGCTACTCGGGAGGCTGAGGTGGGAGAATGGCGTGAACCCAGGAGGCGGAGCTTGTAGAAGTGTATTTTGAGTCAAAACGGGAGGGGACCCCTGCTGACGGTCTTCCTGATGAGTGATGGGCTCTGCACAGATGTCACGTGTGCTACTGACCCCATTCCCTCCCACAACAAGCTGACATCACAATGCACATGCAATACCCAAATATTTGGTGCAAACCTTAAAGACTATTCTGAATTCTGAATGCAAAGTGTGGTGGAGTTTTTATACTCAGTTCCCACTCATCTGCCTCCTCCTCTGGAGAAAAAAGAAATCAGTGGGGAGAAAAGGGACAGAAAAATACCAGAAATTCTCCCAGGGTCCAGGAATTTTCATCTTCATGTCACCTCTTACTTGCATAGCGTCAAAGTGGTACATACCATGCCTCTCCTTCACTCAGTTTCCACACCAGGGAGAAGCCTTGTTTAAGAGGGTGGCCAATTGCCCTGCATCTCAGTGGCCTTGCCTGCCTTTTGAAAAATGATACCAGAGATTTTCTCTTACATCAACTTATCTTTTCAAATAAATGTAAATGGCCAGTACGTTTGAAGGCAGAAATTGGAAAATCCAGATCATGTCTACTTATGCTCTTTTCAAGACTATCCATGGTTATTATTGATGACCTGGAAATTCCATTGACCTAAAAATCCAGGAATCTTTTGTCATACTTTTTTTAGTGTTGATATCTGCCACCAGGCAAAATGCACAACAGCACTGAGAGTGAAAACTAGCCAGGATCATGGCAGGTGAGCGCTGCTTTATCCTCGCTGGCTGCGCTGTAATACCACACATCTCCTCACTTGGATTCATCTCACTGCACTCCCAGTTTGACTACAACCTCCCTGAGGGCAAACAGCACTTTTCTGAGAAGGGAATCTCTACAGGATATTTTATTATTGGTCTGAAACTAAAATAAACCTGTTTCCAAAGTGGCTCCGAGATGTGATGTTTTTTCCCTCCAATGATGAGAGGAAATGACCTGCAGGAAGGTCAGAAGCCTGGGTCCCAAGCAAGGCCAGCTTGGTGGAGATTCCATGTGGCCAAGCCTGCCCCTCGCTCAGGAGACTCACTGTTCTCCAAGGTTTGCCACAGCTTGAAGTTTCTCATCTTTCCATTCTGTGGCCCACCTACAGCTCACAGTCTCTGTGCTCCATCTGAAGTTGAAAACACCTCAGTCACATTGATTTCAAAAGCCAAAGATTGCTAGAAACAAAGCTAATCAATGTCCAATTGTGCCTTAGCCATGCCTGTTGGCTGGAAGGGAATCTTTGAAACACATAAGCCAAGAACAGCGTCATCTGAGGGCAAAGCAGGTTGGAGGCATCAGAACCCTCTGCAATGCTGCGGTTGGCCTGTATCAAGAAGTGCTCAATCTAGATGTCACCAGAAAGCTGGATTCTTAGGGGCAATCTTTCTGATCACCACCAACGTTCAAATCATTCATCATCTCTGTGATGATAAGACCAAATCCAACTGGCAGTGCCTCCTAATTAGGCATCCATGAGAGACAACTCCCAGGAAATTAAGTTCCCTAAAATGAGCTCACAATCATGTCTTATCTGCAATTAAAAAATTAAATCCCTTCCTTACTAATATTACATAGCAAATGGAACAGCAGAGTATTGGAGTTAGCAGGTAAGAACATGGCTTTTTTTTTTCCAAGTTGTCTTAAACAATGGTAAAGGCACGGAAGTACATCATGTGACAAGCAGCCCATTCCATTGTTGGGCAAGTCCTGCTGTTAGAAACCACCTTCTGACCACGGCTTGAGGTTTCACTTCCCTGTACCTTGCACCCACAGGCCCCAGACTGATCATTTCAAGCTATGCTAAGACCCCACTCCCTTCCTCCACAGAAAGGCTACTCCATTTACTTGAAGGTCTCTTACAACCATGGAGTCCTCTCCATCCCTCAACTCCTCAGCTGCTTCTCCTGTGACACAATGTCCAGATTCTTGGCTCCCTGGAGTCCCTGCCTCAGAGCCACCTATAGTGTGTCAATGCCTGTCCTTGTGCACAAAGCCTGAGGCTGAGCACAGGTTGGAATGACAATTTTGGGATTCCATGGAGTAACCACGTGCACTGATGAAAACACCAAGCTCCTAGGAACACAGCCTGAAAAGCCAGGGGTGGGATTCTGTTGGTTTTCAGCCGCCTGATATTACTGGTGTACATCACAGTCTTGGGTTTTGTTGTGTTTTGGTTTACTACTATTCTTTTCTCCATCCATAGTTCTTTTCACTTTCCCATCCTAAAATTACATAATGGAGTTTCAGAATGAAAATTTTCACCTTTGTTAAATTTCATCATATTTGTGTTAACTGATTTTTCTAGCCACCCAGTATCTTTCTGAATTATGATTTTTAATAATATGGATGAATTATTTCCAGCTGGAAATATGGTAAGCCAACTTTCTAAGTATCAATTACAGAAAAACTTCAAAAAGAGCAGGGTTAGAATTGCTTTTCCTCTGCAACAAACTGTTTCCAGTCATCACAATTGGTGACGGTAGAATTAGTAGTTTTCGTCTAACTCTGTACATTTGATTTATCCCATTTGAGGGATAAATGGGATAAATTTGATTTATCACATTTGAGGGATAAATAGGATAAATTTTATTTATCACATTTTAGGGATAAATCAAATGAGTAATAATAAAATATTCTAACCATCATCCCCCATGTCCTTGAAAATTAGCATTCTCAGTGTAGATGGAAGGAGATAAATGTAATATAGAAAAACTCAATAATCTTCTGTTTGAACTGGATATATCAACAGGCATTCACAAAATCTTTTATCTTGTGAAAACATATAATCTCTCTCTATATATAAAATAATCTAGATATATATAATCTAGATATCTATATCGATAAACAGATAGATAGATAAATAGATGCATAGATATAAATACACACACACATACATCCCTGGCTCTGTCCACTAAAAAGTCCTAAAAACAATAACCTCGTGTCAGTGAATATCCCTAGTATACAGACCATGCTCTTGAAATGCAACTTATCATTATAAAAAACTAGAGCTTCTTGAAACAAATGGCTGATTCCAGGTCTGGTGCAAAAAATATACAAGATGAGTGTGGATTGGGTATGATCTTGTCATACCCAATAGCAAAGAAGCCATCAAAGAAGACTAGGGCCACGTCAAAAGGACTCAGGAAACAACCAGAAAAGGGTTTCACTGGTCAGGGATAGGATAGTTTGAACTTCAGTAATAATAATAATTGTGATGGATCGAAACATCAACTATGTTAAAATCCATGAGTTCATAATTATATGTAAAAAAGCAGTCATCTCTCAAGGATGACTGGGAAACTTGGTAACTAAAAGGAACATCAACCATTTATATGAGCCATATACCATGGGTAACCAAATGGTAGATGAAGGGAAGCATGTCCTTACAAAAATGTTCCAGCCAATAAGTAAAAACAAAATAACAGAACTGCAGGATGCCCATCTTCTAACCCCCCAATGAACTAATGCAACTAGGAAGACAATATTAAAAGAAATATGGACAGGCACACATATCTCCTGATGAAAAAATATACCACTTCTTCTACACTTGCCAAAGAAGACCAAATTCTGATCAAGCTTCCTAATACAGCTACCAAGATATAGGAAATACAGAGGATAAACAAACATGTTGAATTATACCACAAGTCTGCAGTCAGCAAAATCCAGGGTGAAGGAACCTCTAGAGCCAACAGGTCCAGTGTCTTTAACAAATAAACTTCCTTTTTTTTTTTTCCTGCATCCAACCATCCATTACAACAAATAAATTTCAAGCAAACTGGGTGTGGGGGCTCATGCCTGTAATACCAACACTCTAGGAGAATAAGGCAGAAGGATCACTTAAGCCCAGGAGTCCAGCCTGCACAACAGAGCAAGACCTCATCTCTAATTAATTAATTAATTAAACTTCAAGGAAAATAAGGAAGTAGAGAGCCTGCCTGTTAAAATGGAAACTTAAAAGATGTAACAAGTGTTTGTTGTTGTTGTTTTTGTTTTTTTGTTTGTTTTTTGTTTTGAGATGCAGTCTCGCTCTGTCAACCAGGCTGGAGTGCAGTGGCACAACCTCAGCTCACTGCAACCTCCACCTCCTGGGTTCACGCCATTCTCCTGCCTCAGCCTCCCAAGTAGCTGGGATTACAGGTGCGCACCACCACACCCGGCTAATTTTTGTATTTTTAGTAGAGACAAGATTTCACGATGTTGGCCAGGCTGGTCTTGACCTCCTGACCTCACGTGATCCCTCCACCTCGGCCTTCCAAAGTGCTGGGATTACAGGCGTGAGCCAATGCGCCTGACCTAAAAGACATTTCAAGTGTTCTAATTAGAGAAGATTAAACTATAGCTCAAATTTGGATGATAAAGCCATAAAGAAATGTTAGAAAGTCATTATTATAAATTTCAAGACAGGGGGTGCTCCTGGAGGGAGGAAGATGGTGTGACGGGAAAGGGGCAGCACACAGAGGTGATTCCTGGGGCGGCAAATTTCTACCTCCTGACTTGAGTGGTGGTTCCAGGGGAAACTGTCTAAAATAATTCACTAAACTATGTATTTGCTTCTTATCTTTTCTGTACCTGTATTTTATTCTACAATAAAAAGGTAAAACTTTTAATTAGATGGGAAAATCTTTTAAATTTCAAATAAAAGTTCTGTCCTACTTTTTCATCTTTCTACAGTGCTACATCTTCTAAATCTGACTTATGATGCAATAAAATAGATACTAAAAATAAGTAGTAAGAGTTGTTTTTCTCAAATAAGCTACACTAGCTTTAAGCAATGCATTTACCCGGGTCCTTTGCACACTTGGTGTGGTGGCAGTGCACCTGTCCCAAGAGCTGCGGGCGCCTGCTGCCAAAGGCTCACAGCCACCCTTCCAAGGAGATTCCCATTGGATGGATGGGAGCCTCCTCCCTACAGAGGTCATGCCCAGTGGCCTGCCCCAGATCCCAGCACTCTCAGGCAGCCAGGAGCCAACAGTGCCTAATACTGGGTATTTCTCAAAGTGGGACCAAATCAATAGAGCAATTCATGCTCTGAAGGTCTCATGGGATTGTGCTGAAGCACGACCCTGGCTGAGCCCGCTCACTTGCTTACGCTCCTCCCTCCACTGCCCAATCCCACACTCCTCAATCCCCTGCTCCTATATGGCCTCAATAACTCACTGCAACTGGATTGCGATCTCAGGCTCTGCTTCTAGAAAATCCAACTTAAGACTCTTGGAGGCCAAGCATAGAGGCTCATGCCTTAATCCTAGAACTTTGGGAGGCCAGGGTGGGAGGATCACTTGAGGCCAGGAGTTCAAGACCAGCCTGGACAACAAAGCAAGACTCTGTCTCTATAATTTTTTTTTAATTAGCCAGGCATGGTGGCACATGCATGTGGTCCCAGCTACTCTGGAGGCTAAGGTGGGAGGATCCCTTGAGCCCAGGAGCTTGAGGCTGCAGTGAGCTGTAATTGCACCACTGCACTTCAGCCTGGGCAACAGAGTGAGACTGCCTTTCAAAAAAAAACCAGACTCTTGGAAATGAAAAGTCACTTTTGTAGTGACCAAAGCGATTTCAGCATAACAGAAAAGAATTATTGACAGACAGCATAGGTCTTAGTAAGTCATAATAACTAGGCATTTGCCCTTCTGGAAACACTAAATGCTATCAGCATGTACCCAAATATTTCATTACTTTATGTGAATGAGCCACTGACTCCCTCATATGACAAATTCTACCACTGGCTTATGATAGAAACTCCTTAGAAGGGACAAAGAGCAAAGGGTCCTAATCCTCTTGGTAGTTCAACAGCATAGCAGGAATTGACCAAGTTATCCAGATGGAAAGCTAAAACTGGCCTCTTCCTACTTCCCCACATACATCAATTCCTCAAGTTTCCTAAGTTATAAGCACTGTCAGGGTGCCAAAGTTTCACTCCAAGCTTGGATTTAAAAAATTAGTAAGATCTGATTAAACATCACAAAAACAAAACAACATAGACTAAAGTGCAGGAGCACGCGCCTCATCTGAGAGGCCCTCTGCAATGCTGTACCAGGCATCTTTGCCACAGTGTAATAGTCCAACAACTTGAATCTGCCCATCGATCCTGTTTATGACCAACATGTCAAACAGGCATAGAAATGGGGTGGAAACAAGCACCTCTCTCCATTCATTTCCCTTCAGGCATCCAATTAAATCAAATTGGAACCTCTGTGTTGACAACAGGTTCCAGAGCAGAACCTCCTTGAAGATGAGTGTTGGTGACACTGGAGACAGCCCTGGGGCACAAGGTCCACCCTAAGCTGCCAGAGGACTCAATGAATGGTCACAGCACATCTATCTTCATCTAACAGCACAAGCCCTTGCCCTCAGTGCCGACCAAACTGCACATTGAGGAGAATGAGAATAAATCTCTGTAAAATGATTTTGGAATATATTTTAAAAGAAAGTTTAACTCCATTAATGGATCCTGGGTTCAGAACCCCAGCTAAATAATGTCTGAATCACACCACCAGAAGGCTCAGCTGATCACTGATTCATTCCCCATCCTCAAGAAGGATGGTGTCTAAGTCATCTCAGGCCCCTTTGGTTTCATGGAGCAGTAATTTAGTTCAGACTGCCTCTAGTTCTCTATATTTTTCCATCACACAAATGATGTAATTTCTAATCACAGTAGCCTATGTCAAAATTACAGAATGTGCAAGAGAATGCACCCAACAGCAATAAAAGAACATTTTCCATTATATCCATTTCATGCTGTTGGTCCCAAAATCTTACCATTTCAAAGAGTAAATTCCTTTTTCATAAATAAAAAGTTGTGCTGCAACCAAATCAACACCGTAAGAACTTCCATATGATAAATTTTAGCATAAAATTGACAATTCTTATTGCATTCTCCAAAGTACTTGAAAAAATTAAATGCTAAGCTTTTCTTATTTCTTTTTTTAGAGACTGGGTCTTGCTATATTGCCAAGGCTGGAGGGCAATGGCTACTCACAGGTGCAAACATGGCACACTACAGCCTCGAACTCTTGGGCTTAACTGATCATCCCAACTCAACTTCCCAAGCAGCTGGGACTACAGGTGTGCACCACCATGCCCATCTAAAACTCTAAACATTTTTAATCCTGTGAGTTAAATCACTGTTGTATTAACTAGGAAAAAAAAAGAATATTATCTGGAGCAGTGACATCAGCAAAATAGCAGACCAGGAGGCTCCAGGCCCTCATTCACCCAAAGAAACATTAAAGAAAAACAACTAGAGACTAGCTACATTAACTTTATAAAAGAGCTGGAAAACAAAGTTCTATAGTCATTAAGCAAATGCCTACTGAAGAAGCCACATTCAAAATGTCTGCCATTTCATTTCATTTTTATTCACTCTTTTTTCCCCTACTTCCCAGCCTGGTGTAGCCTTGGGCTGGAGGAGGCAGTGGCCAAAGCTTCCAATTCCCTCCCTCTGAAGGGAGTAGACCTGACCTAATTTGCAATATTTTAACCTGTCTGAGGACTGCCTGAGGACTGGTCTCTGCATTGCCTAACTCCAAGCTCAGAAGGCAAAAACCACCACAGCTTGCCTCTCAGGCTAGGAAAAGGCACAAGAAACAGGAAGCAGCAGTGACAGCTACTCTAAGAAAACAGACCCACAGACACCTAGGGCAACAGACTGCAGGCAGAGGAATACAATAGAATACATAAGGTCCAGCAGCCAAGGTGAGAGTATTGGGGAAATTAAGAAAATTAAAAGCCACCATCTATACTTGGGAATTGAAAAGCATACACACAGGCCCACATAAGACACATACCCAGAAAAGGGCCTAGCAAGGCCTTAAGCCTTCACAGTGAGCTATCCCAAAGCTCAGCTTGTTAATAAAGCTCAGCTGATCCCAAAGGTCCTCCCCAACACAAAGCCACTCTAGAAAGACAGGAGGAAGTGGTTATTTTTTTTTCAAATGCCTAATTTTCCATTTTAAAAAAGCACACGACATACAAAAGACAAAACAGGAAAACATGGCTTACAAAAATGAAGAAAATAAAGCAGTGGAAACTATCCCTGAAGAAACATAGGCACTGGATATACTAGACAAAGATTTTACCACATAAGTCTTAAATATGCTTAAAGAGCTAGAGGAAAAATGGACTAAGTACTAAAGAAAATCAGGAAAATGATTTAAAAACAAAATGAGAATAATAGCAAAGAGACAGAAATTATAAAATGGAACCAAACAGAAATTCTAGAGCTGAAAAACACAACTGAATGAAAAATGCTACTATATTTTCAAAAATATATTACAGGAGCTCAACAGCAAACTCAAACAGGTAAAAGAAAGAATAAGAAAATCTAAAGACAAGTCATTTAAAACTACTGAATCTGAGAGGTAGAAAGAAAAAAGAATGAAGAAAAGTGAACAGAGCCTAAGAGGCTTATGGGGCACAAGCAAGGGAACAAGTATACATGTTACGAGAATTCCAGAAGGAGAAGAGAGAAAGAGGAAGATATTATTTGAAGGAATAATAGCAGAAAATGTCTCAACTTTGAGAAAATACATAAATTGACAAATCCGAGAAATTTAACAACTCAAAGTAGGATAAAACTAAAGAGACCCACAC
Organism: Homo sapiens; assembly: GCF_000001405.40. Classification (NCBI taxonomy): domain Eukaryota; kingdom Metazoa; phylum Chordata; class Mammalia; order Primates; family Hominidae; genus Homo; species Homo sapiens. Next base: position 13,352,556 of record NC_000018.10, on the reverse strand, counting down.
CAAGACATATTCAAACTGTCAAAAGACCGAATCTTTTAAGTACTGAGAGAAGTGAACCATCATATACAAAAGATATCCAGTAAGATAATCAGCACATTGTTCAGCAGAAACCCAGCAGCCCAAAGGCAATGTGAGGATTTATTTAAACTGCTGAAAGGGAAAAATAAAACAAACAAAAACAACCTGTCAGCCAAGAATTCTGTATGTTCCAAAACTTGAACTAAAAATGAGACAATTTGACGTCCTCTATTCCTATTTGAATACTCTTTATTTCTTTCTCTTGCCTGATTGCCCTGGCCACAACTTCCAACACTATGTTGAATAGAAGTGGTGAGAAAGGGTATCCTTGTCTTGTGCTGGTTTTCAAAGGGAATGCTTCCAGCTTTTGCCCATTCAGTATGATTTTGGCTGTGGGTCTGTCATAAATAGTTCTTATTATTTTGAGATATGTTACATCAAGACATAGTTTATTGAGAGTTTTTAACACAAAGGGATGTTGAATTTTATCAAAGGCCTTTTCTGCATCTATTGAGATGATCATGTGGTTTTTGTCATTGGTTCTGTTTATGTGATGGATTATGTTTACTGATTTGCATATGTTGAACCACCCTTGCATCCTAGGGATGAAGCCAACTTGATCATGGTGGATAAGCTTTTTGATGTGCTGCTGGATTCGGTTTGCCAGTATCTTATTGAAAATGTTTGCATTGATGTTCATCAGGGATATTGACCTGAAGTTTTCTTTTTTTGTTGTGTCTCTGCCAAGTTTTGGTATCAGGATGATGCTGGCCTCATAAAATGAGTTAAGGAGGAGTCCCTTCTTTTCAATTGTTAGGAATAGTTTCAGAAGGAATGGTACCAGATACTCTCTGTATCTCTGGTAGAATTTGGCTGTGAATCTGTCTGGTCCTGGGCTTTTTTCGGTTGGTAGGCTATTAATTCCTCAATTTCAGAACTTGTTATTGGTCTATTCAGGGATTCAACCGAAGACAACATGATTCTATATTTAGAAAACCTCATCATCTCAGTCCAAAAACTTCTTAAGCTGATAAGCAACTGCAGCAAAGTCTCAGGATACAAAATCAATGTGCAAAAATCACAAACATTCCTATACACCAACAACAGACAAGCAGACAGACAAATCACAAATGAACTCCCATTCACAATTGCTACAAAGAGAATAAAATGCCTAGGAATACAGCTAACAAGGGATGTGAAGGACTTCTTCAAAGAGAACTACAAACCACTGCTCAAGGAAATAAGAGGACACAAACAAATGGAAAAACATTCCATCCTCATAGATAGAAAGAATCAATATCATGAAAATGGCCACACTGCCCAAAGTAATTTATATATTCAATATTATTCCCATCAAACTACCTTTGACATTCTTCACAGAATTAGAAAAAACTACTTTAAATTTCATATGGAACCAAAAAAGATCCTATATAGCCAAGACAATCCTAAGCAAAAAGAACAAAGCTGGAGGCATCATGCTACCTGATTTCAAACTATACTACAAGGCTACAGTAACCAAAACAGCATGGTACTGGTACTGAGATAGGCATACAGACCAATGGAACAGAATAGAGACCTCAGAAATAACACCACACATCTACGACTATCTGCTCTTCAACAAACTGTACAAAAACAAGCAATGGGGAAAGGATTCCCTATTTAATAAATGGAGCTGGGAAAACTGGCTAGCTATATTCAGAAAACTGAAACTGGACCCTTCCTTACACCTTATACAAAAATTAACTCAAGATGGATTAAAAACTTAAATGTAAAACCTCAAGCCATTAAAACCCTAGAAGAAAACCTAGGCAATACCATTCAGGACACAGGCATGGGCAAAGATTTCATGACAAAAATGCCAAAAGCAATTGCACCAAAAGCAAAAATTGACAAATGAGATCTAATTAAACTAAAGAGCTTCTGCACAGCAAAAGAAACTATCATCAGAGTGAACAGGCAACCTACAGAATAGGAGAAAATTTCTGCAATCTACCCATCTAATATCCAGAATCTACAAGGAACTTAAACAAATGTACAAGAAATGTACAAGAAAAACACAAATACCCCCATCAAAAAGTGGGCAAAGGATATGAACAGACACTTCTCAAAAGAAGACATTTATGTGGCCAACAAACAATGAAACAAAGCTCATCATCACTGGTCATTAGAGAAATGCAAATCAAAACCATAATGAGATACCATCTCACACAAGTCAGAATGGGAATTATTAAAAAGTCAAATAACAATAAGATACTGGTGAGCTGTGGAGAAATAGGAATGCTTTTGCACTGATGGTAGAAATGTAAATTAGTTGGACCATTGTGGAAGACAGTGTGGCGATTCCTCAAGGATCTAGAACCAGAAATACCATTTGACCCAGCAGTCCCATTACTAGGTATATACCCAAAGAAATATAAATCATCCTACTATAAAGACACATGTTGTATATTTATTGCAGCACTATTTACAATAGCAAAGACATGGAACCAACCCAAATGCCCATCAATGATAGACTGGATACAGAAAATGTGGTACATATACACCATGGAATACTATGCAGCCATAAAAAGGAATGAGATCGTGTCCTTTGCAGGGATATGGATGAAGCTTGAAGCCATCATCCACAGCAAACTAACACAGGAACAGAAAACCAAACACCACATGTTCTCACTCGTAAGTGGGAGTTGAATAGTGAGAACACACGGACACAGGGAGAGGATCAACACACACTGGGGCCAGTTGGGGGGTGGGGGGTGAGACGAAGGAGAGCATTAGAACAAATAGCTAATGCATGCGGGGCTTAAAACCTAGACGACAGGTTGATAGGTGCAGCAAACCGCTATGGCACATGTATACCTATGTAACAAACCTACACATTCTGCACTTGTATCCCAGAACTTAAAGTAAATTTAAAAAAATAAAAATGAGGGACAAATTAAGATATTCTCAGATCAACAAAAGCTGAGAGTTCATTACCACTAAACCTACCCTACAAGAAATGCTAAAGGGTATGAAATGAAAGGACACTAGACAGTAACTTGGAGCCTCGTGGAAATACAAAGTCCTCTGGTAAAGGTAAATACATGGACAAATATAAAAACCAGGGTTATTGTAATTTTGGTCTGTAACTCCACTTTTTATTCTTCTAAAGGACTTAAAAGACAAATGCATAAAAGAATCATAAGTGCATATTAATGGACACACAATATACAAAGACATAATCTATGACAACAATAATACATAGTAGGAGATGGAGCTGTAAAAGAGTAGTTTTTGTATGACATTGATATTAAATTGATATTAATTTAAAATCTATTGTTGGGGAGCCAAGATAGCCAAATAGGAACAGCTCCAGTCTACAGCTCCCAGCGTGAGCAACGCAGAAGACAAACGATTTCTGCATTTCAAACTGTGGTACCGGGTTCATCTCACTGGGGATTGTCGGACAGTGGGTGCAGGACAGTGGGGGCAGCGCACCGAGCGTGAGCCAAAGCAGGGCGAGGCATCGCCTCACCTGGGAAGTGCAAGGGGTCAGGGAATTCCCTTTCCTAGTCAAGGAAAGGGGTGACAGATGGCACCTGGAAAATCGGGTCACTCTCCCACCCTAATGCTGCGCTTTTCCAATGGTCTTAGCAAACATCACACCAGGAGATTATATCCCGTGCCTGGCTCGGAGGGTCCTACACCCATGGAGCCTCGTTTATTGCTAGCACAGCAGTCTGAGATAAAACTGCAAGGTGGCAGCGAGGCTAGGGGAGGGGCGCCCGCCATTGCTGAGGCTTGAGTAGGTAAACAAAGCGGCTGGGAAGCTCAAACTGGGTGGAGCCTACCGCAGCTCAAGGAGGCCTGCCTGCCTCTATAGACTCCACCTCTGGGGGCAGGGCATAGCCCAACAAAAGGCAGCAGAAACCTCTACAGACTTAAATGTCCCTGTCTGACAGCTTGGAAGACAGTAGTGGTTCTCCCAGCACGCCGCTTGAGATCTGAGAATGGACAGACTGCCTCCTCAAGTGGATCCCTGACCGCCAAGTAGCCTAACTGGGAGGCACCCCACAGTAGGGGCAGACTGACACCTCACACAGCCAGGTACTCCTCTGAGACAAAACTTCCAGAGGAATGATCGGGCAGCAACATTTGCTGTTCACCAATATTCACTGTTCTGCAGCCTCCACTGCTGATACCCAGACAAACAGAGTCTGGAGTGGACCTCCAGCAAACTCCAAAAGACCTGCAGCTGAGGGTCCTGACTATTAGAAGGAAAACTAACAAACAGAAAGGACATCCACACCAAAACCCCATTTGTATGTCACCATCATCAAAGACCAAAGGTAGGTAAAACCACAAAGATGGGGAAAAAACAGAGCAGAAAAACTGAAAATTCTAAAAATCAGAGCACCTCTCCTCCTTCAAAGGAACGCAGCTCCTCACCAGCATCGCAACAAAGCTGGACAGAGAATGACTTTGACGAGTTGAGAAAAGAAGGCTTCAGACGATCAAACTACTCTGAGCTAATGGAGGAATTTCGAACCCGTGGCAAAGAAGTTAAAAACCTTGAAAAAAGATTAGACGAATGGCTAACTAGAATAACCAATGCAGAGAAGTCCTTAAAGGACCTGATGAAGCTGAAAACCATGGCACGAGAACTATGTGACGAATGCGCAAGCCTCAGTAGCTGATTCGATCAACTGGAAGAAAGGGTATCAGTGACGGAAGATCAAATGAATGAAATGAAGCAAGAAGAGAAGTGTAGAGAAAAAAGAATAAAAAGAAATGAACAAAGCCTCCAAGAAATATGGGACTATGTGAAAAGACCAAATCTACGTCTGATTGGTGTACCTGAAAGTGACGGGGAGAATGGAACCAAATTGGAAAACACCCTGCAGGATATTATCCAGAAGAACTTCCCCAATCTAGCAAGGCAGGCCAACATTCAAATTCAGGAAATACAGAGAACGCCACAAAGATACTCCTCGAGAAGAGCAACTCCAAGACACATAACTGTCAGATTCACCAAAGTTGAAATGAAGGAAAAAATTTTAAGGGCAGTCAGAGAGAAAGGTTGGGTTACCCACAAAGGGAAGCCCATCAGACTAACAGCTGATCTCTCGGCAGAAACTCTACAAGCCAGAAGAGAGTGGGAGCCAATATTCAACATTCTTAAAGAAAAGAATTTTCAACCCAGAATTTCATATCCAGCCAAACTAAGCTTCATAAGTGAAAGAGAAATAAAATACTTTACAGACAAGCAAATGCTGAGAGATTTTGTCACCACCAGGCCTGCCCTACAAGAGCTCCTGAAGAAAGCACTAAACATGGAAAGGAACAACCAGTACCAGCCACTGCAAAAACATGCCAAATTATAAAGACCATCGAGGCTAGGAAGAAACTGCATCAACTAATGAGCAAAATAACCAGCTAACATCATAATAACAGGATCAAATTCACACATAACAATATTAACCTTAAATGTAAATGAACTAAATGCTCCAGTTAAAAAACACAGACTGGCAAATTGGATAAAAAGTCAAGACCCATCAGTGTGCTGTATTCAGGGAACCCATCTCACGTGTAGAGACACACATAGGCTCAAAATAAAGGGATGGAGGAAGATCTACCAAGCAAATGGAAAACAGACAGGAGTTGCAATCCTAGTCTCTGATAAGACAGACTTTAAACCAACAAAGATCAAGAGAGACAAAGAAGGCCATTACATAATGGTAAAGGGATCAATTCAACAAGAAGAGCTAACTATCCTAAATATATATGCACCCAATACAGGAGCACCCAGATTCATAAAGCAAGTCCTTAGAGACCTACAAAGAGACTTAGACTCCCACACAATAATAATGGGAGACTTTAACACCCCACTGTCAACATTAGACAGATCAATGAGACAGAAAGTCAACAAGGATGTCCAGGAATTGAACTCAGCTCTGTACCAAGCAGACCTAATAGACATCTACAGAACTCTCCACCCCAAATCAACAGAATATACATTCTTTTCAGCACCACACCACACCTATTCCAAAATTGACCACATAGTTGGAAATAAAGCACTCCTCAGCAAATGTAAAAGAACAGAAATTTTAACAAACTGTCTCTCAGACCACAGTGCAATCAAACTAGAACTCAGGATTAAGAAACTCACTCAAAACCACTCAACTACATGGAAACTGAACAACCTGCTCCTGAATGTACTGGGTACATAACAAAATGAAGGCAGAAATAAAGATGTTCTTTGAAACCAACGAGAACAAAGACACAACATACAAGAATCTCTGGGACACATTCAAAGCAGTGTGTAGAGGGAAACTTATAGCACTAAATGCCCACAAGAGAAAGCAGGAAGATCTAAAATTGACACCCAAACATCACAACTGAAAGAACTAGAGAAGCAAGAGCAAACACATTCAAAAGCTAGCATAAGGCAAGAAATAACTAAGATCAGGGCAGAACTGAAGGAAATAGAGACACAAAAAACCCTTCAAAAAATCAATGAATCCAGGAGCTGGTTTTTTGAAAAGATCAACAACATTGATAGACCGCTAGCAAGACTAATAAAGAAGAAAAGAGAGAAGAATCAAATAGATGGCAATAAAAAATGATGAAGGGGATATCACCATTGAACCCCCAGAAATACAAACTACCATCAGAGAATACTATAAACACCTCTATGCAAATAAACTAGAAAATCTAGAAGAAATGGATACATTCCTGGACACATACACCCTCCCAAGACTAAACCAGGAAGAAGTTGAATCTCTGAATAGACCAATAACAGGCTCTGAAATTGAGGCAATAATAGCTTACCAACCAAAAAAAGTCCAGGACCAGATGGATTCACAGCCGAATTCTACCAGAGGTACAAGGAGGAGCTGGCACCATTCCTTCTGAAACTATTCCAATCAATAAAAAAAGAGGGAATCCTCCCTAACTCATTTTATGAGGCCAGCATCATCCTGATACCAAAGCCTGGCACAGACACAACAAAAAAAGAGAATTTTAGACCAATATCCCTGATGAACATCAATGCAAAAATCCTCAATAAAAAACTGGCAAACCGAATCCAGCAGCACATCAAAAAGTTTATCCACCATGATCAAGTGGGCTTCATCCCTGGGATGCAAGGCTGGTTCAACATACACAAATCAATAAACGTAATCCAGCATATAAACAGAACCAATGACAAAAACCACATGATTATCTCAATAGATGCAGAAAAGGCCTTTGACAAAATCCAACAATGCTTCATGCTAAAAACTCTCAATAAATTAGGTATTCATGGGATGTATCTCAAAATAATAAGAGCTATCTATGACAAACCCACAGCCAATATCATACTGAATGGTCAAACACTGGAAGCATTCCCTTCGAAAACTGGCACAAGAGAGGGATACCCTCTCTCACCACTCCTATTCAACATAGTGTTGGAAGTTCTGGCCAGGGCAATCAGGCAGGAGAAAGAAATAAAGGGTATTCAATTAGGAATAGAGGAAGTCAAATTGTCCCTGTTTGCAGATGACATGACTGTATATCTAGAAAACCCCATTGTCTCAGAACAAAATCTCCTTAAGCTGATAAGCAACTGCAGCAAAGTCTCAGGATACAAAATCAATGTGCAAAAATCACAAGCATTCTGATACACCAACAGCAGACAAACAGAGAGCCAAATCATGAGTGAACTCCCATTTACAATTGCTTCAAAGAGAATAAAATACCTAGGAATCCAACTTAAAAGGGATGTGAAGGACCTCTTCAAGGAGAACTACAAACACTGCTCAATGAAATAAAAGAGGATACAAACAAATGGAAGAACATTCCATGCTCATGGGTAAGAAGAATCAATATCGTGAAAATGGCCATACTGCCCAAGGTAATTTAGAGATTCAATGCCATCCCCATCAAGCTACCAATGACTTTCTTCACAGATTGGAAAAAACTACTTTAAAGTTCACATGGAACTAAAAAAGAGCCCACATTGCCAAGACAATCCTAAGCCAAAAGAACAAAGCTGGAGGCATCATGCTACCTGACTTCAAACTATACTACAAAGCTACAGTAACCAAAACAGCATGGTACTGGTACCAAAACAAAGATATAGACCAATGGAACAGAACAGAGCCCTCAGAAATAATGCCACGCATCTACAACTATCTGATCTCTGACAAAGCTGACAAAAACAAGAAATGGGGAAAGGATTCCCTATTTAATAAATGGTGCTGGGAAAACTGGCTAGCCATATGTAGAAAGCTGAAACTGGATCTCTTCCTTACACCTTATACAAAAATTAATTCAAGATGGAATAAACACTTAAATGTTAGACCTAAAACCATAAAAACCCTAGAAGAAGACCTAGGCAATACCATTCAGGACGTAGGCATGGGCAAGGACTTCATGTTTAAAACACCAAAAGCAATGGCATCAAAAGCCAAAATTGACAAATGGGATCTAATTAAACTAAAGAGCTTCTGCACAGCAAAAGAAACCACCATCAGAGTGAACAGGCAACCTACAGAATGGGAGAATATTTTTGCAATCTACTCATCTGACAAAGGTCTAATATCCAGAATCTACAATGAACTCAAGCAAATTTACAAGAAAAAAACAAATAACCCCATCAAAAAGTGGGTGAAGGATATGAACAGACACTTCTCAAAAGAAGACATTTATGCAGCCAAAAGGCACAGAAAAAATGCTCATCATCACTGGCCATCAGAGAAATGCAAATCAAAACCACAATGAGATACCATCTCACACCAGTTAGAATGATGATCATTAAAAAGTCAGGAAACAACAGGTGCTGGAGAGGATGTAGAGAAACAGGAACACTTTTACACTGTTGGTGGGATTGTAAACTAGTTCAACCATTGTGGAAGTCAGTGTGGCGATTCCTCAGGGATCTAGAACTAGAAATACCATTTGACCCAGCAATCCCATTACTGGGTATATACCCAAAGGATTATAAATCATGCTGCTATAAAGACACACGCACACGTATGTTTATTGTGGCACTATTCACAATAGCAAAGACTTAGAACCAACCCAAATGTCCAACAACAATAGACTGGATTAAGAAAATGTGGCACATATACACCATGGAATACTATGCAGCCATAAAAAATGATGAATTCATGTCCTTTGTAGGGACATGGATGAAGCTGGAAACCATCATTCTCAGCAAACTATTGCAAGGCCAAAAAACCAAACACCACATGTTCTCACTCATAGGTGGGAACTGAACAATGAGAACACATGGACACAGGAAGGGGAACATCACACACTGGGGCCTGTTGTGGGGTGGGGGGAGGGGGGAGGGATAGCATTAGGAGATATATTAATGTTAAATAACGAGTTAATGAGTGCAGCACACCAACATGGCACATGTATACATATGTAACTAACCTGCACGTTGTGCACATGTACCCTAAAATTTAAAGTATAATAAAAAAGTCTATTGTTTTAGGAAACAATAGATTTAGGAAATTATGTGTAATGCTCAAGGTAACCACAAAAAAAAATCTACAGACTATACACAAAAGTACATGAGAAGGGAATCAAAACATGTCATTACAGAAAAATCCACTTAACACTGAGAAAGTAATGGATGATATGGGAAACAAAAAAGCTATAAGAAAAACAGAAACAACTAACTTGATGACCACAATAAATCCTTCCCTGTCCGTAATTATATTAAATATAAACAGATTAAACTCCCTAATCAAAAGCTGTAGGTTGGTAGAATGGAATAAAAAATTAAAAAAAAAGAATCCAACTATATTTTGTCTAAAAGAGACTAACTTTGGATCTAAGGACACATACAGGTTGAAAGTGAAAGTATGGAAAATACTATTTGTAATATTCCATGCAAATAGTAATGAAAAGAGAGCAGTGGTGGCTATACTAATATCAGGCAAAATGGACATTAAGTTAAAAAACTATTATAAGGGACAAAAAAGAATATTATATAATTCCTTTTATAATAGTGTCAGAAATAATAAAATATTTAGGAATAAACCATGAAGGAAAAGTCCATCTCAAAAAAAAAAAAAAAAAAAAAAAAAGACAGGAAGGCCCAGGAACCACAGACTGAATCATGAAGAAACAGAACATCCAAATAAACCTTAACTAGTAAAGGGACTGAATCAGTAATCAAAGCCTCCTATGAAAGAAAAACCAAGGACTAGATGTCTCCACTGGTGACTTCTTCCAAACATTTAAGAAGGATTAACATAATTCTTCTCAAACTCTTCTGAAAAACTGAAGAGGAAGGAACGTTTTCTAACTTATTGTATGAGACCAGCGTTACCCTGATACCGAAACTATACCAAGACATTATAAGAAAAGAAAACTACAAACCAATATTTCTTATGAATATTAATATAAAAATCCCCAACTAAATACTAGCAAACCAAACTCAGAAGCATATTAAAAGGATTATACAATACGATCAAGGGAAATTTATTCTTGGAATGCAAGGAGTTCAACATGTGAAAATCAATGAACGTAATATATTACATTAACAGAATGAAGAACAAACACCATATGATCATCTCAATTGATGCAGAAAATCATTTGACAAAATTCAACACCATTCATGATTTTTTAAAAAACACTCAATAAACTAGGACTAAAAGAAAATTACCTCAACATTATGAAGGCCATGTATGAAAAATCCACAACTAACATTAAACTCAAAAGTGAAAGACTAAAAACATTTTCTCTAAGATAAGGAATAAGACAAGAAAGTCCACTTTTGCCATTTCTATTCAACACAGTACACGTCCTAGCCATAGCAATCAGGCAAGAAAAAGAAATAAAAGACATCCAAATCAGAAAGAACAAAGTAAAGTTATCTCTGTTCACAGATGTCATGATCTTATATGTAGAAAGCCCTAAAGATTCCCTTTTTTAAAAAAAGTGTTAGAATTAATGAACATAAAACATAAACAAGGCTGCCACAAGCAAAATCAGCATGCAAGTATCAGCTGCATTATCATACACTAACAATGAAAAATCCTAAAAGGAAATTTAAAAATAATTCCTTTTATAATAGTGTCAGAAATAATAAAATATTTAGGAATAAGCTTAACCAAGGAAGGAAAAGACTTGTGCACTAAAAACTATAAATGTTGATGAAAGAATTAAAGAAAACACCAATTAATAAAAAGACATTCCATGTTCATGGATTAGAAAATAATATTTTTAAGATATCAGTACTACCTGAAGTGATCTACAGATTCAATGTAATTCCTATCAAAATTCCAACAATGGTTTTTGCAAAATAGAAAAATCCATTCAAAAATTCATATGAAATATCAAAGGACCCTAAATAGCCAAAACAATTTTAGGGGGAAAAAAAAAACAAAGCTGGAGGACTCACGATTCCTGATTTCAAAACTTGCTAGAATAAAGCTGCAATAATCAAGACAGTGTGATACTGGCATAAAGACAGACATATACACCAACTGAATAGAATAGAGATGCCAGAAATGCAACTTCACAGATACAATACAACAATTTTTGAAGGGTGCCAGGGCCATTCAACGGGAAAGAACAATATTCAACAAATGGGTTGGGAAAACTGAATATCCACATGCAAAAGAATGAAGCTGGACCCTTGTCCTACACCATACATAAAAATTAACTCAAAATGGATCAAAAACCTAGAAACGAAAGCTAAAATTATAAAACTCTTAGGAAAAAACAAAGGGGAAAAGCTTTATGACATTGGATATGGCAACAATTTCTTTGATATGACACTGAAAGCACAGGCAAAAAAAGAAAAAATAGAGAAACTGAACTTCATCAAAATTAAGTAATTTTGAGCATCCAAAGACATATCAAGAAAGTGAAAAGACATCCTGTAGAATGGGAGAAAGTATCTTCAAATCACATATCTGATTATGGTTTAATATTCAGAATTTATAAAGAACTACTAAAGCTCAACAGCAGCAAGACCCAAATAAAATACCAGCAAAGGACTTGAATAGACATTTCTCCAAAGAAGATACACAAATGACCAATAAGCACATGAAAAGGTGCTCAACATCACAAATCACTAGGGAAATGCAAATCAAAAACATATTAACGTGGCTACTTAAAAAAAATAGAAAGTTAGCAAGAATGTGGAAAAACTGAAACCCCGTGCATTGCTAGTAGGAATGTAAAATGGTGCAGCCCCTGTGGAAGACAGTATGGAAGTTCCTCAAAATGTTAAATATAGAATTACGATATGTCCCAGCAAGTCCACTTCTGGAGCTATCCTCAAAAGAACTGAAAGCAAGGACTCGAACTCACATGGGTACATCAATGTTCATAGCAGCATTATTCACAGTAGCCCAAAGGTGAAAACAACCCAAGTGTTCATCAATGGATGAAGGGATAAACAAAATGTGGCATATACATACAGTGAGTTTTCATTCAGCCTTAAAAAGGAAGGAAATTCTGATGCATGCTACATCATAAATGAACATTATGCTCAGTGAAATAAGCCAGTCACAAAAGGACAAATAATTTCACTTACAAGGCTCCTAGAGTAATCAAATTCATAGAGAAAGTAGAATGGCAGTTGCCAGGGCTGAGGAGGGGGCAAAATCAGGGCTTAGTGTTTAATGGATATGAAGTTTCAGTTTAAAAAAAAGAAAAAGTTCTGAAGATAGATGGTGGTAATGGTTGCACAATAATGTGAGTGTACGTAATGTCATGACACTGTACACTTAAAAATTATTAAAACTGTCAATTTTAATGTTATATATATTTTACTACAATAAGAAGAAAACATTAACAATGGTTACCTCTAGGTTGATCTAGACTGATCAATTCTTATCTCCTTTTAAAAATTATTCTCTCTTTTCAAACTGTTCTCCATAATATTTTATTACCATTTCTATAATAAAAAAAAGTTTTATTTTATTACTTAAAGCAAAAACATCAGCATTACACTGTACCTTTTCTGGCTATATAAAGTTCTTGTTTACGTTTTTATGCTAACTTTTTGTCTTTACATATGAAAAGGACACAAAGCTTAAGTAGTGATATGGCTGGGTGCAGTGGCTCATGCCTGTAATGCCAGCACTTTGGGAGGCCAAGGCGGGCAGATCACAAGGTCAAGAGATTGAGACCATCCTGGCCAACATGGTGAAACCCTGTCTCTACTAAAAATACAAAAAATAGCTGGGCACATGCCTGTAGTCCCAGCTACTCGGGAGGCTGAGGCAGGAGACTCACTTGAATCCAGTAGGCAGAGGTTGCAGTGAGCCAAGATCCCACCACGTCCCTCCAGCCTGGGCAACAGAGCAAGACTCAGTCTTAAAAAAAAAAAAAAAAGTAGTGATACTACAGAAGGATAACAGATTTAAAGAGATTATGTGCTCACTATATAACACATTAACTTTTGAAAAGCCATTATTTTAATCAGTGAAAGCCTCAAGCTGCAATGGAAAGTAGTCCCTAAAATGTGGAAAATAAAACTATCAGATGCCTCCTTTTTCCCTACAAAAATATGTGGCCACTTTGCTCAAATTCCATGTCACAGATATAAATTAAGCATAAACAAAAATACATAACATTTTATAAATTTTTAAAAAGAAGTTGTCTTTTCCCTCCTTCCAACCCTAAGCAAAAAAATAACAGCTCCCCTGGACTCACCGTTGTCTTCTTTAGAGGAAACAACCAGTGGAAAGCATCATTTTAAAACAGCATCATCTTCTCCCTCTCTTCTGCACCCTGAGTCTCTCACAAATCTACCCAGCTAAACACAAACAAAAAAACACACGAGCCAGAATGTGTAAACAGGACTCATATGTTCAAACAATTAAGTATGATCCTCCAATGACCTTAAGTGTCAAGAAGTAAGCCTTATTTTTTCATACAGAGGGCCACCACCAGTGATTTTTAGAAACTGAACTGTGTTCTTCACAGAAATGCAAAGACAGAGGATGGGGCACAGTTCAATTCTATTTTCACCAGAACCTTATCTTTACAGAGTAAACATATGTGTGATAGTAACCTTTACACTCTCAGAAACATTCACAAACAAATCCACCAACGCTACACTGAAGAAGGGCACAGCAGTGGTCAGAGCTGAGGATCCTCTGTCAAGAGTCAACAACAGCAGGAACTGTTTTCGGATCTCTCTGTTTCAGGAAGCTCAGCCACTAGCAACTTGGGAACCTGGATAGAAAAGATACCTGATTTTACCCACTCATCCCTGACCTCCAGAGAACAGTGCTACTGGAGGACCCCTTAAACAAAACAGGGGAGAACATATAGCAATGGGTGCAATTCTGAAAAAGAAAAATCAAGGGAGAATAGAAAGGAAACATGGTGGATGATATGAAGCACGAGTTGCATTCAGAGAAGTTGTGAGCAAGGCAGCAGATGAGAATAGAGAGCGTGTCTACCTATATACATTTCTCCCTTCGGGGTCACAGCAGTAAGGAGAAGGGAAAGAGAAGGGAAAAGGGGTAACTTGAAGCTGTAGGTGACCATAAAGTTCTTAACTGAAGGCACAAAAATTTTCTGTAACCATAACTTGCTACTCAAATACATCTACCTCTATAACAAATACCCAGTAAGACTAAAGTTGCTTTGACTCCATAACTGCTTTCCACTGTGACTGTATCTCCAACACTGAAGAAACCATGGTATAGTGAAAGAGCATGAGCTTTTCTTTTTTTTAGAGATGGCCTCGTGCTGTCACCCAGACTGGAGAGCAGTGGCACAATCGTAGCTAACTGCAGCCTCAAACTCTTGCCTCAGGTCCACCACACTTGGCTAACTCTTTTTTTTTTTTTTTTACTTTTTGTAAAGACAAGGTTTTGCTATGTTGACCAGGCTGGTCTTGAACTCCTTGGCTTCAAGCGACCGTACCACCTTGGCCTCCCAAGTTGCTGATATTACAGGTGTGAGCCACTGCCCCCCGCCGACTTTTAAACTGAATGTTGAAAATCATTCTGCTCTTTGCTGGGTAACACTGATCAAGTTGCTTAACCTTTGTGAAACCACTTTCCTTATCTGTAACAAAATGGACAAACAGAACTTTTTCCTTTCCTCTCGATATCAAACAAAAGCAAAAAGACAATGAAAAAAGTTTCGTGGAATTTTTGAACTCCATTTTCCATGGAACTAGGAGACAGGTATAATCTCCAGAATTCCAAGTACCTGTAAGGTCTGCCAGAGGCAGCTGAGATTGGGCAGAAACTGCAAAGAGCACAGAGAAATGAAAGATCCCAAGCACCATCAGCAAAAGCATGCTTGAAGGTGAAGAACACACCCTGAAAGACACGGCTGTAGTCCATGATTGCAAGTATGAGTGCGCGAATGGGACTGAAGCCCTCCAGGACTTATATCATTTCGAAGAATCAGAGGCAAGACCATTTAAAAAATCTCAGAGATGGATTACATTTGTAGGAAAACAGCCCTCTCTCTAGTGCATCAGAGATGGAGAGAGGCTCTGGGTTGTAAAGCCTGGAAAGCCATCCTGGAAGCTTCTCCATATCACAGTATCTCTTGAATAAAGCTGGTCTTGGAAAACCCAGCTCACTCAATGATGAGTAATAAAAAGGGAATTGGAAAAGCAATAAAAAGTTATTCTATAAAAAAAGTGAAAGAAAGCCATAAAACTTACTAATAGACGAATACTCCCTAGAATGTTGCTAGTGAGTAGATGAAAGCTGTGACCAAAATTTTGTCATTGTTTAAAACTTAATGAGGCAATCGCCTTGAAAGAGAGAGAGGGGGAGGAAGACAGAAGAGAGGGAGGGATGCACCACAGAGCACAAATATAAGAACTCAAGGAAAAAATAGTGAGAAAAAAAGAAAAGGTAGAATATGAACTAGAAGAGATCAGAAAAGAAATACTTAGGGGAAAAAAGTCACAGAAATGAAGATGAATTTCAAATGAGCATAAGACAGAATAGGTATTGCAGAATCCAAAGAAAGGGGTAGAGGAATGGATTAGAAAAGCCTAGAAATTGAAACTTAGGTAAAAGAAAAGGAAAAAGGATGGGGGAAAATGATAGGTTTGGATGAATGACAAATGAGAGTCAACAGATGCATAAAAAGAATTCCTACAAAATAAAAACAAGCAATAGAATGAAACAAATATTTAAAGGTATTATTCAAGAAAAATGTCCTAAATACAAGGAGATTTAAATCTACATCCTGAAAAGGCACCCAGGCCATTCCAAAATGGACCCAGAACAGTCAACAACCAGGAATATTCTAGTAAAATTGGACTTAATAAATCTGACTTTAAAGATAAAGAACAACTCTCTGGGCTATGTTTATGGTTTGGATATTTAACCCCTCCGAGCCTCATGCTGACATTTGATTCGGGTTGGAATCTCATGAATAGATTAATGCCCTCCCTAGTGAGTGAGTTCTCACTCTGTTAGCTGCCTGGGAGCCGGCTGTTAAAAGAGTCAGGCACCTCCCTGCACTCTCTTGCTTCCTCTCTCACCGTGTGATCTCCGCACACGCCAGCTCCACTATGCTTTTCAGCCATGAGTGGAAGCTTTCTGGGGCCCTCACCAGAAGCAGATGCTGACACCATGCTTCTTGTACAGCCTGTAGAACTGTAAGCCAAATAAACCTCTTTGTAAATTACCCAGCCTCAGGTAGTACTTTATAGTAACACTACACAGACTAAGTAATTAGGCAAAAAGAAAAAGAAATCAAGTCATCTATAAGAAGGAAATGCATTAAACTAGCCACGTATTTCTTCACAGTAATACTCTATGCCACAAATCCATATGTTACTGCTTCAAGATACTTAAAATACTTAAGCAAATAAAGTATAAGCCAAGAATTTATACCCAGCCAGGCATTCCTTCAAGCAAAAAGACCACTGACTAACAGTTTTGAACACACAGGCATTCCGGAATTCCTGACCCAATGAATCCAAGAGACAATCAGGAAAATAAAAGCAAAAGAACTGGCAATTGAATTCATTTAACTATAGAACTAAGATTAAAACAAATGTGATGATTAAAGTGGTCAACCAAATCTAAATGTAATAACTAGTGACAATGTAAAAATCATACAACCAGCAAAAATTGTAGTGTTGGGGGAGAGTAGTAAAAGATGGTGGGAGACAGGGTAATGTCACTGACTGCCTTATCCCTAGTGGCTGAGAATCAACAGGTATCATTCAAATGTGATGAAAAAAGTAATATACATATGAAGATATCTAACAGTATGACAGTAAATACTAATAAACTGACTAATAACAAGTAAGGGCGTGTAGTGAGGGGATAGGAAGGAAGAGAACATGTGCTCGACACCAATGCTCATGGTAGAAGCTTCCCTCTAACGAACCAGAGGAGTGAAGACATTCCCTAAAGTTATAATCAAAAAGGTTACTATTAGGAAAAATACAAATATCAAAAACATCAACTTACCAACTTAAAATAGGCCCAATAAGAAACCACTTTAAAAACTATAAAAACAGAAAACATGACAGAACTCAGACAAAACATGAAAGCATAATAAGTCACATAATGAAAAAGACTTGAAAACTATAAGACAGAAAATATAAAATGTGACATAACTTAGATAAAACATAATTGTCATATCAATAATGTAAATGAGCTAAGTTTATCAATTAAAAACTTTTCAGATAAAGCTATGACATAAAATTCAACCCATTCTCAGAAAAGAAATCGTTGAGGGGAACTTCCTCAACTTGATAAACAACATCTACAAAAAACCAGCTAATATCATACTTAATGATGAGAAACTAGAAACTTTCCTGCTAAGATCAGAAACAAGGCAAGGACATCCTTCTCACCACTAGTTTTCAAGATTGTACTATAAGCCCTAGCAAGTGCAATAAGACAAGAAAAGGAAAGGAAATAAAAGGCACACTGATTGGGAAAGAAGAAATAAAACTGTCTTTGTGTACAGATACCAAGAAAATCCAGAAGAATCAATAAAATTCTGAAACTAATAAGCAACTATAGCAAGATTCTAGGATACAAAGTTAATATATAAAGGTTAATTGAGGCCGGGTGCAGTGGCTCATGCCTGTAATCCTAGCATTTTGGGAGGCCAAGGCAGGCAGATCATGAGGTCAGATCAAGCTCATCCTGGCTAACACAGTGAAACCCTGTCTCTACTAAAAATACAAAAAATTAGCCAGGCGTGCTGGCACATGCCTGTAGTCCCAGCTACTCGGGAGGCTAAGGCAGGAAAATCTCTTGAACCCAGGAGGTGGAGGTTGTGGTGAGCCAAGATTGCACCATTGCACTCCAGCCTGGGCAACAAGTGTGAAATTTCATCTCAAAAAAAAAAGAAATAAAAAAGGTAATTGCTTTCCTATAGACCAGCGAAGAACAAATGAAATATGAAATTTAAAATATAATACCATTCAAATTATCACTCCCAAAAGAAAATACTTAAACATAAATCTAACAAAATATATACAACATCTATATGGAGAAAACTATAAAACTCTGATGAAAGAAATAAAAGAGGAACTACATAAATGGACAGATGGTCCATGTCCATGGATAGGAATACTCAATATTGTCAACATGTCAGTTCTTCCCAGCTTCATCAATAGATTCAATGCAATTGCAATCAAAATCCCAGCAAGTTATTTTGTGGGAATCAACAAACTGATTCTAAAATTTACAAGGAGGGGCAAAACACTCACAGTAGCCAACACAATATTGAAGAAGAACAAATTCAATGTGCTAGCACTACCTGACTTTAAGACTTATTATAAATCTACAGTAATGGAGACAGTGTGGTATTGATGAAAAATAGACAAATAGAACAAGAGAACATAATAGAAATTCCAGAAAGAGACTGATATAAAAATAGTCAATTGATCTTTGACAAAGGAGCAAAGGCAATAAAATGGAGCAGACAGTATTTTCAACAAATCGTGCTGGAACTACTAGGTATGCTCATGCAAAAATAAATAAACCTAGACACATACCTTACACCCTTCACAAAAATTAACTCTAAACAGATCATAGAACTCAATGTAAAACACAAACTATAAAACTCCCAGAAAATAACATAGGAGATGATCTGCGGAATGGCAACAATTTCTTAGATTCAACACTAAAGGCATGATCCATAAAAGAAATAATTGATAACCTAGACTTCATTAAAATTAAAGACTTCTGCTATGTGAAAGACAATGCCAAGAGAATGAGAACACAAGCCACATACTGGGAAAAAATATTTTCAAAAGACACATCTGTTAAAAGACTGTTATCCAAAACATACAAAGAATTCTTAAAACTCAAAAATAAGAAAACAAACAACCCAATTTAAAAATAGGACAAAGACTTTAACAGATAGTCTCTCAAAGATATAGAGATGGCCAATAAGCATATGAAAAGATGCTTCACATTACAGGTCATCAGGAAAATGAAAATTAAAAACACAATGAAATACCACTACGCACCTATTAGAATGGCCGAAATCCAGAACACTGACAATACCAAAAGCTGGCAAGGATGTAGGGCAACAGAACTCTCATTTATTGATGGTGGGAATGCAACATGGTACCATCACTTCAGAAGACAGTTTGACAGATTCTTAAAAAAACTAAACATACTCTTAGCATATGATCCAGCAATTGCGCTCGTTGGTATTTACTAAAAAAAAGTTAAAAACTTACAACCATGCAAAAACCTACTTACGGACACTTATAGCAGCTTTATTCATATTTGCCAAAACCTGGAAGTAACTACCATGTCTTTCAGTAGAAGAGTGGATAAACAAACCATGGTACATCCAGATAATGAAATGTTATTCACCACCAAAAAAAAAAAACAAAAAAAATGAGCTATCAAGCCACAAAAAGGCATAGGAGAACATGAAACGCATATTACTAAATGAAGAAGCTACTCTGAAAGGCTACGTACTCTATGATTCCAACCATATGACATTCTGGAAAAGGCAAAACTATGGAGACAGTGAGAATCAGTGGTTGCCACAGGTTGAGGGGAGGGAGAGATGAACAGGTGAGGCACAGAGGATTTTTAGGGCAGTAAGCTACTGTATATGATACTCTGATGGTGAACACATCATTAAACATTTGTCCAAACTCACAGAATGTACAACACCAAGAGTGAACTCCACCATAAACTATGAACTTTCAGTGATGATGTTTCAGTATGGGCTCATTAATTGTAACAAATGTACCACTGTGGTGTGGGATGTTGATGGCGGAGGAGGCTGGTTATGCAAAGGTGAGAGGTATATGAGAAAATTTTTGTAGTGTCTGCTCAGTTTGGCTGTGAACTTAAAACTGCTCTAAAAAATACTTTTAAAAAATTCAACCCAAAAAAGAATGTTTTGTGTTTTGCTCACCTTGCTACAAATAAATTTTAAATTCTGAATAAAATGAAGTTTCTAAGAACGTATAATTTACCAAAACTTGTTGTACCAAGCTATTTGAACTCAATTCCACAGGAAGAAATAGAGAAGATTATCAAAGGCTACCCACCCCCTGCAAAGAGCGCTAAGACAGTTTCTCTGGAGAAGTCAACTACCACTTACAATTCTAAAGCCATCTGGCAGGTGCCATGGCACACACCTGAAGTCCCAGCTACTTGGGAGGCTGAGGCAGGAAGATCACTTGAGCCCAGGAGTTCAAGACCAGTCTGGGCAAGAGAGCAAGATCTTGGCTCTAAATAAAAATTATTTTAATAAAAGAAAATTCCGAAGATACTTATACTTCTCTAGAAAAGAGAAACAGAGAAACCTCCAAGTTGTTACAAGAAGTACAAATGACACTGATATTAAAGCCTAACAGAGCAAACAAAAAGTATACTGTTCATGGTTATAGTCAGTAGAAAAATCATAAAGCATTGCAAGATTAATCCAACATTAAGGGCAAAACATAATCAAGTGCAGTTTATTTAGGAAATGAAAACATAGTTCAACATTAGAAATTTATTATCAAAATTAGTTACACTGATCATGTTTAATAAACACCAGATGCAAAACTCGGAAGAAAACATGAATACTTCCATCACCACCGTATTTTAACGCTGCACTGGAGGTACTAATTAATGTGGTCAGATAACAGTTACAGAAAGAAACTGGAGGGCTTATTTTCTCTTTTTTCTTTTTCTTTCTTTTTCTTTTAACATCATGGTGTGGAAAAATACTCAAACTTTTCCTCTGCTCTCACAACACAACAATCAACACAGAAGTCTTCTGAGAGCAAATGTGGGGAGGGGGCTTCCCCACACACCAACCAAGCAAGTAGTTCTGCATGGACACCCCCTGGGTGAACTGTCCTCCAATTCAACTCAGTTCTGACACTCCCTACCTGGAGACAGCATCAGATCACACAGGTTGTTGGCTCAGTCCCCAAGACTACCCTCAACTTGTGACCTGTCCTTCTGGCTGACAAGCTATAAATCGGGATTCCCACATCCCCCTTCTTGGGTTTAACTAGCTAGAGCAGCTTACAGAACTCAAGGAAACACTTATTTACCTTTACTGCTTTATTATACAGCATTTATTAGGAAGGATACAGATGAAGAGATGCATAGGTATGGGGGAAGAAACATGGAGCTTCCATGCCCTCCCCAGGGGTGCAGCCCTCCAGGAACCTCCATGTGTTTAGCTATCCAGAAGCTCTTGGACCCCAGTCCTTTGGGTTTTTATGGAAACTTCATTATATGGTCATAATTGATTACATCATTGGCCACTGGTGATCAACTTAACCTTCACCTGTTCTCCCCTCCCTGGAGGGTGGGGGTGGGCTGAAGGTTCCAATCTTCTAGTAATGCCTTGGTCTTTCTGGTGACCAGCCCCATCTTGGAGCTATCTACGGGCTGCCACCCATCAGTCGGTCATTAAAATACAAAAGACATCACTGTGGAGATTCTAAGGATTTTTAGAGTTGTATGTCAGGAAAAGGGGTCGAAGACCAAACACATATTTTATAATATCACAGATAGCTATTTGCAAATAATTGCTGTAGGCTACAAATAATCAGATCCTATTTACGGTAGCAATAAAAAAGATTAGGTTTCCAGGAATAACCACCAATAAGATTAATAAAGTTTTCTGAAGACAACTACAGAAACAACAGACACAAAAGAAGACTTGAAGAAACAGAAGATACACGAGGATTAGGACAGGAAGACTCAACACCCTGAAGATGCCAACTCTCTGAAATGTATAATGTATTATGATCACAATAAAAAATACCACATTTTTGAAAACTAGACAAGCTTGATTATAAAGCTAAAGTGGAAAAATTAACAAAAAAGTAGTACTAAAAAAACTGGAGGGGAGGCCAGGCACAGTGGCTCACACCTGTAATCCCAGCAGCACTTTGGGAGGCCAAGGCAGGTGGATCACGAGGTCAGGAGCTCGAGATCATCCTGGCTAACATGGTGAAACCCCATCTCTACTAAAAAATATTTTTAAAAATTAGCCGGGCGTGGTGGCAGGCGCCTGTAGTCCCAGCTACTCAGGAGGCTGAGGCAGGAGAATGGCGTGAACCCGAGAGGCAGAGTTTGCAGTGAGCGGAGATCGCGCCACTGCACTCCAGCCTGGGCAACAGAGTGAGACTGTCTCAAAAAAAAAAAAAATTGGAGGGAGTGGAAGTTACATCAGATAAGGATACATGTAGAAAGCCTCAAAAATTAATAGACTAATTAAAAGAATAATGGTTAAAATAACAAGAAGTCAGGCCAATTAATCAGAATAATGAATCTAAAACTAGACCCAAATGCAAACAGAAATTCAGTGTATGGTAAAGGCAGCATTTCAAATCAGTGAGTAAAAGACAGATTAGGCAATAAATGATATTGGAATTGGTAACATTTAGGGGAGAAAATTGGATCCGTAACTCATACCACAGCAGGATAAATTTCAAAGATAAACGATTTGGGTATTTTGTCTTGTTTGAAAAAAATGACTTTCTAAAAGTAATAGAATACCTGGAAGAATTCCTTTATAATTTTGAAAGATGCTCCCTAACTGTAACTGTAAATGCAGAAGTCACAAAAGGAAAGACTGATAGATTTGACCACATCATCTACAAGATGACCAATGATCTGGCCAGAAAAGAGGAAAGGAATAAGACCAGACAGTAAAAGAAAATGAAATACAAACAGCTCATAAACCTGTGGAAAGACAACCTCACTCATAATAAAAATAAATGCAAATTAAAATAACTCTATTACTTTTTTTCCTAGTAGGCTGACAGAAACCTTTAAAAAACTGATAACATGCTCTGTTGGCAAAGATGCAGAGAAACAGGCCTCTAGTATGTTGCTGATGATTGTGTGAACTGGTGCAAGCCTAAAGATGGGCCTCAGTAATAATCACTCAAAACTGCAAATAAATATACCCTTAACCCAGCAACTTCACTTCTGGGAATGTATCCTACAAATGCATTTTCACATGCGGGAAAATATGTGTACATAATATATAATGACTGCAAACTACTCAAACATCTATCTATACAACACAGGGTTAAAAAATCTGGTGTATCCATTCAATCCAGTCAAAACTATGCAACTGTAAAACAGAATGAGGCTGCTCTCTGTGAACTGATATGTGAGGATTTCCAAGGTAAACTTTAAGTGAAACAAAGCAAGGTGTAAAACAGTGTATATAGACTCCACAACTTATACATAAAAGATAAATAATATTTTTATGTTTATTTTATATGCTTAAAATTTTGGAATGTGTCCACAAGAAAATAATAAAAACAACTAAATATTGGGAAGTGGGAGAACTGGATGGATGGAGAATAGGCATAGGAGGGAAACTTTTCAATAAACATCTTTTTATATGTTTTTTGAGCTGCTTGACTAAAAACGCAAATTTTAAAAATTAAAGGTATAAATGAACACATTAATATATTCTAAAATTATTGTGACAATCATATAAGATAGCCCAGAGCCTTATACAAAGTTGACGCTCAATAAACACTAAGATCCTTCCTTCTACATGGGATAAGGACATATCAGCTGAAGAATGATGAAGTTCATGCATTTGGAAAGGAGGGCATTATTTCTCAGAAAGGGCTGCAGCCTGCAGGTGGCTCTTCTGACAGGCTGGGAAGTGTAGCCTCCGGCCAGAAGCCAGAAACAGGCACTTCAAGGGTGGGAAGAATAAGACAGGGATTTATGCTGAATGGGGCTGCCAAATATGCATATTCAATGAGCTCTAGGAGGAGTCATGAATATTTATGAAAGGAGAAACAGGCACATGCACACTGAGCTTCATGCCTCTCTGTCTGTGGGACCCATGTTTAAAAAATGGTGGCATGAGCATGATCCAAGGATGGAGTTTTTAGCCATGTGACATCAAAAGGTGAAGCAGAGGACACAAGAACCCTCACTGAGCCTCCTCTGTAGACTCACCAGAACCACTCCAAGGTCAGCGGCTTTGTATCAGGAAGAGAATGCTGGTTAGTTGTTTGGTCAAAACCACAAAAGGGAGGGACAGCATCAGGCCGTTGCTGAAATGAGTATGGAGCTTCTAGCCCGCAGGGAGGAGAGCCTGATGGTGGTCAGCGAGGTGGGGGTCTCATGAGGCGTGTTTCCCCTCCTGTCACAGCCAGGACTCAGTTCTAAGGTTTCTTTGGGTGCCCCTTGGCCAAGAGGGGGTCCATTCATTTGGCTGGGAGCTTAGGATTTAATTTCATTTCTCAGAGAACACCACAAAACAGATTGATGACAGCCCAGAAGCAAAGCAGGAGGCCAGGGGATATGGCTCGTGACAGCACCAGCAAGGCCCTGAGCAGGAAGACCTGCTGCTCTCAAAGAGCCTGCTCTGTGGGTCTCTGGGCCCACCATCTCCGGCTTCTCAACCTCTCATAACTCAATGGCCACCTACTTTCTTTCTCTTTAAAAGTGAGCCCATGTCCCTCTATCTTTAGAAACAAACTTTGTTTCATCCTGCTAGGCCATCAAGTACCACTTCCATTTAACACCAAAATCCTTAATTAAAAAAAAAAATACACGCACCATATGGAAATCTCTCCACTTCCTCTCCATCTGCTCCTTCCGACTTCCTTGAAATCTGGCTTTGATTTCAAAGACTTGCCTGAAGCTGTGCTCTTCAACAATGACCCCCTCTTGCTATTCTGATGGCATTTTCTCAGCCAGTCCTTATCCAACTTTTCACCTTTCCACGTGGTGGTGCTGCTGCTTGTCCACTACTTCCAGCTCCTTCCTTAATTTCGAGGCCCCATGTCCCTTGGGGCCACATACACTCATCATCAATTAAAGTCCAGATGCTGTGCCCTGGAGGTAATAATATTGCACAGCTGTGGGAAGGATTCACAAGTTCATACTTAACAAAACGCTAACCAAAGTGGCTCCATCACTAACATCATCATTTCTTCAGAAGACAATGGATAACCATGCAGAAGCCCTGCAGATAGGACTCTGCCGCAGAGTCCACGGCCCACAGAGGGAGTCAAGCAGAAAAGCAACAGCCCAGGACAAGACACTGACTTCTAGGAAAGCACAAGAGGAGGGTTCCCAAAGCAAAGGGAGACCCAGATGCCAAGGAAGTAGCGTATTGATGATGGTAACAGTGACAATGAGAAGAAAAAGATGTCTGCCTTTCCTGTCAGCACCTGCTATTTTACACTTCAGTAAGCACTTGGTCTCATTTAACCATGTAAAGGAAACTACTCAGGAGGCTGAGGCAGGAGAATGGTGTGAACTTGGGAGGCGGAGCTTGCAGTGAGCCAAGATCGTGCCATTGCACTCCAGCCTGGGTGACAGAGCGAGACTCCATCTCACAAAAAAAAAAAGCTCGGGACCCCCAAATTCCTTACGCAAAAGGGAAAGTTAAGCCAAGAGGGTGAGCCAGGCAATGCCCTCTTCCCCAGGAACAGCTGTTAGGAGCATCAGGCATCAGCCAAACCCCGCAGAAAAGTGAAAGCCTCAGGGGTCTGGAAGGGTTGCCCCATAGATCATTCCTAAGTAAATTCTTTGCTGGCATCCCATAAACAAGAACATCTCATTGTAACTTCACGTCTACAATCTGATTCTAGGTTAAAACTGAAGTCTGTTCCATTCCACATTGATCATGTCTATTACAAGCTTCGCTTCCCAGGTGCAGAAAAAAGACAAGATGAGATCAGTCATTCCTCCACCTGCCCAGAGACATCTGCATAATTGATTCTTCCTTTACGCCCTTTTTTCTCTTCAAACATTCATTCACCTTATCTTATGTAAAATGCAGATTTACTGGCACTAACTAGAGTCTCACAAGAATGTAATCATTCGCCTTACAGCCCACCTGCCCCTCTTCCGAGCCTTCCCCCCTTTAAGGAAACATACAAATACTAAGCCTCCTGAAAACCTCTTTAGAAAAATAGATACAGATGTGTCTGTGGCTGGTATTTTTCCAGATGCACCCTAAAGCTGGCTTAATAAACGTCAACAATTGAGACCTCTGCCTCAGTCACTCATCTCAGCTATCAGCCACATGTCACCATATAAAATTTATATTGCCAGCCGGGCGTGGTGGCTCACTCCTGTAATCCCAGCACTTTGGGAGGCCGAGGCAAGCGGATCATGAGGTCAGGAGATCAAGAACATCCTGGCTAATACAGTGAAACCCCGTCTCTACTAAAAAAACAAAAAAAAATTAGCTCCGCGTGGTGGCAGGCACGGTGGCGGGCACCTGTAGTCCCGGCTACTCGGGAGGCTGAGGCAGGAGAATGGCGTGAACCCGGGAGGGGGAGCTTGCAATGAGCCGAGATTGCGCCACTGCACTCCAGCCTGGGCGACAGAGCAAGACTCCGTCTCAAAAAAAAAAAAAGGAAAAAAGTTTATATTGCCATCCCCACATTACAGATGAGGAAACTGGGGTTGGCTCCAGAGTACTCAGCAGTTCCGAGACGGGCGGGTGCGCAGCGAAGCTGAGTGCCGGGATCGGCCTGGAAAGGGCCTTCAGCGTTGCCCACGCGGAGAGGGAGAGTAGAGGAGGCACTGAGCAGCTGAGGAGTCCACAGGAAGCAAGGAGAGGGAGTGGCCCCAAAACTCCCTTTAAAGGGGGTGGGCGGACTGCAAGTCATGGAGTCAGGCCGGGCAGCGAGGGGAGGTGTGTGTGGTGCCAGGTGGGTCTGGGAGCTGGTTTTCCACCAAGGGAGTGGACTGGGCAGAACTCTGGTTGGAGCCGTCTCAAAGGCTTAGTGCACTCTGCATCTCCACCTCTTGAAATCCTACTCTGCGTCTTCCTTGAGGGATCAAAGCTCTGCTGTTGGCCTCCCTGAGAAGTCCATAGCCACGACTGCAAGTGTCACTTCAAAATGTGAAAGGAAAATAAAATCCTGGGACCCCGAACTCACTATGCCAAAGGGAAAAGTTAAGCTGGATGCAAAAAGCTGACTTTCCTTTTATTCCTATACAGATTGCTGCAAGATAGAAGGCCACGTGTCTCCCCAGGAGGCCTCCTTCACCCTAACAATGTAAGTTAACAGCTCATCTTGGCAGGCATGGCACAAAGACAAGACCAGAAATCATCCCTCTGCCGCCCTGAGACAAATGTGTACATGACTTCTTCCTCTACTCTATGTTTACTTTATCCCGTGTAAAATGCAGATTTACTGAACAAGAGACGCATGCGTAATTGACGTCCCTCTACCCCTCCTTTCACATGTCACATGTATTCAGTGAGCGAAAATCAAAGCCTCACAAGAATGCGACCACTCACCTCACCACCTACCTCTGCTGTTTTCTTTCCACCTTCCCCTCCTGTCTGCTCTTTCCTCTTTAAATAATGAAGTTGTCGAAACCCTTTTTGGGTCCTACTGTGACGTGTGTGTCTTTTTCCCTCAACCCTGGCAAAATGAGCCTCTAAATTGATTGAGACCTGTCTCAGACACTTTTTTGTTTACAGCAGACAGGGACTGGAGGTTCCAGATCATCAGCAGCAGCCCACGCCAGCCCCTCCCCTGCTGCCCGGATGCCTGGCCTCAGAGTCAACGTGCTCCTGCGAGAAGCCACCAGCTAATAAACCCACAGGCCGCTTCTCCCTCTTCCCCGTTCTGCCACTGTTCTCTGCGCATAGAAGGTCCTCGGGACATACTCAGAGAGTTCGTAATTTCAGAACCTTGTCAAAAAATAGACACTTGAGGCCAGGCGCGGTGGCTCATGCCTGTAATCCCAGCACTTTGGGAGGCCAAGGCAGGCGGATCACAAAGTCAGGAGATGGAGACCATACTGGCTAACATGGTAAAACCCCATCTCTACTAAAAAAAAAATACGAAAAATTAGCCAGGTGTGGTGGCAGGCACCTGTAGTCCCAGCTACTGGGGAGGCTGAGGCAGGAGAATGGTGTGAACCCGGGAGGCGGAGCTTGCAGTGAGCCGAGATCGTGCCACTGCACTTCAGCCTGGGCGACAGAGCGAGACTCCGTCTCAAAAAAAAAAAAAATAGACACTTGAACTCAAGATGGTTAATGGAGCCACGCACGTGTAATTCATCGTCAAGATTTGGTATGCTAATCCTGATGACTTTCTTTTCTCACTCTTGCCCAGGATGGAGTGCAGCGGCACGATCTTGGCTCACTGCAACCTCTGCCTCCCAGGTTCAAGCGATTCTCCTGCCTCAGCCTCCCAAGTAGCTGGGACTAGAGGCAGTGACACCACACCCGGCTAATTTTTATACTTTTAGTAGAGACGGAGTTTCACCATGTTGCCCAGGCTGCTCTCAAACTCCTGACCTCAGATGATAACTCTGATGACTTTTTGAAGATTATATCCTTCTCTGAACTTATTTCCTTCTTTATTACAAATGTTCACCAAGGAAAAATACCAATATGAATAGATTAACCAAACATTTCAGAGTATTCACTGGAAATCCTTATACCTTATATATATTGAACAATAGTCACAGTCCCATATGCTGAATACTTTGTTCATCACGCACATCTGTCATAATTTCCATACTTTTAATATTACATTAAAGTATTATTTAACTCAGTTACTGAGGGGTGTTTTGTTTTGTTTGGAGTTTGGCGCCTCCTTAAACGTGGCACCTCACTTGAGTCACGGCCCTGTCAAATAAGGACCTGACTTGGAAGCAAGAAAAGAGCAAAGAATGTGAACACATTTGCTATTTCCAGCTCAGGACGCAAAAACTATCCTCATTCCTTTTCCCACATCCAGCCCTCTCCTAATTACCAGTCCTGCCATTTTCACAGCACGAGAGCTCACTTTCAGGAACTGAGGATAAAAAGGGGCATCCCTGGTGAAAGCAAATGCGTGACATGCTGCAGCCAGGCGCAGTGGCGGCGCCCATAGCTCCAGCTACTTGGGAGGCCAAGGCACAAAGCAAGATCCTGTGTCTACAAAAAGAAATGTATGCAGAAAAGTGAAATGGATAAAGACCTATCTTTTAAAAGGCAAATTTCTAAAAAACAAAAGCTTTTTCTGTGGAGTGAGAAGGACGTGGTTTTCTTTCTACTACTCCTCTTCCCACCTGCTTCTCCCTGAGCAAGCTTCATAAAAGTAGAAATCCAGAGAGATGCTGCTACCAATTTTGTAACTATTTGTGAAGAAAAAGAAAATTGAGTCAAAGCGTTTGTGTGACACAAATTTACATTATCCATCTGTAAGGGGTACAGCCGAGTACAAAAAAGTGAGAAATATGGCCTGGTGCAGTGGCTCACGCCTGTAATGCCAGCAATTTGGGAGGCCGAGACAGGTGGATCACCTGAGGACAGGAGTTAGAGACCAGCCTGGCCAACATGGTAAAATCCCGTCTCCATCAAAAAAAAAAAAAAAAAAAATTAGCCATGTATGGTGGTGTATACCTGTAGTCCCAGCTACTGGGGAGGCTGAGGTGGGAGAATTTTTTGAACTCGGGAGGCAGAGGTTGCAGTGAGCTGAGATCGCGCCACTGCACTCCAGCCTGGGTGACAGAGCGATACTCCGTCTCAAAAAAATAAGAAAAAGAAAAGAAACATGGATGACAGGCGAGGTGTAGTGGCTCACGCCACTTTGGGAGGCACTTTGGGAGGCTGAGGCAGGTGGATCACCTGAGGTCAGGAGTTTTAGACCAGCCTGGCCAATATGGCAAAATCCCATCTCTACTAAAAATACAAAAATTAGCTGGGCGTCGTGGTACACTCCTGTAGTCTCATCTACTGGGGAGGCTGAGTTGGGAGAATCACTTGAACCCGGGAGGTGGAGGTTGCAGTGAGCCAAGATTGCGCCACTGCGCTCCAGCCTGGGAGACAGAGCAAGACTCTGTCTCAAAACCAAAAAAAAAAAAAAAAAAAAAGTGAGAAAAGTGACTGGCTTAAATAAATAATAGAAATAAAGAAGTGAGAGCCATTTTAAAAATCAGCTGTGAAGTAAAAGTCCTTACATAAAAAAATTAAGAAGGGATAATGTAGACAATTTTTCACAAAGAAGTAATTTTCAAATTATGTTAAGTGTGTCGCAATACAACATAGACTCTGATGAGATCACCACTAGATTTTTTTTCTTAGGATAAAGTTTTCTATGCTGTGAATTAATATTTTCTGTGTTTCAATAAAAAGAACAAGCATTGCTAGTTTTTTGTAAAAAAAAAATTCTAAATATAATTATTCTGGCTTTCAATTGCTTTCTGCACAAATAAAGATTTTTAAGTCTGTGTGTTTATTCTTTTTATTCTTTTTCTTTTCTTTTTTTTTTTTTTTTTTTTTTTTTTTTTTTTTTTTTTTTTGAGACGGAGTCTCGCTGTTGTTGCCTGGGCTGGAGTGCAATGGCGCGATCTCGGCTCACTGCAACCTCTGCCTCCCTGGTTCCAGCAATTGTCCTGCCTCAGCCTCCCGAGCAGCTGAAATTACAGGCACACATCACCACACAACGGCTAATTTTTGCATTTTTAGTAGAGATGGGGTTTCACCATGTTGGCCAGGTCAAACTCCTGATCTCAGGTGATCCACCCGCCTCGACCTCCCAAAGTGCTGGGATTACAGGCGTGAGTCACCACGCCCAGCCTTGTGTGTTTATTCTTAATACCTTATTTTTGGAAGAAGAATCTCCATTCTAATTATCCAAACCTGATAGCTGTAAAATTGAATGGGAAAGACTAGAAACAAGAGGACACAAAGAAAATAATTCAGAGCTGTAAACAACCACTTAAAATTTGAGGGAGATGAATGAGTCCCGAAGAGAATTAAATAGCCACAAAAAGCCAAATAAACTATGGTTTTAAAACATCACACGGCGATAGGCCCAGAGATAGGCTTTGGAAACGTTTGCAGCTACATCTGAAATCACAGACTCATAATGTTCAGGAGGAACCTGGCCGGGCAGCCAAACCGCGCATAGGCCTCTGGGGGAGATGCAGGGCTGAGTGTGCAGACGGCGGGTAGGGGCAGGAGACCGGCCTGTCTGCAGCAGGCAGCCTGTCTGCTGGGCCAGAGAAGACCCAGGGAGCCAGTCTCTCGGAGTCCTGCAGCATGCTCGGGCCGAAGTTAACCACCTCTGCTTGCTGCCTTCATCAACACAAGAGGGCGGGGGAGCTGCAAAACCAAGTATCTCCAACTACGCTCTCCACACTGAACTCACTAGGGCTCACTGAAACAGTGCATTCATGCCTGGCCTCCAATTTACTTTTCCCCACCTGCAGACACAGGCGTGGCTTGTTATGTCCAGTCACGGAGAGGAGCCACCTTCTGGAGGGTCCCACTGGGAGGGAATGACAACAATCCTGTTAGGCTTTGAACTCCTGAATTAAACTTGAACACGGTCTACCAGATGCCATGGGCATTTGTGACACTCAGGGAACAATGAGGTCAACACGTCACACGTTACTCAAACGTAGAGTTGCCCCATTGCTCCCCGGCTCCACCCTGCCATTGCACCTGGCAGCGGGATTCCCACAGCCTGTGCTGAGCCTCACTGTTGGGGACTGCAGTGACCTTCCTCACCGTCACAGGACAGAAGATGCTTCTAAAACTACAAGTGTCCAGAAAGCAACTTGGGCCACCTTCTTACAGGCTGAGCTCTCTGTTACTGGAAGAATTCAAACAAAGTCAGGATTACCCTCTATCAGAGGGGATTCACTCTTCCATAAGGAATTATGCCAAGCAGTTTGAGAGCACTGGTCACTGCAGTCCCAGGGGGAGAGCAGCAGGCTCAGACAGGGTTAAAAGTAGTCTCTTCCCTCAATTAAAGGATGACTTTTCAATGTGTTCATTCATAAGGCTCCTTCCTAGATGAGAGGCAGCGGAAACGTAAAAATAAAGAAAAGGCAACAGATTACGTCAACACAGGACTTCACAGTGTCAGTCACCTAATACGACTAATGCAATCTTGAAAGCAGGATTCGCCAAGTCAGAGATGCAGCTAAAAGACTTGCGAATGATTCTTTTCCCTCAGAGGCGCAGCATTCTCTCTTGTAAACAGAAACGATGTATAAAACTACAGAAGATCTTATGATCAGATATGCAATAAAATATGTTATCTCATCCTAAAGTTGAAATCTCAGGATGGAGTCAACTATGATTCCTGCAACAATGCAGACAACACTGTTTTCAACTCAAAACATAATTTTTTATACTCTGTGAATAGGCCACACATAGTTTTTTGGTTTTGGTTTTTCATCCTTTCTTCCCTTGGGTATATCAGTCAAGGAATCATTTATTATAAAAATTATAATAGAAATGAGACATAGTGGCCTCAAGTAATGTCTCATGACCTGAGCTTTAAATCGTAAGTCTCAGAGCTATGAGGCAACTGTTCCCGGAAATATTGACCTCAAAGGTCATCTCATGCGGGGTTTCCAAAATTCAGCCCCTGGAATGCCCTTTTCATGGTTTTTGCCATAAATATAGACGATCTGTACTGTTTATTTCCTTATCATTTTTTGATAGACCTAATCACTCTTTTGGCTGAAAATAAGTTTATTTAAAAGGAGAACTGCTATTACTACCATAAATAGAAAGCCAGTATCCCTGGTCGTAAGTTACAGGCAAATCTAAAACACGCACACACAAAAATGAGAGAGTCATCTAGTGATAACTTTTAGAGAGAGACAAACTGAACTTAACAAGTGTTCCAAATGCTTAATGAATTTGTCTTTGCTGCAGGGAGAGGGTACAAGTCCTGCCTCCACCCACCTCTAGAACTCCAACTTTTCTGATGTATCCAAGACCAAGGATTGGTGTGGTGTCTGTAAACAAAATGCTGTCAAACAAAAGGAAACTCAGGAGCGAGCTGGCTCACGCACAGCAGCTGCACGACCTGGGCCAGCTGCCCCGCCACTGCGCACCTCTGTTACTCGCCCGTGAACTGGGACGAATCATACCCGCCGTGGCCACTTCAGAGGGGTGTTGTTCATTACGACAATCGATTCGTGTTTCTGCACCATAAAGTCCACATGAGCAAAAGGTGCCATGACAGAGAGGAGCAGCAGCTAAGTTAATCAATACTATGAAGTATTTAATAGGTATAAAGGGCTTCATGAGAAATAAGAGCTGCAGCAGCATTTAAAAACAGTGAATGACCTCACCCACTAAATGGCTTGATGTGTTCCAGACGTAGCAGGCCCTGAGTTCACCAACAGTTACTGTGAGTGCTGAGCTCCCCATCCATTCTTAAGCTCTCCTCATTTAAAGCCAGAAAGCTGCGCAACAAAGGAAGGGGACAGCGAGTCACTAGGGAAGGGGACTGCGGTCCGTGGTGGAGAGGGAGCATGACTCAGTGTAAAGTAAGAGGGCTTTTCTAACGTGGACAGGAACAGCACTGCCCACACACACCCACCAGACAGGAGCTCCATCACCCAGGGTCCTGCCTAGGTCTGTGGCCCAGGCAGCACCACAGTGACACAGACAGACACCAGACAGACACTGGCAGAGGCCACCTCCCGTCCACTGGCTTTGAAATCCCCGGAATGCCTAGCGGCACATTAAGAGCAGCATCAAGCTTTCCATTTGTCATCCAGTGCCATTTTAAACTCAGAAGGAGAAAAACACAAGAAATTTTAGTCTTATGGATGGGCATTTATTCTATTTTATGAGGTCACACTTAAGATTCACTATGAATCCCAGCATTTTGGGAGGCTAAGGCAGGTAAATCTCCTGAGGTCAGGAATTCGAGACCAGCCTGACCAGTATGGTAAAACCCCGTCTCTACTAAAAATACAAAAATTAGCCGGGTGTGGTGGCATGCACCTGTAGTCCCAGCTACTCAGGAGGCTGAGGCACGAGAATCGCTTGAACTCGGGAGGCGGAGGTTGCAGTGAACTGAGATCATGCCACCGCACTCCAGCCTGGGCGACAGAGGGAGACTCTGTCTCAAAAAAAAAAAAGATTTCACTATGAATTAAAGCTCCATCCCCAGAAATCAGCGATGGCCACAGGCAGCAGGGGAAGGAGGCAGTGGTGCGCAGGGAAAGCCGGAAGCTCCAGGTGAGCGGTCCTGCCTTGAAGGGACCCCTGCGCTGAACCCTCCCAGTGCTGACAACACTCAGGGAACAGTGACTTCACAAGGACAGGAAGCGAGGGACCGGACGAGTGGCAGATGTATACTCAACCACACGGTAATGCAGAAAATTCTATTCCAGATGACACAGAGAGACAAATATTTAACATAATGTGAAATTCAACTGTGTACACTGATAAAGATTAAAAGAAGACATAGATTCCTCTAGTAGAAACAGTTGGTGTCATATGATAAAAAATTTTTTCTTAAATGGCTTTTATTTTTATTATAGGAGTAACAAACGTTCATTGGAGAAAATACAAAAATAGAAATAAACAGAGAAGATAAAATCACCCATAATCCCACCACTCAGACAGAAACATTACTTATATTTTGGGTTATTCTTCCAGACTTTTCTCTATATGAATATAAACATACACATTTTTAACTGAAGTGGGATCACAGTGCACATACTGTCTTGTGACGTGCTTTCTTTAACTCAGCCTGCCTTGAATGTTGCCAGGTTCAACAGATACACTTCAACAATACTGTAAGGTCTTCCCAGTGGCACCCACGGAAAATAGACAGGTGTACCATTGTTCTACCAATCCTAATTGTTCAATTTATTAAAAAGATAAAGGATAACCAATTTCAAATATTAATTTTTTAAGTGATGAATGCCTTCTAGTGAAGAAATCTTATCTGTAAGTCCATCAAAATGAATTGAGACAAAAATGAAATACTCTTTCAGTAAAAAAATCATCTGAATAGCTGAGCAGGTCAGGATCTTCCATCCAAATTGCTTTGGGGATGTGTACCTTAGGCTTCGGGCTAAAGAAACTGGGAGTCTCTACAGGTTGAAGCTATCCCTGAGAGCTTAGGATACGTGTAGGGGCAATTTAAGAAATATCTTTTTTGTGGCTATAGACCCTGCCTTTACAGTAAACTATCATCCTTGGGAATTCACCTGTTACCACTGTGAGAAGCTGCTATCTTTGGCAATGCCCGATGCTTTGATGTCTGCTTCACCTGACATTGGTGCACCAGCTTCCTTATGGCTAGTGTGTGCACCGGGCATCCTTCTCCCTCCTTTCACTATCGTGCCTTCTGGATTCCTTCATCTAAGCACGTCTATCGTAAGCAGCAATTTTTTAAATATTCAGTTTGACAATCTCGGTATTAACTGGCATATTTAGTTCAGTTGCATTTTATGTAATTATGAAGTGTTTGAGTGAAAACTGACCATGTTGCTATCTGTTTTCTATTTATCCCATCTGTTTGGTTTGTACATCTCTCCCTTCTTACTTTCTTTTGGATTCACTGAGTACTTCTTATCGGTTCAGTTTTCCCTCCTCTGTCACCACATGCATCATGCATTATTAGTATTTTAGTGGTTACTTTGGAGATTGTAACATGTGTCCTAACTCACTAGTTCCCAAGAGAAATTAGTTCTCCAACAGCTTCCCTAACAACAGCAGCACCCACCCTCCACGTCCACCCTCAAGGCTGTTACCATCATGTGTTTTAATTCTGCCTGCACATCACACCCCACAAGGCACTGCTGTGACTTGCTGGTGACAGGTAGTCGCTGTCCACTCAGAACCACCCGTGGCTTTGCTGTTTACGTGGCTCTGCATTCCCTCCTACATTCCCATGCTTCCATCAGGACCCTTTATCCTTCCGCCTGAAGAATTTCCCTAATAATTTCTTCTACTATAGTTCTTCTGGTGACAAGTTCTGTCTGATTCCGTTTGTCTGAAAATGCCCTTTGGTGGCCTTCATTTTTGAATAGAATTCTAGGAAAAGAGTTACTTTCTCCACTTTAAAGACTGTCATTTCATCGTCATCTGATTTCTATGATCTCTGTGGAAAAGTCAGCTGTCAGCCGTAGAGCTGTCCTTTCACTCAGATGCACCTCCAGCTCCATCTACATTTCCACATTGCCTTGTGTTCTAGTTTTGCAGTGACATGTCAGGTGTGGTTCTCTGTGTATTTGCCATGTTTGGAGTTTGTAAAGTTTCTTGAATTTATGGCTTCATGTCTGACAGAGTTTGGGATACTTCTCAGCCAGTATCACTTCAAATCCTGCTGGCACCCCCATCTCTCTCCTCTCACCGTCCCTCACCTTTGCACGCTGGGCCTTTTCTCCACATCTCCGTGGCTCTCATGCTCTTTCCTCTATTTTTTCATTCTTTTCTTCTCTATGCCTCACTCTGGATATTTTCTGTCAATCTACAGTGCAGAGTTCACTCTCCTATGTGCAATCTGCTATCCAATTTATATTTAATTCTTCATTTCATTTATTGTATTTTTCATTCCCAGAATTTCCATTTAAGTCCAGTTTTATACATTCTTTTTTTTTTTTTTTTTTAGACGGAGTTTCACTCTTGTTGCCCAGGCTGGAGTGCAATGGCATGATCTCAGCTCACCACAACCTCCAACTCCCAGGTTCAAGCCATTCTCCTGCCTCAGCCTCCCAAGTAGCTGGGATTACAGACGTGTGCCACCACACCTGGCTAATTTTGTATTTTTAGTAGAGATGGAGTTTCTCCATGTTGGTCAGGCTGGTCTTGAACTCCCGACCTCAGGTGATCCTCCCGCCTCGGCCTCCCAAAGTGCTGGTGTGAGCCACCACGCCTGGCCTATACATTCCATTTTATTTGTGCAATTCTCCATCTTGTCCTCTACTTTCTTGAATATATTAATGATGATGCTTTTAAAATCTGTATCTCATTAGTCCAAAAACTACATCACCTGTTGCTGTTTCCATTGTTGGCTTTTACTCTTTCTCCTTCATCTTTTAATCATTTGGACCTTAATTTTTTATTGAAAACCAAACACTGTGTATTACAAACTAACAGGAGAACTGGAGGCCCTGGCCAATGTTATCATCCTTCAGAGAGCGCTGACTCTGGTTTCTGGCAGGCAGAGCAGGGCAGGGTGCCATAATCCTCTCTGAACTGAGTGGGTTCAAGGCTGAGTCCCGGTCTTTTGTGAAGGCTAAACTATTTCAGGTTTACTCTTATTCCTAGGTTGGGGTCAGGACCTAACAGGAAGTCTAGGTGCTTTCCAGGGCTCCTCCTCCTTGGCATGCCCTGAACTCCAAGTTTTGGTTCCCCTAGTCTTTAAGAATAGCCTTCTGGCTGGGTGTGGTAATTCTCATCTGTTATCCCAGCATTCTGGAAGGCCAAGGCAGGAGGATCCCTTGAGGCCAGCCTGGGCAACGTACGAGAACATCTCTACAACAACAACAACAATAATAATAATAGCTTTCCCTTCTCATAGCCTCTGAGCTAACACATCAGCAAATGCCTTGAGGAGAACACAAGTGCAGATTACTAGGCTCACCTTAATATTTTCCCTTCTCCCCAGGATCTCGGTCTCTTACACTCACACAGCCTTTGTAGCTAAAACTCTACGTTTTGTCTCCCAGCCCTACAAGACTGCCACAAGCTCCATGCATGGTCCTAGTTTTCTGGACACCACTTTCTGTTTTGTTCTTCACCTATCCAGCTCCATGCCCCTTATGAGCCAGCAAACATCTCAAGAGGAAAAGCATCACAGAACACTGCGTTCAGCCCATGAGCTTCCCTCCTCTTCAGGACCTGGTCCCTCCAGTGTTGGCCACCTTTCTTTTGTACTCTGTCCAGCTTTTCAAGATCACTGCGTGGGAATGTCGGTCTACAGGGTATTCCACAACATCTCCAAGGTGTGCCTGTACATGCAGCCACATCACAGAAAAATGTTAACATTAAGAAATCGCTTTTTCAATAAATTATTTGACACAAGTTAACAATCTAAAAACATAAGTCACAATTTTTCCAGAAAATAACTCACAGAACTTTGTTACTTCTTATTTGTAAAATATTCCACTAAATCAGAACAAAATTGCCTCTTTTAAAGTCTCCTTTCTGATTTACCACTTTGTAACTGAGAAATCCAGAGCCATTAGGAAACATGCCAAAATCACCATAAATCGTACTAAGTTATCTCCCCTCGGGCCCCACTGATTGCCAAACTCATTACCAAAATTACTTGAAGGTGTTGCTTCTTCACCTGATACCAACCATTTAGAAACCGATATTTAAACACTGGCTGCACTAAATCTCTTCACGCAGTATCAGTAAGGCATGTGCTGAGATCAGGGAAAAATGTGTTGCGGTCACATCTAATTGCAATAAAATAATAATGCTTTCTTCTACTTCCCTCTCTTTCTGACATCACAACACATAAACTGCAAAAAATAAAAATAAAAATAAAAACCAAACAAACTACTCTCCTTAATCCAAACGCTAAAATATGTCATCAAGGAGATGCGTGGGCACCCCCCCGCACACGGCTGTTGGCTGGATTTTCACAAGGCACAGGTACATGTTTTGCAGGTGTAGGGAACAAAGGCAGAAACCGTCACTGTCCTCAAAGTCCCTATGATTTCACAGAGAAAAAGATCTAAGAAAACAGCTAAGTACAATTAAACGCAGTACATCAATAGGTGCAAAACGTTCTTGTTCAAATGACATCCACACGTAAGGGCCAAGAAGCCTAACTTGAGTTCCCCGTGCGGGGGACGGTGGCGGGGGAAGGCAGTTCTGAAGCTCTGGGTTGTGGGCTAGTGCTTAAAACAACTGTTTACCACGGGAAACCGGGTTCACCAGAGATAAAAACGACTCAAGCTTGCACGCTCTTGCAACAGGAAGAAGTGTTCAAGGGCACGTCTGAATGGTTCTTGAAGCCCTTGTCTACACAGCCAAGGTATGGGAAAACTTAGTGTGCTCTGTGTGAGTGGGCTGTGGGGAAGGAATTGGTTTCTTGCAGTCAGAGCTAGGGAATAACACCTCAGCCTCTGCCATGGGGCTAACCTAGGCTGGCGTCCTAATCCAAGCAGGTCAGGCATAGGTCACGTGCACAACGCCAACTCAAATAGGACTCTGCAAATAAGGACACAAAAAGTTTGCAAGCCTGCCCTTCTTTCCAAAGACTAGAGATAACAGAACACGTACAAATAACAGATCCTTCTAGCCGCCCAAAATTCTATGAAGTGTGGGACCCTCTTTAGCATGTGACCTGCAAAAATCCTTACAAACATCAAGCCACACAGCACGCACAGCAGCCCATCCTCCCCTTAACGAAGTCAGTGACCAGGCAAAAGGTAAAGAAGAAAAATGGAAAGCACGCACAAACAGAGCCGTGTTATTTTTACAATATTTTACCATCTTTTCAAAGTCCAGGTGGGTCAGAAAACATCACAGAGAACATATAATGCAACTGAAGCTTAGGAAGAGTTTTCCCAAGTGGTTTCGCTATGATTATTTAAGGTATCTCATTCATATACTTTCA
Organism: Homo sapiens; assembly: GCF_000001405.40. Taxonomy (NCBI): domain Eukaryota; kingdom Metazoa; phylum Chordata; class Mammalia; order Primates; family Hominidae; genus Homo; species Homo sapiens. The sequence goes on along the minus strand of NC_000018.10, from coordinate 13,312,817 downwards.
AGAGGAAAAATGCGTAGTATTATATTTAACCTTGAACTCAGTTTTGTGTGTATTTTTGTTTCTTTCCTTTTTTTTATAGACAGGATCTCACTCTGTTGCCCAGGCTGGAGTGCGGTGGTGCGATCACAGCTCACTACAGTCTGGAACTTCTAGACTCAAGCAATCCTTCTGCCTCAGCCTCCTCAGTAGCTAGGACTACAGACACATGTCATCATACCAGGCTAATTTCTGTACATTTTGTAGGGATGGGGTCTCTTTATGTTACCCAGGCTGATCTCAAACTCCTGGCCTCAAGTGGTACTCCCGCCTTAGCATCCTGAAGTTTTGATGTGTGAGCCACTGCGCCTGGCCCTCAACTTGTTTTGTTAATGATGCCTTCCTGTGGTCCTTTAAGTATATACAGGTTGAATATCATTATTTGAAATGCTTGGGACAAGAAGCATTTTGAATTTTGGATTTTTTCAGATTTTGGAATATCTGCATGTACATAATGAGATATCTTCAGGATGAGGCAGAAGCCTAAACAGAAAATTCATTTATGTTTCACATACACCTTACACATATAATTTTATACAATATTATTAATGATTGTGTGCATGAAATGAAGTTTAAACTGCCACCCGGCACCATGGTCAGCTGTGGAATTCTCCACTTGCAGTCAGCACTCAAAAAGTTTCAGATTTGGCCGGGCACGGTGGCTCATGCCTGTAATCCTAGCACTTTGGGAGGCCGAGGCGGGCGGATCTTGAGGTCAGGAGATCAAAACCATCCTGGCTAACACGGTGAAACCCCGTCTCTACTAAAAATACAAAAGAAAAAATAGCCGGGTGTGGTGGTGGGCGCCTGTAGTCCCAGCTACTCGGGAGGCTGAGGCAGGAGAATGGCGTGAACCCGGGAGGGGAGGCTTGCAGTGAGCCAAGATCGCACCACTGCACTCCAGCCTGGGCAACAGAGCAAGACTCCGTCTCAAAAAAAAAAAAAAAAGTTTCAGATTTGAGGGTGTTTGGGATTTCAGATTCTCAGCTTAGTGATGCTCAGCCTGTAACTATTCCTACAGGTTTTTATTTTCCAGGTGAGCCACAGGCGGCATGGAAATGCAGAACTCCTTTCCGGACTCAGGCCTTTGGGCATACCCTCCACATCCAGGCCCGCCTTCCCTCAAGAGCACAGTGCCAGCAGCATCGCCAGCTGTCACAATGCCCAATGCTTTAGCATTTAAAGACCTCTACGAAATATCCCCTGAGAACATGGCGACAACCAGCTGGAAACATTGCCCAGTGTGGCCGGCGTTCTGAGGATGACACTCATCCTCAGAGGACACTCTGAGAGGTGTCCAGCAGTGTCACCCACGGCTGGAAAGCGACTCCTTAGCAGTCCCTGGGAGTGTGGCAGAAGCCAAGCCCGGAGGGCCATCAGAGCTTCCTGCCACCCGCAACACCGCCACCAGGATGCACAAAGACTCTTTCACATGAGGGTGGATCGGTAGGCAGGTGCCAGGAGGCCTGAGTGGGCTCTGTTGCACCCACCATCCACCCCTGACAAAGACTGAAGTCAGTCCCTGTCTGGCTTTTTGAGGGTGGGATGGGGTCTTATTTGTGTTTGTGTCCCACCCATTACATGTCCTGGTACTCAGAAGCACCCAGTAAGCTCTCATGGACTCAACAGCTGAATGGACAGATGAATGAATGGATCTGAAATATAAGATAGGAAAGGCCATATCCATCCTCTGTCTTCCCCAACAATAGAGTTTTTATTTGCCCTTATCCTTTATCTGCCCTTTGAGGGAGGTATCACTTTCTGCATTTTACAGAGGAGGGAGCTGAGACTCTGTGAGTTATGTAATATACCTAAGGCTACAGAAATGCTAGCGGATGTAACAGGGATTGAACTTACGTCTCTCTGGATCCAGAATCTGCATCTTTCCAACATGTCAAATCATCTCCTTAGCAAAAGTCTGACTCTGCAAAATTTCTCAAGTAAAATATAAGAATAAGGAAAAATAAATACATTAATTTATGGATTTAATCTCAGATGATCTACAGTAAATGAGATAAGCCAAAACATGACAAAGCACACAACCAAACTGATGCTCAAAACCCACCTGGAAGCTGTTATTCCAGATGCAAACAGTGAGTGACTCAGAACCCTCAGGTTCCTGGGAAGGAGCTAAGGTCAAGACTGAGGGAGGAAGAGGAGGTGAAGGGGCGGGTAGGGGTCCAGGCAGCTGTCACTGCCTGCTCCATACCCCCAGCAGCATCCACAAAGCCC